>NC_000008.11:29557072-29860102 GCF_000001405.40 Homo sapiens
AGGAGTGAAGAATAGAGTTAGAAGACAGTAAATAAATACATAAACAGGAAAGGGGCCTTCTAAGGGTCTAATGATGATAATGTGGTGTGAGCTGAGAAATACAATTAACACAACCTTTTACACTTGAGCACGTCTCCTCCCTCTTATAAGATTCAAAGCAAGGGAAAAGTAGATCAAGTCAAGACAATGTGTGGAAGGGCTAGGAAGACATGAATGAGTGCCTCCTTTTTCACATTCAGGAATCATTTACTTAGTCCTAAGATGGAGGGGCTTTCATATAAACACCAGCTACACACAGGCATAAGGTTAGCTCCACTGGGCATTGAATTTTTGCCAGAGAATAAAAAGCTTGAGGTCTTATCACCCATACACTACATGAGAAACAGTCTCAGAATGTGCAAGCTAAAAAAGATGGTCACAGTTATTTTCCAGATAAGAAAGCCAAAGTTCAGAGTGCTTGAAGAACCAGTCCAAGATGGCACAGCTAGCTTGGGACAGATCCCATATGGCAAGCCAGTTCCCTCCCCCATTGACCACACTGCGTCTCCAGGGTCATCTGCCTCATCTGGTCTCTGAACAGCCCCCACACAGTGATAACTCTGTTTCTCCTGTTGAACTAGAGGTGGATTTGCTTTGCCAATTTTTCTCTTTTTCATTACCTTGACTCTGGAGAGCCTCGACTAAGGAGGATACTCAGTAAATGTTGATGACAGTGATAGCCAATATTAAGAATGATGTTTTGGCCAGGTGCAGTGGCTCACGACTGTAATCCCACCACTTTGGGAAGCTGAGACAGGAGGATCGCTTTAGCCAAGGAGTTTGAGACCAGCCTGGGCAACTTACTGAAACCCCATCTCCACAAATAAATTTTAAAAATAGCTGGGTGTGATGGCACGTGCCTGTAGCCCCAGCTACTTCAGAGGCTGAGGCAGGAGGATCATTTGAGCCCAGGAGTTCGAGGTTGCTGTGAGCTATGATAGCACTACTGCACTCCAGCCTGGGTGATAGACTGAGACCCATCCTGTCTCTAGAAAAAGGAAAAAAAAAAGAAGAAGAAGAAGAAGAATGGTGTTCTTTAAATCTTCAAACTCTTCAGTGAGGAACTTAGATTTGTACTGTGCATTCTGGGTGGTTGTGGCTTTTCATTTTATTCTAGTTTCACCTCTGTTGTTTAACTAATTGCATGAATGAGAATCTGTCACCCTTACCTTGGCTTTAGTAGCCTCATTTGGCCAAAGCGGGGCGTGGTATTATTTTCTCCAAAGAGTCCGTATAGTCAAAGTTTCTATGATCAAGGCTCTTCTGGGACCCCAGAACTAGCATTCCTCGTAAAAGCAGGCATGGGGGAATTCATGGTCACCACGTGGACTCCACTGAACACTTCTGCATTGCGTCTTCTCAGCCCTGCAAGATTCCTGTGTCATCGCACCCAGAATGGAGTCTCTCTAACTCACCAGGAACAAAGTGTCATGTAGGGGCAGACAGCCCTTGCCTTCCAGGCACTACAATCAGAGAAAAAAATAGCAACAAAATAGTTGCTAGTACAGTAAGTGCCACACCAGGACAGAGGATGAAAGTGCTAGGGTTGCTTCCACTATGTCAGATCTGGCTGTGAATAGATGGAGAAAGCTTCTCAGAGGAAGTAGGGTCAGAAGAAGTGGGATTTATGTTGGATTTTGAAGGGGGGTTGGACTTTGATAAGAAAAGTGATAAAGTGCAGCAATCTAGATGGAAGTCACAAATGGACCAAAGACAGAGTCAAGTGGTCCCCAAGTACAAGCCAAGTCAAGGCTTGCTGGGACATCTACGAGGAGCTGTGACCTAGAGCAGAAGATGATGGTGTTTCAATCTCAGCTTTCGGATGAGTGTAAACTATGGAGGCTACCCACTGAAGCCATGATGTAAAGCAAATTTTGGTCAGCAGGCATTTGAGCATTCATCTTAGATCGAAAGTATGAGAATGTGAATTCACAAAGGTGGTGGGAGTGGGTCCACAAGCACATTATGGTGGTGGCAGGAGAATCTAAATAAGCTGAGCACCTCCTGGGGGTGTTCTGTAGCTATCTGACCATTTGAATGTGGATGCAAACTCACCAGGAATTAAGACAAAGACAGAAATAGGACACTCAGCCTCCTGAGAGATAACACAAAACTGTGTGTGAACAGCAGATGAGTACTGGGGTATTATGAGGCAAGTGGAGATCTTTGCAAGTCAGAGTAATCTAAAAAGGCAGCTCAAATCCAACTTTTCTAAACAAGAAATAGTCACTCTAAAATAAGTTAAATAAAGCTGACAAAAGCTTCTTCTGCCCACACTGAGAGTGTATGTGTAATGTCTGAATAACTATGTTTTACATCTGAATAAGTGTAGGTTGGCTATTAGAGACAATCAATGCACAAATTAATTATAAATATATATTGTTTAGGTGCAACTCACATAAATACGTATTGTTTCAGGTACAATTACATCAGTGTGTCCCTCTGGAACTTGGAATAATTCCTTCTCCTATAATTATTTATATATCTTACGGATGAAAAGGTAGATAGAGTAGATAGGTAGGAATCTAGGTGGGTAGGTAGAACAATATATTAATAGAGAGATAGACAAAATTGATGTGGGCTGAAAGGCCAGACTAGGAGCAAATTGTGAGGCTGTATACCTAGCTGAGGAATTGACACTTTCTCTTTGGCCAACAGAAAACAATTAGTATGGCGATAGGATGAGTATTTTATGATTGAGCTCCTATCTGCTTTGGGGGAACTAAGGGTGAATTATTAATCATAAAATAGGAAGGTCGTAGTTGCTGAAAGTCCTCTGTGAAACCAAAAGGACCTGTTCTCATAGCAGCAGTCGGCTTTGCTCCAGGGAGTGGGAATCATGAGCCCAGGACAAGGCAGAAGGGACAGTAGTAGAGGCTTTGCTGCAGCTTCCTGTAAGGGCTGTCACTCACATCAACATAGTAATGCTGGGATGGAATAAAGCTTGGGCTTCCTTCCTTGGCCTCAAGGGGCCTCCGGCTGGCAGATTCCTCTGCCTGTAGTACAAGAAGAGAAGTCAGATTTTTGGCAAGAATGAAAATCATGTCCAGATTGCTCTTTCAGCAGGACACCTGATAGTAACAAGCATGTACGTGACATTCTTCAGTTGACGCTAGATGGAAGCAGAATGGCTGAACTCAAGAGAATTCACAAATCATTGCCTATCTGTTTGTTGGGCTGGTCTTCTATTTAGCAGGTAGCTACTTTTGTTTGTTTGTTTTTTGTTTTTGTTTTGTTTTGTTTTGAGACAGGCTCTCACTCTATCACCTGGGCTGGAGTGCAGTGGTGCAGTCACGGCTCACCACAGCCTCGGCTCATCAGCCTCGTCATATGGGGCTCAGGTGATCCTCCCCACTTCGGTCTACCAATTATTTGGGACTATAGGCATACACCACCACTCACAGCTAATTTTTTTTTGTATTTTTGTAGAGATGAGGTTTTGCCATGTTGCCCAGGCTGGTCTCAAACTCCTAGGCTCAAGCGATCCACCCACCTTGGCCTTCCATAGTGCTGGGATTATAAGCGTGAGCCACTGCGCCCAGTCCTGGTAGCGACTTTTTATTTCTGCGAAAGAGAAATAGTAGGACACAAATAGACACACACTTGGAACTACTTGAATTTTCTAAACATACCACTGTAGAGACTATTATAGTAATAATGATGGGACTCTCTTATATTTGGGGTGCATTAGGCAGTTTACAGCATGGTTTCAAGCAAATTATGTCTTTAGAATCTCACAATATTTCTTTGAGGTCGTCAGAGCTGGCATTGTTACTCCCTTCCTCCACTCCATTTATAGATAGAAAAACTGAAGATCCAAGGGCTTATGTGAGTTGCCTGGGAACTCATGGCCAGTAAGTTGCAGAGCTGTGATTCAAATTGAAATATTGGGATCGGTCTTATTTGAACCCTGGTCTGGTGCTCTTTACTTTCTGCCATACAAGAAAACAGCCTCGATTTTGAGTCTCCATAGTTTAGCTCATTCTGCTCCCAAGGTGTTGGGATGCTGCTGACCTCCCAGAAAACTGTGGTCAAAGGCCAAGACATGACCCAACTCCCCTGGACAGGAGTTTTGGTCAAAGAGCACATCACCCCACTCACACATTCTTATTTGCACAGAGAGGATTGTGTTACAGGGTCATCTTTGTTCCAATCTATGCTTCCGGGTTTATTTGTATACAGAGAAAACTGTTTGGAATTTGCAAAGCCCGGTTGAATATTTCCTTGTTTCATCAGTGGCATTGTTTTAACCCATTGGTGTACCAGTTTTTAAAACTTGCATATAGGAGTGGAACTGCCAGTGAGTTTGAAAAACTTTGAGGGTATAAATAGGCCAGAATGTTTCTAATAAGGGAAGATGCCCTGATGATGTCACCATATCAGGGGACATCTCGTGTTTTGTGGGGACCAAACAAAGCTGTTTTGAGGAAAGAGAGAGACACTGAGAGAGATTCACTTGAAGGTAGGGACCCTTAGTTATTTATCTTTGCCTCTTGCTTCCATCCCTAGCCCAGCACTTGGAATGATGCTGTCCCACAGAGGACACTCAGTAAATGCAGTGTCTGCGTCAATGACTAAAGAACCCAGAAACCCGCTTGCCTGTCCCCTATATTGGTGAGTTCCATTCCTATGGGTGGTTTAGTGTGTTAAAGAACTTTGACTAATTCCTCTAGTTTGAAGTTAGAAATGCCAATTCAAAGAAAGCCATGGAATGGGTATCCTCTTCTGGGAACCAACTCCAGGGCAGGTATAAAAATGGTTGTATTTAGAAACAGAGGTATAAATAGCTTTATTTTCTTCTAAAGATCTTCTTCTCTTAGGAAAAGAGGTTGTCCAATATTTTCTATCCAATGCCCCCTCTTTTAAGATTTTGGCACTTTGTACCTTGCTTGGCCTGAGAAGATGTAATGATTACATCTTGCGGATATAATGATGTCCAAAGGAGCTCTGTGGTGTGGACCAAGGAGACTGACATACAAAAAGCTGGAAGCCAAGTGTCTTCATTCCTCCAGTCCACGCTTAGCCCCCTATTCCCCTGGATCCTGACTCTTTGGTTGAGAAGAACTTCTCTGGAGTACTATTTCCCAAAGTATAATTCATGGTGTTAAGAAAGGCTATGATTTAATCAGTCAAAGCTGTGGTTTTCTCATCTGTAAAGCACCAATGATAGGAATTAATAACGTTGTTTTCAGGATTAAATGAAATAACACATGGAGAAAGAGCTTGCCCGGGGCTGGGCTCCTAGGAACTGCCGGGTTCTTTTGTCATCTCTTCCTTTTTCTTCTCAATGACAAAGCAAATATGACACATCCTTGAGTTCCTGTGCCATCTTCTCATCCTCTTTTCTGTTTGTCTCCTTCGCTTTGAAATCCTGTTCAAGTCTCATCTCCTGTGAGTCTTTTCTAAATGTTGTGGGTCCTTGGGTGCTTTGGGGTTTCTTAGGGCAGCGGGGTCCTGGCTGAGTTTAATCTGAGAAAGGGTAAGAGGCACGTGGGGCCCCCAAGTGTCCTTAGGTGAGTTGCTTTGCATGGGAGGAGGACCCAGAAGGGGACCCTTGAGTAGGAAGCCTGAGGTGCTAAGACACCTGGGGACAGAGGAAAGAGGTGGTGGCAATGGAGTGCTGTCCAGCTCAACCCCTTCCTAAAGGGGCAGTGTCCTCCCCATTTCCGGATTTCTGCAGAGCACCAGCCTGGCTCTAGTTCAGTGAGGGCTGGGGAAACACAGCCTTCAGGCACAAATTTAGGGACTCAGGAATACAGGCCCTTGACAGGAGTGGAGGCCCTAGACAGCAGCCTCTCCACAGTGGAGATCTGGCAGACACCCAGCAGAGCTCCATGGGAGAAAAACAAGCCCAAAATTATTCACAAACATGAAAGACATGCCAGAGGGCACTGAGAAATACTTGGTGGGGAGGATTTTACACAGACAAGAGGGATGATGAGTTTCTGACCTCATTCATACTCACCAGCTGATTATGCTTCTGAATAATGCAAAGTGCCCCATTGCAGAAAATGAATTTCCAGGTAGCGGGATAGAGTCTGCACAGGTATGTGGGTGCTTCCTGTTCAATGCAGATTTCCCAGTATAGCACTGGGTGTCTGGAACTCCACTGCCTGTTGGATTTTGAACTATTATTGTTTGAGACTCAAGGGAAAAAGGGAGAAGAAAACAATTTACTGTGTGTTAGGATTTTGTCTATACCAACAGATACCCTATTCTGCAGTTCTATCCCTTAACTCCATTCCCCACATTCAAGGATATTTCTTCTCACCTTCCTGTACTATGTAATGATCATGTGGGATTTCTGTATAAACAGGCTAATCTAAGGCCAGGCACGGTGGCTCATGCCTGTAATCCCAGCACTTTGGGAGGCTGAGGCTGGCAGATCATGAGGTCAGGAGATCGAGACCATCCTGGCTAACACGGTGAAACCCCGTCTCTACTAAAAATACAAAAAATTAGCCGGGCATGGTGGTGGGCGCCTGTAGTCCCAGCTACTTGGGAGGCTGAGGCAGGAGAATGGCGTGAACCCAGGAGGCGGAGGTTGCAGTGAGCCGAGATGGGGCCACTGCACTCCAGCCTGGGTGACAGAGTGAGACTCCATCTCAAAATTAAAAAAAAAAAAAAAAAAAGAAAGAGGTTAATCTAGAATTGTGCTGAGAAACACCCAATGACTCAATGGTCCCAATGTATCTAAGACAGAGTTTTAACTTGGTTCTGTCTAAGTAAACAGAACTAAAATTAAGGCGATCACTGTGACCATGGATTACTCATTTTAACCATCTTTAGCATATTTGCTCTTGGGTTATGAAAGCCATTACTGTCAAGAGAAGAGATAATGGGGCTGAACTTCACAGAAATTCAGAAGGATGCCTTGAATGTCTTCTGATTCTCATCCTTTTTTTGTAGGATGCTCAAGCATCATGGCATCATTTCCAGTGGAGTCGCTGAACTTGTAGGTTGTCTACCTGACACCTCGAGGTCCTTACACCAAGAAGTCAGCTGTGAAGCCCGCTGAGTCCTCGGGTGGATGTCTGCCACCACATACATAGCCTTTGCTGGTGGCTTGGAGAGCTGGCAGGTCAGCCACAGAAAGTGGGCAAGACCTAGTCAGTAGCGACAGGATATGTTCCCAGGATGGACAGCTGCCTGATATGCGTTCAGTTCCAGTGCCAAAGCCAAGGGCTGCCAGTGCCCTTCCTTCATGCTAAGGACTTCTCTCTCTCCAGGTAATTGCATAGGGTTTCCTGGAGCCCACAGCTGGCCTCACTCACTCATCTCCAAACCTTTTAAATGCATGTGTTAGGGAGAATGCTAGGGCCCTGGGGACAGTGCTCATTGCCTTCAGTATTGTCACCTTCTGTCACCCAGGTGCACAGCCTGGATTTCATTCAATGCCCCATGTTCCTGGCACATGGAGAACTTCAGCGTGATCTGGTGGGCCAAGCCAGCTTTCTGCTTGTTTCAGGGCTGTGTTGGCAAGATGTTTCGGCTTCCCAGGAGGCTGCCAATGCCACCAGCAGAGGCTTGAGATGCCCTTTGGTTCCTTACTACTTGGCCCTGGAAACAATTGTCCTCTGACAGCCTTATCATGCGCAGTGTGTTTTTCTCTCTCTGTAGCTCTTGCCAGAGAAATAATAGCGACCTGTTCTTCCCCAGAGGTTTTCTCCTCCAGGAGTGCCCCATGTGAAGGTCACAGAGGGAAATTGATAAAGGAAATCAATAAATATCCGTTGAATAAATCGGATAAATGGGACAGTTTTTGGACCACTTGCTCACTCTGGAAGATTCTCGATGTGGTGGTACATCTGTCTTAAATAGAAACTATGCTGAAAGTAAACGACAAAGCCTAGAACCCTTTCTTTCTTTGTTACCCCAGGACAGCGGATGCCTGTTTGGAAGGCTGGATTGGACTGAGCCACATGGCAGAGCCTTGGAGATGGCAGGGGAGGGAAGTCGAAGACATGGGCAAGTCTCAGTTCTCAACAGTGGCTGTGTGCCAGGCACTGAACGAGGCATTTTGCATGCAACATTTCACTTTATCTGCACAACAGCCCCCTGCTGAGGAACTATGGCCCCACTTTAATGATGAGGAAATTGAGGCTCAGAGAGGGGAAGTCACCTGCTTGAGGCCACACAGCTAGTAAATGGTAGAACGAAAGTTAAAGGTTACCTTGAAGCCTCTGCTGTTCCCATCGTCCCACAGCCAGCCAACTCCTGAGCTCAGGAGGACGTTGGAATAAGCCAGGCCCTCTGAGATCCCTGACTCTGAAGTCTTTAGGGAAAGATTCAGGTCATGATCATCAAAACGCCTTACTTTTGTGGAGCATGGGAACGTTTACAGGATGAATTTACATCTAGCATTTCATTTGCCTCTCACAGTAGCTTAGTGAATTATTAGCTCCATATCACCAATGAGAAACTGAGGCATGAAGAGACGGAGAGAGTTTCAGGGCACTGTCTCCTAATCTGGAGCTCTTTTCACTGGGTTTCAGAGAGAACAGAGCACTTTTATTAAGCATTTCAAAACAAGTTTAATATAGTATTCTGTTAAATACTAAGTCCTAGGCTGAAAGCTCCTAAATTGGAAACTGTATATGATTTATCTGTTTGTGCCCCACACCTATCAGTGTGGGGCTTATTGCAGATAATCAATTTCCATGGAAAGAATCATGCCTATAGGTAATTGCGATTCATCTGTCTAGAAAGTCATGAGCCTGCTGCCTTGGCTTCAGGGCCATTTCTTCATAGTATTTTTCAATGTGTCTGTCATTTTTAGCACAGCAATTGGTAACTGGAACAGTGGCTTAAAAATGTTTTAGTGGTGGAACTCTCTTTCTCAAAGAAAATCTTAGGCAGAATCTCAACATGGTAAATAGTTTTTTAGCAAAGGCTAAAAAATACCAGGCAATTTATAGCATTTGATGTAAAAGAGTTCAGAAGGAAACCTTTGCAACCTGTCTATATTTGCTTAGGTTTCCAATGGGGCACATTCTGAAGATCACTAAGCAGAATCATTACATTGACCAGAGTACTGTTCATTCCCTAACCTTGTCAAACATTACGGTGCTATGTAGGGAGAAGGGATGAGGACAAGAGCAGGCAAGGGGAGAATGGTGGGTGCTCTCCTGCTGCATGTCTGAGTCATATGCATCGTGGATGGGAAGAGTTGAGGAGAGCTGGGTGAGAACTCAGGGCTGAGTTGCAAGTGGCCTGTATGTCGGATAACAGTCTTAGGTGCAAGCAGTAGAATCTACTCTAGCTGGTTTAAGTGCTGAGAGATTTATTAAAAGGTGTGTATAGCTCATAGAATCACTGAGAGGGCTGGAAACCATGCTTTAGTCTAGGCGGAACTTTCAGGAACAACTCCCAAAACCCACACTGCAGAACTGCACTGCCAAGGGAGCTGCTTCCTCAGCACGAAGAGGCAGTGGTTGGTTCCAGAATCTCATTGCCTTTGGTGTGATTTGGAGTCACCAGATCAGGGCAAGAAGTCAGAAAGCCATCACTGTAGCTACTGGCTCCAGAAGCACACCTCTCTACCCTGATCCACATCAGAAAAAGGAAGCCTTGCACTCTGTCTTTCTTCTCACATAAGTCAACTCACAATTGAAGACCAATACAAGTACAATAGAATGGTAGATCCCAAGCTATATACAGAGTCATCATTACTAGGTAGTCTGAGAAATTTAGCATTCACAGGACCAGAGAGGGTTGGAATGGATATTGAGCAAGCTAATCCCCGGTAATGTGACAGTCTGCCATTTTGGTATTCAACATTCATATACATCTTTCCTTATACTTAAATTTCCAAACAATAACTGATGTTTCTGCCTGTACTAGTCAGGATCCTCCAGAGAAACAGAAACAATAATATATACTGATTATAGGGAATTGGCTGATGGGTTTATGGAGGCTGAAAATTGCAAGATCTGCAGCCTGCAATGGTTTGGTTCCAATCTAAATGCTGGCGGTCTTAAGATCTAGAAAGAGCTGAAGCTTCAGTTTCAGTCTAAAGGCAGGAAAAAACATCAATGTCCCAGTTCAAAGGCAATCAGGCAGGAGGAATTCCCTCTTGCTTATGGGTGGTCAGCCTTTTTGTTCTATTCAGGCCTTTAATGGACTGGATGACCCACTCACAGTAGGAAGGGCCATCTCTGCTATACCCAGTCTACTAAATTCAAATGTTAATCTCATCCAGAAACACCCTTACGAACACACTCAGAATAACGTTCAACCAAATGTCTGGGTCTAGTCAAGTTGCTGCATAAAATGGCCCAGTCAAGTTGACACAAAATTAACCATCACATTGCCTAACTTAAGATATAGTTTAAAGCTTGTGACATTGGTGATATTTGACTTTTTGACCTAAAATGTCAAATTCATCAGGCTTAATAATAACTATTAATAACTGTAATACACATATTTATCCTTTCCAAAGGTCTTATTGGTGAGAACATCCATCTCTGAGTAATAGTTATGCCTCCTGTAGTTCATTTACAATCCGATTTTATAGTCCTCTAACCTAGGGAATAAATTAGAAAGATAGCCATCACAATCACAGCAGTAAAAGAAAGAGAAAGGGATAAAAGAGGTTACCAGATAGATAGATAGATAGACAGACAGATAGATAGATAGATGATAGATAGGTAGATGATAGGCAGATAGATAGAGGAGAGAGAGTGAATGAAAGAAAATGTGAGAATCTATTACAGTCTGTTTCTGTAAATTCCCAACCAAGGTTATAGTTCTATTTATAGTTTTATCCCTCTACTGCTAATACCTTTGCCCTCAGCCAATACTTCAATCAGTCAAGGTTCTTTACTTAGTGGGGTACTCTAAAGAGTTATTCCTGAGTAGTCTGGACCTTGACAGTCTTGTCTGTGTAGGATTCCTACAGACTTTATTAACTGTCACCATAGATATGTCCATTTTAAGGACATAGTTTCCCCCTGCATTCTGGGCCTATTTTTCCCTGTCTTCGTTGTGTAACAACAATCTTTTTTCATCTTGATCATCAAGACCAATCATCTCCCTTATTTTCTTTGCCTATTATTTCAATGGCATGAAGTGCTCAAACTAGCTACATGGCTGTCTCAACTTCTAGTTCAATGGGAACATTTTGCTGTCCCCTGGAGAGCCACGGCATCTAAAGTTGCAGAGTCACCATTTATTTGTTGACTGTGGTATATGCAAATCAGCATGTGATTTGCATATGATGTGAGAATGAACTAATACAGGATTAATACAGCATATACCACAGCCAACAAATAAATGGTGATGCTGCAGCTTTAAAAATGGTGATTTATTTGTTGCTAATTTGCATATACCACATTCTATAACCTTGTCAGGTGTTATCTCCCAGCTCATGCTGTAACTGGGCCTTAGGGGGCCATTTCTCCACTATGAGACCATCTGTTTCTGGATGAAGGGCACATGGTAAGACCCATGAATTCTGTGAGGATGAGCACATGGCCTTACTTCTTTCACTATAAGTTCCTTTGAGAGAGGGAATGTTGTATGATACAGTGATGGTGAATAAGACATTGAGTAAGTCCATACAGGATCTTGTTGGCAGAAGCATGGTAGGTAGGAAAGACTAATCCATATCACAGGCTCGTTCAGCATGTATTACAGGGAGCACAAATTCTGCTCAATGGCCCAATAAACAAACCCCCAAAATAGCCATCAATTTTAGGATCTTATTTCTCCACTCTTAACTAGTGTAGAGTATAGAAGTTGCCGAGTACAGCTACAGAAACTCAAGACACCGTGCATACAGGTGCATAATTGAGTGATGATATAGTTTGGATCTATGTTCTCATCCAAATTTCATGTTGAATTGTAATCCCCAATGTTGGAGGAGGGGCCCGGTGGGAGGTGAATGGATCATGGCAGGGAATATCCCTCTTGCTGTTCTCGTGATAGTGAGTGAGTGCTCATGAGATCTGGTTGTTTAAAAGTGTGTAGCACTTCTCCCTTCACCCTCTTTCTTCTTTTCCAGCCATGTAAGATGTGCCTGCTTTTTCTTTACCTTTTGCCATAGCTGTAAGTTTCTTCAGGCCTCCCTCAGCCATGCCTTCTGTACAGCCTGAGGAACTGTCAGTCAATTAAACCTCTTTTCTTTATAAATTATTCAGTTTTAGGAAGTTCTTTATAGCGATATGCGAACAGACTATTACAGGTGGCATACTCTCTCAGCTGGGTCTTGAATGATGAACTAACAATTCTGTTCTTGTCTTCAGTCAACCATTTCTCCCATTTATCTGTGCTTTTTAATATCATCACCACTTTTTCCCAACTCACCTCTCAGCCCTTTCCCCCTCACTCTCAGAAGATAATGACTTTTCCTCCTTCTTCAGGAAAGACACTGAGACCTTCAGGCCACACTTCCACATGTCAAATTACCCTTGGCTGCTTCTCCTCTAGAGCCAGGGAAATAAGTTTAAGACTGAAAACTCCATCTAAATTCCTACTTTTCATCTCTTTCGGTTTCTTGCTGCATCAATTATCCTCTTTGGAATTCTCAACCTTGCCATGTCTATAGGCTTCTTGGTCCTAGATTGTTAATATGCTCAAGTTGAACACATCTTAAGGCAGTAGCCACAATAAAGACCATGAAAAAACTGGGGGAAAACCCCCTTGATCCCACATTGCCCTCTAGGCTACCACATGACTCCTTCGCTCCAGTTAAAGCTTTTCAGAAGAAGAATATATTCATCTGTTCTCACGCTGGTAATAAGCAAACCTGAGACTGGGTAATTTATAAAAGAAAGAGGTTTAATTGACTCACAGTACCACATGGCTGGGGAGGCCTCACAATCATGGCAGAAGGTGAATGAAAAGCAAAGTCACTTCTTACATGGCAGCAGGTAAGACAGCTTGTGCAGGGGAACTCCCATTTATAAAACCATAAGACCTCATGAAATTTATTCACTACGATGAGAACAGTATGGGGGAAACTGCCCCCATGATTCATTTATCTCCACCTGGCCTTGCCCTTGACATGTGGGGATTATTACAATTTAAAGTGAGATTTGGGTGGGGACACAGCCAAACCATATCAAAGGGTCTGTAACCAATGTCTCACCTTTCTGTTACTTCTCAGTCTATCTATTCAATACTTAGATTCTTGATTCCTCTTTTCTCTGAAACTTCTTGGGTCATGAATTTCAGACCCACAATGTAGTGCCTGAAGTCAATGGCATATTCATCCTTATCTCTCTCCTCCCATTGCTTCCTTCTCTCTCCCCCCCATTGCTTCTGTGACTCCACATCCATCTCATTTTTCTCTTATTTCTCTTGGTCCTTCTGGTTTCTCCTCTGATTACATATATTTTATTTTATTTATATTTTTGAGACAGGGTCTTACTCTGTCTCCCAGGCTGGAGCGCAGTGGTGGGATCTTGGCTCACTGCAACCCCCACCTCCCGAGTTTAAGTGATTCTTTTTTTTTTGAGATGGAGTCTTGCTTTGTCGCCCAGGCTGGAGTGCAGTGGCGTGATCTTGGCTCACTGCAAGCTCCACCTCCTGGGTTCATGCCATTCTCCTGCCTCAGCCTCCTGAGTAGGTGGGGCTACAGGCACCTGCCCCCAAACCCGGCTTACTTTTTGTATTTTTAGTAGAGATGGAGTTTCACCATGTTAGCCAGGATGGTCTCAATCTCCTGACCTCGTGATCCACCCGCCTCAGCCTCCCAAAGTGCTGGGATTACAGGTGTGAGCCACCGTGCCTAGCCTTAAGTGATTCTTGTGCTTCAGCTTCCTTTGTATCTGGGACAACTGATGCATGCCACCATGCCCAGCTAATTTTTATATTTTTAGTAGAGAAGGGGTTCTGCCATGTTGCCCAGGCTGGTCTCAAACTCCAGACCTCAAGTGATCCACCAGCCTTCACTTCCCAGAGTGCTGGGATTACAAAAGTAAGCCACCACGCCTGGCCTGACTATCTATCTTTTAAATGTATTTTTTAGGTACTACCACTCTCAGACTTCTCTTCTTCTTGTAGTCACCGAGCAATCTCCATCCATTCCAGAGTTTTTGTTGTGCATTAAAAAAAAAAGAAAGAAAGAAATTTCTACATGTTGCCAACTCTCCAATCTTATGCCCTTGGCACTGACTTTATTTGTGAGTTTCAGATCCACACATTCAATTGCATATGAGGCATCTCCAGATTAATACTGCATAGGCACCCCAAATCAATGTTTCAAACTGAAACCACTTCCCCTAAATCTGCTCCCTAGCCTACTAATGAAAATGATGTTGAGAGGGAAGAAATTACAGTTTATATTGAAGTGTAGAAAGTTTGTAGGGGGGGAAAGCAAGATGAGGGAGGTTTGGTTTAAAGAGAAACAACAGTCTAGAGGACACAGCCTAGAGGACAGAGACTTGGGGACACAGGCTAGAGGATGCAGGTACAAGCACACAGGCTTGAACACACAGTTTAAAGGACACAGACTCGAAGACACAACCTGTAAAACACAGAGGCCAGAAGAGTTATAAGTCAAGAAGAACTTGTAGAGGGGACGGAGGTCTAGGCTACAACTGAGGATGAGACTCTGGGGAAAAGAGCAGAGCAGTGGCTTCTGTCCTAGAGCAGAGATGATTGATTTAGTGAACTGCAGGAGCAGTGCCCAGGAAGTCATCTGGCAGAATGAGGGAGGCATTGGATATTGGTGAAGGGGTAAACACTGTGCACTGTTGAAAGGGGGAATCTTGGGCTGGGTGAGGTGGTTCACACCTGTAATCCCAGCACTTTGGGAGGCCGAGGCAGGTGGATCATGAGGTCAAGAGATTGAGACCATCCTGGACAACATGGTAAAATAACTCTACTAAAAATACAAAAATCACCTGGGCATGGTGGCACACGCCTGTACTTCCAGCTACTCGGGAGGCCGAGGCAGGAGAATTGCTTGAACCCAGGAGGCTGAGGTTGCAGTGAGCCGAGAGGGTGCCACTGCACTCCAGCCTGGGTGACAGAGCAAGACTCTTGTCTCAAAAAAAAAAAAAAAAAAAAGGGTGAAGCTTGGTACTTACATGACTGCACAAAATTTACCATGCCAGGGTTCCAGTTAAGTTCAATAATGTGAATAGCCAACACTCAATATGCTAGATCCTTTTTCCTGAAACTTTCTTAGAAAGGCTGGGCCAGGGGGAAAGGCTACTGAAACTTACCAGCTATTGCAATATTTTCTGTATGGAAGCCTAAAATCACCAAAGAGTATGCAACCCTTTGAGGTCAAATATCATGGCACTTGCATTTTTTGTAACTCCTTCAGCACCTGAGTGTACTAGACACATAGAGAGGCTTCAATAAATAATATTTGAAAAGAGCTGACCAAGTAATTGTGTCGATTATATCCCCAGCACCTGCAATCCTCTTTGTTCTTTCCACTGAGCCAATTAAATTTGTCATTAGAATTAGGGAACGGCTGAGGTTGGGGACTTGGTAAAGAAAAGGAGAAAAGAGGAGAAAATGTCCTATCAATACTTGTGGATTTTTTTTCTTTTGTAAAACTAATTGAAAGGCATTCATTTATAATGGAATTTTAGACCGCATATGTGGTGATTCACGCCTGTAATCCCAGCAGTTTGGTAGGCCAAGGTGATAGGATCCCTTGAGGCCAGGAGCTCAAGACCAGTCTGGGCAACAAAGTGAGACCTCGTCCCTACAAAACTTTATAAAATTAGCAAGTAATGGTGGTGCATGCCTGTAGTCCCAGCTACTTGGGAGGCTGAGATGGGAGGATCACATGAGCCTAGGAGTTGGAGGCTGCAGTGAGTTATAATCACACCATTGCATACCAGCCTGGGCAATAGGGCAATTCTGTCCCTAAAAGAATTTTTTTAAAATAATAATTAAAAAAATAAACTTTTACTGGAAAACACACAAAAAATGGGAAAGCACCTATTCCCATGTTTTATTTACAGTGCTCGATTCTCAGAGCAGGCAAAGATATCAAGGAAAATCCCGCATCTTCATCTATGGTCAGGTTATCAGCCCATGATCTCTAACAATAAAATTAACCTACTCAAAGAGAAGTTACTGCCTTTTGAATGGTTTTTGTCATTACCATTTGAATGGTGAATCAGCCTCATGGAGCACCCATGGCTCTTGCCTTTACATGAACAGCGTGGAATTTCATTTTCCTCCTAGCCTCTTCCTAGGTTGGCTTCACTTTGGCACTGGTGTGTCAGCCTACTCTTGTCCTGCCCAAAGCAATCGGCATTACTCTGTCAAGGGTGAGATCAGTTTCTGATTCTTATCTACAGATTGTGTAAGGAGAGTTGGCATTGGAGAGCCTTAAGTTGCTCCTCTAAATGTATGTTAAATGCACTGCAAGGTGAAAAGTCCTTGAATTTTTTAAGTGACAGGGCAATGGACTTAAATAACAGAGTGGGTGAGAGGGTGGTAGTGATGATGGTGTAAAATGAGTTGTAAATCAGTTTTTTCCAACCAAGGGTTCTCCTCTCTCTTATCTCCTTTGTAGCCCATTTCCTTCCTCCAAAGATTTTCCCTGTTTGAGTTGTCTATGCTCCTGTTCCCCTTGCTGTTCATGGTCAGGGCAGCTTCTAGGGAACCATGATAATGGCACTGATACCATGAAAAGATGTGTAGTGGGCCCAGTGTGTGTTACCCCACAACCTTGGGAAGCTCGGAGTCATGACCCTCCAGGGATAGGGAGGCTTTAAATGGAAACTGTTCCTAGGACAGCCACTCTGCAATGTAATTAAAGCCCAAGACTAAAGAGGCAGAGGCCTCCTGGTACAATTTCCTGCCCTGATCAGAGGTTAAGAAAAAACTTGTTGGGGGAAGGAAAGATCTTTCTGCATCCTAAAGTCATATCATGTAATTTTTACCTTATTTACATGGGCTTCTGCCCATGAAATCCCTCCAGTTCAGGTCAACAAGGTGTTTTTTTTTTTTTTGCCCTAATATGTTCCAGACACTAGGCAAAGAGCTAGAGATGTAAAGATGAGTAATATCAAAGTCTCGCCCTTTCAGTAAAAGACAATAATAGATTTGTAACTGATGAAATTAGAACACCGTTAACGTATAATCAGTTTATTTATGAGATATGTGAACCAGAGGGCTTGGGGACACAGAGTATCTGGGCAGGTATTACAGAGGCAGTGACATTTAAGAGATAAATAGGGGCTGGGCGCAGTGGCTCATGCCTGTAATCCCAGCACTTTGGGAGGCCGAGGCAGGCAGATCACCTAAGGTCAGGAGTTCAAGACCAGCCTGGCCAACATGGTGAAACCCCATCTCTACAAAAAATACAAAAATTAGCAAGGCACAGTGTTGCGAGCCTGTAATCCCAGCTACTCAGGATGCTGAGGCAGGCGAATCACTTGAATCCAGGAGGTGGAAGTTTCAGTGGGCAGAGATCATGCCACTGCATTCCAGCCTGGGTGACAGAGCGAGATTCTGTCTCAAAAAAAAAAAAAAAAAAGAGACAAATAGGATTTTCTTAAGCAAACAATGAAGGAAGGCTGTCATTCAATACAAAGGGTAAAGTATCTGTGCTCGAGGAGTTTGCAGTCTATAGTAGCGCGCGAGCGCGCACACACACACACACGTTTATCATTCTAAAAAGTAGAAAACAGCCTTAGCTAGGAGCAGAGCTTACAGAGGGCTGCATACTGAACCCAGGGGATGTAATCCCTGTCATCTAAAGAAGGAGGACAAAAATTGCGAGTGATGCATTGGTACAATGAAGGCCGAATATGATCTGTGCACCAGGAGGAATACTCTGAGAGACTGGGGGCAGAGAGATGAGGGAGGCATACCTTATGTGCAGGAGTTCTCTTTGGGCAGGGCATGAAGGGTGAGGGAGACTTCAGAAGTCAAAGAATAGTGGACATCCATCTCTCCTTCTGTGCTTGCCAGGGACCCTTCGTGCCTTCAGAATTATTCTCTGTCCCTTGTGCTTATCCCCTGTACTCTGTCCCATGCACAGATCCTTTATGTTCTGTTATTCACTTGTTTGAATGACAGCCACCCTCATTGTTTGCTTAAGAAAGTTCTGTTCATCTCTTAAATGTCACTGCCTCCATGATACTTGCCTAGACACTCCAAGCCAGGTGGCAGAGGTCTGAACATCTCCTTACCATGAATAAGAGGCACTGTGTCAAGGGCAAAGGAAAGTCCTATTAGGGCATGTACCTCCAACCCCCCTCAGGACATACAAACTTTCCAAACTTTCAGAGGCTTGCCCAGGGCTCTCACCTACCTTCCTCCTGCTGGTGTTTCAGGCTACTCATGTTCAGTAAGGATCTCCTTTGAAATGGCCAGAAGAGCTAAGCTCCAGGACCTTGGCGTCAAACTGGCAAAAATGCTGTCTATGTCAACACCAATGCAGAGTCGCAAGAGAAAGGCTCTCTGTACATAGCTCTATAGGTAAAAGAAAGTAATACTATAGGTAAAGCAGTAATGTAGGAAAACTCAGGCAGTCCCTTGGAATTTGTGGATTGGGATAGAATCAATACAATTGACCATGAAGTGTTTGTGCATCATGAATTATACACAGGACAGCCTCCTCTCCAGAAGCTTGTGAGCAGGTTCAAAGTAAAGAAACAGATACATGAAAAAGGAAATTTCAATGCAAGTGTAAACCGAGACCTCCCAAGTATTGAGTGGTAGGATCGCCTCTGAAATGGAAGAAAAGGGCCACTGGGACTAGATGATTTCCCTTGACCGTGTTTTTACATCCATCATTCTGTGAGTCTGACAATAAATACCTTAAGGTCAGAGCTTTATCTTCCAAACAGGCTTTCTTCTCTTCCTCTGATTGCAGTAACATCAGAAAATCATTCAAAAGAGTAACAATGATGTGAATTATAGATCAGTTATCTGCAATATAGCAATGTGTTATTATCTGGGACACATGATGTTCTGAATATTGGCTAGTGAATTTATGAAGCTCCTTTACTCGTAAACAGGTTAGGTCCTTAAGGTTCTTCTTAAATTAAGTTGTTTGCAAGTTCAAAGTTTCTCCAAAGAAGTGATACTTGGCCTTTTTCACCACTCTCAATTTTCCCTTTAATTTTTATGTCTGTTTCCATAAGAGTTCTTTCTCTTGTTACTAGGATAGTCTCATTATTTTTATTATATTAGATATGAGGAAGTTAACAATATTTACAAAATACCTTAAAAAACCAACAAAATTTCTACCCTTCATTGACTGAAGTCAAGTGGAGACTTGGTCTTGGTGAGGCAGAGGGCACTCTGGGTTTTCCTAAATGTCTGTAGCCTCATATACAAGATTCAAGGAGGATAGTTGTATCTCCGAGTCACTTACAGGCATGAAGAATAGTCCCTGAGCTCAGGAATTATGACCTTGCCACTCTTGGCCATCTATCCCTCCATTTTGGGGGCTCAAGAGGAGGCCTGAGGTACCTACTTCTCTCTACCTTTCCATACTTACAGTGTTAACACCAATATTTGTTTTGAGTTTAGCAGGACTAATCTCATTATGCCCTCTGTATATTTCAGTTATCATGGGAGTGCCAGCCTGGCAGGTCACCCTCCTCTCACACCTTCTAATCCCTCTATGGTTCTGCATCCCCACGATTCTGTCCTCTTTCCCATTCCTATCTCCTGAACCCCTTCTTCTGTGCCTCTGTAATTCCTGTTACATTATGAACAAAATCCCATACATCTTTAATCTCTTCTCTTCCCTCCAAATCTCTCCCCAGGACAATGCTTACCCTGCAGCCCCTCAGGGTGAGGATGTTTCTCTCCTAGCCTTTGTACCCCTGGGCCTGCCTGGAGGAGAGCTAAGTGTTCTCCCCGAACCTCACTGCCTCCTAAAGGCCTCTCCCCACTCTCCCCTGCAAACAGCACCAGCTTTGAATCCCCCATCAGATTATATCACACTATCAATACTCTTCACTGTTGCTGCCATGGATGAAGGGGGTCCCTCTCTGATTTCTTCGAGATTTTAGCTTCTGATTTGCTGTTGGTCTCTCCACTTTTCCTCTCCTTTTAATGTTTGGTGATTTTGGAATTCTCATAGATGATCTTTCCAACACCCAGGACTCTCCGTATCTTGACCTCTCCTCTGATGATTTGTCCTCTGCTCCTTCCCTTGCTCACTCCCGTGTCCTATTCCAGATCAGTCCTCAACAATTGCACCTCCCCTATATTTCAGGCTTGTGCATCCCAATCTCAGGCCACCACCTCCTCTCTGTACAGCTTGGTCTCTCCGAGAGCCTGACTCCAAGAGTTAATGACCCCACTGGAAGCTCCCATTCCCTCTATCCTACCATTTGTTCATTATTCCGCATCCCTTTGGGCCTTCTTTCCCCTCCTTGCCCAGCTTACACCCCATGGCTAATTGTTATGATCACTCCTTTGCAAAAATCCTTAGCTCCTTTGGCCAGAATCACAGCCCTGATTAGGCATGTGCAGCTGAGTAGCTGAACATGGCTGGAGGAAAGCCCTCTGCCTCACTCACTGGGCTCACCTTGAAGTCACAACTACAATCCTCGGTTAGGTCTTTAATGCTGTCAGAAAACAGAACACAGCATGTTCCCAATTCCTCTCCCACAATCCCAAACAATTAGCTCACGATTTCTCTTGCCTCCTCAAACCCTTGCTATCTGGCCTCACTCTTAGCCAATGATTTGCTTCTTCCTTCCTAAGAAACATAAGCAGTTGAGAGAGAACGTCTGCAGATGGCATGGCCCCATCGCCTCCCACCCCCATCTGTGCCCACACCCCTGCCTTCCCACCTACTGCAGAAGGACTCTCTGTGTCCCCATCTTAAGTTAATCTCTTAGTTTTTCAACTAGATCTTTTCCCCCTTTTGTTTTCCTAAAGTTATTGTTCTACAACTGTTCACTTCTCCCTTTTGCATCATTCTCCCTCTTATAAAAACAAACAAAAGTCTTATTTTAACTCCACTTCCCTCACCAGCTATTGCCCTGTGTTTTGCCAAGAGAATTCCTTGAAAGAGCTGTTTGAACTTAACTGTGTTCAATTTTTCCCGTCCCTCTTTCATTCTCTCTAAACAGGCTTTCACGTCCCTTATTCATCACCAGGGGCTGCTGGTGAGGCCCCATTATTGACTCTGATCATGGCCAATGGTCCTCCTCCTCTAGTTGACTTATCCACAGCATTCGGTCAGTTGGTCACTTCCTCCTCCAGGAAACAAGCTCCTGGGTTGGTTTCCAGGGACTTGTGCCCTTGCCTTTCCTCCTACGTGGCTCATGCTCATGCTCTGTCTTGGTCCTCTCTGCTGGCTTCTCCTGCCTACTTCCTGTTCCTCCTTTCTTTTCTTTCCACACTCCCTCCCTTGGCAATCTCAGTAAGTACCAAAGCTTTAAACTCCATTTATACGCCAAAGGCACCCGAAATCAAAGTATATCTTAGTCCTTGCTCCGGGACCCCAAACTAAAAAAATCCAACTGCTTTCTTGACACCTCTACTTAGAATTTGGTGGAACATGTCTCACACTTGAGCTCTTGACTTCTTTCTCCAAGCCAGCTTTGCTTCAGGCTCCTTCAGTTGGCAGCAATCCTATCTTTCCACTTGCTCAGGCCAGAAAACCTAAGTTTTTACTCACACGTTGCCTTCCTATGAGGCCTACTTGACACCATTATTTAGAGCTGCATGCTATTTCCCTGCTTACCCCATCCTCACTTGTTCTATTTTATTTCCACAGCCCCTACCTCATTTTAACATACTTTATAATTTATTTATCGTGTCAGTTGTTCATCACCTGTCTCCCCACTCTCACCCTCACCCCTGCCTAGATAGATTATGACTCCCCCAGGGCAGGAATTTTGTTTGTGTTCCTTATTGATGTATCCCAAATGCCTGGCATGCAGTGTGTGCTCAATGTATCTTTGTTAAATGAACAAAATAAGAAAATTAAGTCATAGAGCCTAGAGCCAATGGCAGGAAATGAAATAACTGAATATGGTCACTCAGGTCATCTGTTTGTGGCACACAGTAACATGAAGTCACTAGGTATGATGCTTTGTACATAAGAGCATGAATGTTGATGTTTGTTAATAGGAAAGTTTCTGTGATTTTTTTTTTTTTTTGAAATGGAGTCTTGCTCTGTCACCCAGGCTGGAGTTCAGAGGCATGATCTCGGCTCACTGCAAGCTCTGCCTCCTGGGTTCACGCCATTCTCCTGCCTCAGCCTCCCGAGTAGCTGGGACTACAGGTGCCTGCCACAATACTCGGTTAATTTTTTGTATTTTTAGTAGAGATGGGGTTTCACCGTGTTAGCCAGGATGGTCTCGATCTCCTGACCTCGTGATCCACCCCCCTTGGCCTCCCAAAGTGCTGGGATTATAGGCGTGAGCCACTGTGCCTGGCCGTTTCTGTGATTCTTTTAAGTGAAGTTGAATAAATTCAACCTTAAGTTCAGTGAAAAGGGCAGAGCTTAGCTTCCTTATCTTGTGTTCATTGGAAGTAACAAACACTCTGTTGTTCTTGGGCCTTGTAATACTCCCAGGCATTTATGAGATTATTAGTGTATACTGAGTAGTATGCTGAGCATTGTACTATGGGTTTGTTGCTCTGTCAGGAGCCTGGGGCAAGCAGCGATGGCTCTGATCTCCCTCCCTGCCCTTTTCTAATGTAGAATGCATGGATACTATGAGAGTGTTCCAGAAGTGCACTACAGCTTTGGTTGAATCTCTCGGGCTGGTGAAGAGGTGACAGAGTGGAGCCAGTTTGCTCCTTCCTCCACACAGGTTGTTTATGGTCTGTTCCAGGCTGTGGCTCTCAGCTGGTAACTGAACCTGTTCTGGTGGTCTGAGCACAGGCGCCCTGGAGAACTACAGAGATATGATTTACCTTTGTTTGACTGTGGCTCTTTCTCAGCCATCCCTTTCTGTTTGGCGGTGGTGACTGATGGTAGGTTACAGTGACCCTCTGGATACAATCCAGAACACACAAGGAGCAGTCTTTGGAGGGCAGGGAAAAGGATTTTGGAAAATTAGGCGTCGGATGGAAGAGTGGAGGGGAGTTGTTCATGGAAGCAAACTGCTATTCCTGGCCCTAAACACCAGGGACAGGAAGTAGGGTGTTGGGCACATCCAGACCTAGGAGGCCTGTGGGAACAGGGCAGCCAAGGAGAGAAGGAGGCGGCACAGCCAGCCAGAGCTTACAAACAGCACAGCAGCCAAGATGCATGCAATATGTCCACCAAAGGAATTGGGGAAGTGGGAGAGGACACCCCACTGGTGGTGACTTGGCATAGACACTGTCTGCTCTCTGAACCCCATGCCCATGCGCCACCTTTTCTCAAATTGGAGTCTTTGGACTAATTGAAAAAGAATCACTTGGAGAATGTGTTAAAAATATACGATCCTGTGCTGGGTACAGTGGTTCATGCCTGTAATCTCAGTGACTAGAGAGGCTGAGATGAGAGGATCATTTGAGCCTAGGAGTTCAAGGCTGCAGAGAGTTATGATCGTGCCCCTGCACTTTAGCCTGGGTGACACAGTGAGACATTGTCTTTACTTTTTTTTTTTTAAGTGTAGAGTCCTGAGCCTTAAATTCTGACTTGGAATGGAGTATGACCTAGAGATCTGCATTTATACATATTCCCCTGGTGACTCTTTCCCGTGGTAAAGAGTACTGTTGTCTAGGCCATGGACCATCTTTCCTTTGAGGAGTGGTCTCTTCTTCTGCTGTCCCCATGCCAGGCTTCCCTTGGTCCGTTCATTCCAGGGGATGGCTATGGAGTCAGTCCTCAGAAGCTCTGACTATCCTCACATCCACACACTCACAGCCCAACTGGTTGGCTCTAGACCACCTAAACTCATGGAGTAAAAAATGAGATTCTTCATCTGGTTCCCCACAGCCAGCTTCCTTCCCTGACATACCCCTTCCTTTTTCTGAATAGCCATGCCCCAAACCTCTGACATATTCTTAACTCCCCTTGTCCTTTAGCCCTGCCTCCATCTAACTAGCTCCCATGGGGATGGGCTCTTCCTTCACAGTGTCTCTCACTTTTATGGGGTTCCTCCCTCTCCATTTCCTGAAGCTGGGTTTAGGGCATCCTTCCCTCCTGTGGGTGGGGACTCCAACCATCCTGGTTGCCTAGGACTGAGAGAAGCAGGACTTTCCATGCTAAAACTAGAAAGGCCCTAGGCAAACCAGAACGAGTTGGTTGTCTATCCTAGACCACTGCAGTGAGTTCCTCCTTGGCCTCCCGGCTTGTAATCTCCTCTCTCCACAAGCCATCCCTTCCCACACTGTCTCTCACTGAATTTCACCATTCATAATTTTGAAGAAGTCATTGCTCCTGCCTCCAAAACTTTCATGCTTCAAGAACTTAATTTGCTTTCTCCTTAGTTTAAATTAATTTCTGCAGCATCCAAGGCCCCCCAACAATCTGGCCTTAAACTGCCTGAGTCAGCTCAGGCTACCCTAAAAAAATATCACAGACTAGGTGGCTTAGATAACAAGCATTTACTTCTCACAGTTCAGGAGGATGCAAGGCAAAAATCAAGGTGCCAGCAGATTTGGTTCCCAGTGAGGGCTCTCTTCCTGGCTTGCAGATGGCTGCCTTCTCATTCTCATATGGCAGTGAGAGCTCTGGTCTCTCTTCCTCATCTTATAAAGGCACTCATCCCACCAAGGGGAACTATCTCATAGTCTCAGCTAAATCTACTCACCTCCCGAATGTCCCACCTCCAAATACCATCACGTGAGGGCCTCCACTTAGGAATTTTTGGGGATACAAACATTCACTCGATACCACTGCCTTACTGGGTGCATCTTCCATGATTCCCCTGCACATTGCCTTTTTCAAACTGAGCTAGCTCTTCCCATAGGACCTGGTCACTTCTGGGCCTTTGTCCCTGTTATTGTTTAGCACAACTACCTTCCTGACCCATTCTTAACCTTTTGAAATAATGCTTTCACTTCTTAGATGCCATTTACCCGGTCACCCAGCCAGAAGTAAAGTCCCTCCTCTCCACTCCTACAATGCCTCCCTTTTATCGTCTGCATGGCAATTGTCATTGCCTTGGCATGTACTGACTTGCT
Organism: Homo sapiens; assembly: GCF_000001405.40. Classification (NCBI taxonomy): domain Eukaryota; kingdom Metazoa; phylum Chordata; class Mammalia; order Primates; family Hominidae; genus Homo; species Homo sapiens. Next base: position 29,582,132 of record NC_000008.11, read on the forward strand.
ACCTGCCTTCTTCCCCTACTTGATACTAAGTCCTTCAAAAATAGGGACCTTCCTTCTTCATTGTCTTTAATCCTTCAAAGCTCATCAAATCTTGTGTACGGAAGATAATTGGAAAACACACATTCCGGTGGAAGGAACAAATAAATAAACTTCCATTATATTTTGTTAGACCAAATATTTTCACTCATGAAGAAAGAAGGCATTAGGGTGACACATGACTGTGGAGGGGCCCTGCTCTCAGGAGCACACGCTCAGTGTGCTGTGATGATAAGGTAAAGCCATGCCATTTAGATTTCTCCAAAGAAGGAATAATAATTTCTGACATTTGTTGCACACACACTCTGTTCTGGGCACTGTTCTAAGTGCCTTGTAGATGCTAACTCATTTAGCCTCAGATCAACACCGTGAACCCAGCGCACAGTGGTGAGCTGAGTGGGCCTGAAACCCACCGCCATTGCTTACTGGATGGTGTCCTTGGGCAAGGTGCTTATCCTGTATACTTCAGTTTTCTAACATGTAAAATGATGATAAAAATAGTACCTAATTCAGTGGGGTATTGCAAGGACTACCATAATTTATTAAATCCAAGATGCCACCCCTTGAAAGGCGCATCACTACTTTACATACCACTGATGAACACCACATCATAGATTGTTAGATAAAGCCTGACTTCCCAGATGTTAGAATGGGGAATAACATGCATCTTAGACATAATGAAACCCTTTGCATGGGTAGTATTATTTTAAATGAATGATCATAGCAGTACAGGCAGAATTGTGTCTCTTCCCCTAATTTATATGTTGAAGTCCTAACCCCCAGTACCTCAGAATGTAATTACATTTGCAGACAGGATCTTTAGGAAGGTAACTAAGGTTAAATGAGGTCATATGGGTAGACCTTAATCCAATATGACTGACATCCTTAGAAGAAGATAAAATTTAGACCCAGACCCAGACACAGAGGGAAGGCCATGTGAAGACACTGGGAGATGAAGGTGGCCATCTGCAAGCCAGGGAGAGAGGCCTCAGAAGAAACCAACCTTGCCTGCACCTTCATCTCAGACTTCTAGCTTCCAGAACTGTGAAGAAATAAATTTCTGTTGCCTAAGCCATGTTGTCTGTTGTTCTTTGTTATGTCAGCTCTAGAAAACTTATATAGACCTCTTACTAAAACTTTCAAAAACCACAGAGCAAGGAATTGAGATAAGGGACCATCATGCCTTAACAAGAGACCTGCCAACCCAACCCCAGCCGTACCTTGTATCCAATTCCAGCACCAAGTTAGACCTTCCCTTCCACTTAGGTCCCTGGGCCATTTGTGGAGAAGTCCACCATTCACTTGGGACATAACAGCTACATGTGAACTATCACCATTAGCACTCGACCTCTTTTTTTTTTTTTAAACTGAAATTTATGAGGGCATAAGCAGAAAGTATGAGAAGCTCTTGAGTGTTGACACACTATTAGCAGAACTCTGACGACAGTACCTGGCCATGCTTAGCTCATACCATCTTTAGCGAAACTGACAGCAGATACTTGACATTAAAAGGGTTTGTAACAGCAGATTGTCCAGATTAATTAGATCTTCAAATCGGACTGACATCGTCTCTCTTTCTTTTTTCTAGAGTGGTTTGACATTTGTGCATAGTATGAAGAAAGATCATCAAGGCTGAAATGTGTCTGCTAAGAGGCTTCAGCTCATGTTTGCTAATCTCCTGTATGGTGAAACACTGGCACCCAGACAAACCCTCATTCACATCAGAACAAAGCGCTAGTTATGTGTGTTGAAATTCCTTAAAGAAAATGTCTTGCAGGCTGCTGGGGAGTGCGTGAATGCTGGAAATGCTTCACCAAGAGTTACTCAATGTCCTGGGAAGACGGTCTGCTGGCATCTGAGGGCTCACCCTAGAGAAGAGTGGTTGTACTCCAGGGCACATGGGTCTGGTGAGGACAGAGAAGCATGGGTGGATGGGTGGGTGGAGATGAGGGTGGATGTTTTCTCTGTAATCGTCTCCGGCCAGGCTGGAGCCCGAACCAGACTACCCACTTTATTAGTCCATTGAGAATATCTAAAGTCAGGCTTCTCAGCACAGCTGCCATTTCCCCTGCTTGGGACCAGATTTTCCTGTTTTCTGAGGGCTTCCAAGTAAGTTGGAAGTTCCTTGGGTTTCCACAACTTTGACTTAATGAAGAAACAAGGTCAAGAATCAGAGGAAAGGTTTTTGGATGGGCCTCAGAGGTCTGAAATGGTTAGGTGGGAGTCTAAAGGTATAGGAGAGAAACTAAATCAGTTGTAGCCCCAGCTGTTTGGAGATGATGCCAGCAGATGGGATTGAGTAAGCGACCACAGGTTGCAGAGGGTGGCAGATGGGAGGCGGATGTGGAAATGGGGTCCCAGTCAGAAATGAACACCACTAGAGGAGCAGGAAGAAGGGCCAAGCAAGAGCAGTGGTTCTCATTGTGGTTTCTGGACTAGCGGCGGCAGCAGCACCCACGATGTAGATGTCAACTCTTAACTCCACTCGGAAACCCACTGAATCAGAAACTCAGGTGGTGAAGCCCAACCAGCGGTACTTGAATAAGTCCTCCAGTGAGTCTGATGGACACTAAAGTTTAAGAACCACTGAGTCAGGGAACCCCAAGGGAGGCAATTGCTAAGGAACTGCAAGAGAGGAATTAGGGGCTGGGCCAGGGGCCAGGCGCGGTGGCTCACACCTGTAATCCCAGCACTTTGAGAGGCTGAGGCAGGAGAATGGCTTGAGCCCAGGAGTTCAAGACTAGCCTGGGCAACATAGTGAAACCCTGACTCTACAAAGAACACAAAATTGGCCAGGCATGGTGGTAGCCACCTGCAGTCCTAACTACTCGGGAGGATCACTTGAGCCTGGGAGATGGAGGTTGCAGTGAGCTGAGATCACACCTCTGGGCTACAGCCTGGGTGATAGAGCAAGACCCCATCTCAAAAAAAAAAAAAAAAAAGACGGCAGGATTAGGGAAACTTCTAGAATGAGGAGGAGATGGCCCTGAAAGCACAGGGGGACAAGGAGAGTGAACTGAAAAGTAGAAAGAAGTTCTTCTCCATAAGAAAAAAAGGTGATGAGAGCTACAATAAAAAACTACTAGTCACAACGGCTGCAGCTCAAGGTAGCCTGGATTCTTGATAAGCACACACCCGCCACTGGTGTCACGCTGAAGCTGGAAGGACCGCCTCTGCTAACAACAGTGAAGAACAAATGTGGATGCAAATGGCTCTTAGAAGTCAGACAAAGGGAAGTTGCATTGCTGAGATTCACCTGCAGGTCCCAGCATGGCTCATTTGTTCTCTGGAGTAGTGGGTTGAATGGTAGCCCCCCGCCCCCATAGATATCCTAACCCCTAGAATCTGTGAACGTGATCTTATTGTGGCAGCAGGCCTGTAATCCAAGCTACTCTGGAAGCTGAAGGGGGAGGATTTCTTGAGGCCAGAGGTTCGAGACCGGCCTAGGCAACATAGCAAGAGACCCCTTCCATCTCCAAAAAATGAAGGATATCCAGATGAGATCATCCTGGATTATCTGAGTGGGTCTTAAATCCAATGACATCCAAATTTATAAGAGATGAAAGAGGAGGAAAAGAGAGATATGCAGAGGAGAAGGTGATGGGAAGATGGAGGCAGGAATTGGAGTGACACATCCATAAACATGTAGACATAAAGGGAATGCCTGTAGTCACCAGCAGTGGGAAGAGGTAAGGCGGGATTGTCCCGCAGAGCCTTCAGAGGAGGCATGGCCCTGCTAACACCTTGATTTTTGGACTTCTGACCTCCAGAAATGAAAGAAAATAAATTACTATTGCTTTAAGCCACCAAATTTGTGGTGATTTATTATAGCAGCTCTAGGAAATTAATATACCTGGCTTAAGGGAAGAGGCATGGGATTTGAAGACAGACAGACTGGTGTCTTGAACTTTTTGAATGTTACTCCCTAGGGTGGGATGTGAACTCTGAGTCACAGCAGTCCCCACGTGGCTTGAGTCCCTCATTACTTTAGCTATCTGCCTCCTATGAGCATCTTAGCTTTGTATCCTCTGGGTAACTTCACCTCTCCAGTCTTCTCCACCTTTGACATCTTATTATTCCAGCAAGGGGGGTGGGGAAGGTGGATTACCTCAAATCTTTGGAGCAATGTTTGGGGATGATGTAGTCTACCATCCTTTGAATAGCTTGGCTGATTTACCATTGAGGAAGAAAGAAATTTCTTCTTGAGATGTAGTGTGATGCCTTTTTCAGAACCAGCCACTCTAGTGATTTTTAATAAAAAAAATTATTGTCTCATGGCTGGGTTTCTGTCATTCCTTCCAGAAGGTGGGAGGCTGTGAGTTTGGAAAATTAGTGTCTGGTGACTGTGGGTGAGAAGGCCCTTTCCTACATAACAGAAGAAATAAACACAGGCCTGCAGTGGGGGTGTCATAGCTACGGGTCACTATTACCCATGTGGGAGGCAGGTGTGGTTGTTTGGAATTGCCCCCAAGTTCTGCACTGGAAAAATACATCAGCCTGGTGCAGCGGCTCATGCCTGTAATTCCAGCACTTTGGGAGGCTGAGGTGGGATGATTACTTGAGGCAAGGAGTCTGAAATCAGCCGGGATAACAGGGTTAGATCCCATCTCTATAAAAAATAAAATAATTAGCCGGGCTGTAGTCCTGGCTACTCAGGAGACTAAGGCAGGAGGGTGGCTTGAGCCCAGAAGTTTGAGGCTGCAGTGAGTTGTGATCACACCACTGCACTTCAGCTTAGGTGACAGGCAAGACCCTGACTTTGAAAAAAATAAAATATATATACTTATTTATATATAAATATTTATATATTACATTATAAATTTATTTATATATATAAATACACATGTATTTATATATAAAAATATATATACACACACATGGACACACACATACACACACACACACACAGATACATATACATATATATGAAACTTGAAGCCAGCCTCTCTCAGTGGCGATGTTTTTCAAGGAAATCTCCAGCGTTAACCACTCCAGCAGAAAATTTCACATTAGATGGCCCGGTAGTATCTCCATCCAAGGGGATGTATTTCTGGAGCACCAGAAAATGCCGCAGAGAACAGCACTTTGCTGCTAATAAGCTCCCAAGCTATGCTTCTGATGCTGTGCTGTGTTTTCCATCAGTTCTACCTCCCTGTCTGATCAGTGTCAGTAAGAGGGACTGCTGGTGTAGATGCTTTGACTGTAAATCCTCTCTGGCTTTGTAACTGGGATGAGGAGAGATGATTCCAACTAGGACAAGGTAAAAGCAGGAGAAACAAAGTTGGTCCCCACCTCCCCTACTCCAGAAACCTAGTTTCCATCTGCTTCTGCCTCTGTTGTGACACTCAGATTTCACACCCTTTTCTTATCTATTTTCTCTATCAAAGCACAGCTATCTTTTGTCTCAATGCTTCAAAGTTTGGATCTATGGATGAACCAAAATTCTAACAGCTATTAGCATCCCACTGTTTCCACACCTCTGGATTCTGTAGACCCCTGTTCTGGGAAGATCAACATTTGCTCAAGCTTCTCCCGAGAGAGGGTTCCCTGGAGCAGCAGCCAGGGTGACAGGTGTCAGGGAAGGCTAAGAGAACCAGGGTCCCACCTTTGGGGCTGGCTTGGCCCTGGGCCATGACCTGGGCATGTAACACTGGGCCTTCCTGTAACTCTTCTGCATTGCTTTCCTCACTTACAAAATTTAGTGGGAAACTGGGTGGAATTAGGTCAGTATCTGACCATAAAAATTATCTGGGCCATCAGTAAAATTCCAGGTCTCTGGGATTCACATCAGACCTCCTGAATCTGACTCTCTAAGGAGGGATCTGAGCATCTGTCTTTCATAAGCACCTCTGGGACCAAAGGTGCAGGTCAGTGTGGGAGACAGGCATGGATGAGTTCACGAGGCCCTCTCAGCTTTGCTTTCCTGTGACATTCTTCAGAAGGGCCACGGGGTGACAGTGACCAGCAGGGACCCCAAGAGCCTGAGTTCATATCCTGACTGTGTTTCCCCAACACAGTGACCTTGGCAAGCCCTGCCTCCTGATGACTCAGTCTTCTCATCCGCAGAATGGCCATAATAAGAGTTTCAACCACTGGCTGGGCATGGTGACTCATGCCTTTAATCCCAGGACTTTGGGAGGCTGAGGCAGGAGGATTGCTTGAGCCCTCGGGTTTGAGACCAGCCTGGGTAACATAGCAAAATTCCGTCTCTACAGACAGTACAAAGTTAGCTGGCCATGATGGTGCACACCTGTAGTCCCAGCTGCTTGGGAGGCTGATGTGGGAGGATGACTTGAGCAGAGGAATTCAAGATGGCAGTGAGCTATGATCACACTGCTGCACTCTAGCCTGGGGCAAGCGACACTGTCTCAAAAATAAATAAATAAACAAACAAACAGGTAAGAGTATCAGCCACCTAGACTTGTCGATGATTAAATGAAGTCAAACAAGTCAAGGGCGTAAAATCATGCCTGACACGTAGGGAGGACTTAAACACGTAAATGCTGTGTTAACACTACGAAGGCCTTGGGGTGAAAGGCACTGGACAGAGCCTTCAGAACTCAGCCTTCTCTTTGCAGCCTTCTCTGGAGCTCAGAGTTTGTGGGGCCCAGCTCTTTACTTCTGCTTTCTTTACCAAGCTCAGCTTCCTTAGTACATGACTTTGTTTATGTCGGTGTCCAAATCCCCACTAGATTTCAAGTATCCTGAGGACAGGGCACCTTTTAACCCTTGGTGCAGAGCACAGAGTGGGCAAACCACAGGCCCTGCTGAGCCAGACTCATCTCCTGAGCTCTCAGCAGTCTCTGCCTCCCTTTGTCTGTGTCTGTCTCCTCTTGTGCCTCCTTCTGCCTCCCTGGATCAAAATGCCCCAGCACTCTACTAAGACATAAAAGGTGGCCTACAGTGGAAAGGCAACTTCTCTCCCCTTTCCTTGGCAGAGGTGCTCGAGGTAAGATTCCAGGGTCAGAGGATCCTTCATGCTCTGAAGCCAGTAGGAGTCATGGAAGTGAAAGTGGAGGTGGGAGGACCTAGCCCCAGGACCAAGCCCTCCTTCCTGCAGGGCGACTGTCACCCAACAGTAGCTATACCAGCTGCCTTGTCCCAGGGAGATGGTCCATTTCCCCTTTTGCCTCTGGGTGCATGTCACCTGTTTAGCATTGTGCCCCATAGGGACTTAGGTCACGTGCCTGGAGGTGGATCAAAGTGCCAGTGGGGAAAAGGGCTCAGCTGTGGGGCATGGGAATCAGCCACAACCAGCCCTGCATCCCGACTCAGGGCACAGTGCGGCCAAGTCCTAGTCCCTGTCTCGCCTCCACCTTTCTTGGACCTTTGGACGTTGAACTTCTCTGTGTCAGGTCAGTGAGGATGACAATTATAGAAGGCATCCAGGCAGAAGTGGTAGCACCTTTTATGACCTGGCCTTGGCGGTCACGAGAGTGTTCTTTCTGTGACTGCCAGGTTCAGAGGGAGGGAACCTAGGCCCCACCTCCCCGTGGGGGAGTCAAAGCCACCTTGCAAGGAGACATTGTTGCAGATGACTCTGAAAAATAGGATCTGCCAGTTTCTCAGAGAAACCGAGTGGACCCCTTTGGTCCCAAAGCTTAACTCGCCTAAGGGGTGCTGCTGGTGGTAGAAATGGGAACAGGATTCGGGTAAAGACTCCTCCTTCTCAGCGTCCCCATCCCTTTCTTGATTAGACTTTGCAGGTAAAGCAGCCCCAGAGATGAGGAGCAGGGCTAAGGGGGATACGAAAGCCGGCCAGAGCACTCCGTTTCAGGAGAAAGGTGCAAGTCTCAGGGCATTTGTGACCGGGTTGGCTCGCCTGTGGGACTGTACTCTATAGCAGGAAGGAGGTGCGGAGGAGGTGTGCCTGGGGATGATGTCTACAGTGAGGCCAGGAGCGAGACCCGAAAAGGCAGAGTCAGAGGGCGGCTAAAGGATGCTCTTCCTTCTCCTCCTTCCTCCTTGACCCAGCTCTGGCCCTGTGGTTTAAAAAACAAAACAAAGCAAGAGCAACAACAACAACAACAACAAAAACTATGATAGATTTGAATAAGCTGTCAACTAAAGGAATGAGTCTTTATTGAGTTCTACTTACATGCTACACGTATGTATTGAGCGCCATTTATGTGTTATTTCGCTTAACTGTCACAAACCCCCCGAGGGGTGGGCATGGTCCATTTCAATTTGTGAATGAAGACACTGGGACAGAGAGCTTAAATAACTTGCTCATGGTCCTACAGCCAGTAGGTGATGTAGGTTGGATCCAAATGATGTCCACCTGAGGCTAATAATTTCTTCCACTATAGACTCATTGCTTTGTCAGATTTCCTTTAGCTGGGGGGAGGCAATGGAGAATGGGGAAGTGATATTGATACAAGGAAGGACGAACAGAGGGATTAAGGGCTATGGAAATGGATCCACCAGATTTCCTTCCTGCATTTCTTAATGGTTGTTCACATTTAAGAGACGAGCAGGTAGAGGAGGCTGCCTGATTCTAGGGCTATGAATGAATTTGAGTAGGAGATGGTTTTGCAGAGAAAATGGGGAAACAGGTCCACTTGCGTCCAGTGACAAAAGAAAGGGTCTGGACCAAGAACACTGGGCTCTCCCCACAGTGATGGTCAGCCCTCACTGGCTCAGAAATCATAGCACAGTGGCTGGACATTTTCTTGCTCCTGCCTTTAATTTTGAGATTTCCTAAGCAAACATGTTTCCTATGTTGTAAAATAATTCCCTGGGAGAAGGTGGGATACAGTGGATGGTAACGAGAAACAGGAAATAGGAGCTCACCTTTTGGCTCCGTCATTTTTGGTTGGTGTTCTAGGCAAGTCACTTCGCTTCTTCTCTGGGATCCTGGTGGCTAGAGGGTCTCCCACTTTGTTCCAGCTGTCCCTGTTCCAGCACTGTGCCTGGCATGGAATATGTGCTCAAACATGCTGAATTATTGAGTATGTTGAGGTGAATTTCTAGCTGCTCCATGACAAAGTGTAAGTTTTGTTTTCTGAAGAGTCCGGGTAATCCCCAGCCCAGGTGAGCTGCAACCCTGCTCCTTTATATTTTGATCTGGAGTGGGGGTTCATCCTCAGGCGATGGGCATCCTCCATGGGGTAGAGGTCACAGTCTTTGACAGCCTTTAGGTCTCTCATGTCACTGTAACACCTAAGTCACCTTTATGTAACTTCCTGCAGCCAAGTCATCCCACAGGGCTGCATTAGAACATTCTCCCTTTGGGCGGGGCATGGTGGCTCACACCTATAATCCCAGCCGTCTGGGAGGCTGGGGTGGACGAATCACCTGAGGTCAGGAGCTCCAGACCAGCCTGGCCAACATGGTGAAACCCTGTCTCTACTAAAAATACAAAAAAAGAAATTAGCTGGGCATAGTGGCACATGCCTGTGATCCCAGTTACTCGGGAGGCTGAGGTGGGAGAATTGCTTGAACCCAGGAGGCAGAGGTTGTGGTGAGCCGAGATCTCACCACTGCACTCCAGCCTGGGCAACAGAGCAAGACTCTGTCTCAAAAACAAACAAACAAACACCAAAAAACAAACAAACAAACAAAAAACATTCTCCCTTTGGTTTTTCCTTTGTTCCAGTACATCTTGGATGCCACCGTGGGACTGCACACCATGAATCATGGACTGAGCCCACCAGGGTGTTCTGGGTGTCATGGAGAGGCCCTGGCAGGGATAGAAGGACGTCGTGCCATCTCCGTGTACTCAGGGTTTAGGCAGGCTATGGTCCCCCACCTCGCCTCACTCCCCTCCAGCTCCCCCTCTCCTTGCAGCCCACTCCTGCTCCCAGACCCTCCCCTCAGGTCTGCCATTGTGCCTCGGATCATGCAGCTCTCCATCCAGGGTGTGGCTGTGGGCTCTGTTACCCCTAGGGAGTTCGTCTCTGCTCCTCACTACCGTCCATTCAGCCTCCGGAGGTTGAGGAGGTTGGAAGAGTTGGGGTACAGCAAACATCAGGTGAGTCATTCCCCCAGGCTGATGTGGGGAGAAAAGAACGGGTGGATGTGCTTTTAGGAATAAATGACTTTGAAGCTAAGCATGCAGCTGAATCAAACATTAGTCACAGAACCCCGGGAAAAGGATGCCCTCTCTGAGAGAGGCCGTGTGTGTATAAGGGTGGTGGTAGGGATTTTGTTAGGAACAACAGATCTGAGAGAGCCACAGGACTTGCCACCTAATAGGGTCGTTTATTAGGTATAGTTCAAGAGTCAACTGTGGGTCACTTAGATTCATGGGACGTCATAAATATGCATCACTGAGGGCCTATTGTGTGGGAGATCCTGCGCACCTTACCCCGTGGCTGGTTTATAGAACCATTGCCTTTGGAAACGATTAATGGAAAGTGGCTAAAATTTGCAGCTGGGGGCAGTGGTATAGACTTCATGGTGGTAGGAGCATCTCTTTTTCTGGAGTCTTTTTCAAACAGAGCATGGGTTCCTCCAGGTCTAAAATGGTCAAGGGCCAATCTGAAGGTTAGGATAGCACTAGTTTATCTGGTAAAACCCTTGAGGATCTGTGGATCTGTGGTCTCTCAATTCATCATCTGAGGACAGGGAGACATAGTCCTGAGGAGTTGAGGTCATAGTTCCTGTAAGAAAGTTGAGATGGGCCAGGTGCAGTGGCTCATGCCTGTAATCCTAGCACTTTGGGAGGCTAAGGTGTGCAGATCACTTGAGGTCAGGAGTTCGAGACCAGCCTGGCCAACATGGTGAAGCCCCATCTCTACTAAAAATACAAAAATTGGCCAGGTGTGGTGATGCATGTCTGTAATCCCAGCTACTTGGGAGACTGAGGCACAAGAATTGCTTGAACTCAGAAGGCAGAGGCTGCAGGGGGCTGAGATCATGTCACTGCACTACACTCCGGCCTGGGCAACAGAGCAAGACTCCATCTCAAAAAAAAAAAAAAAAGAAAAGAAAAGAAAGTTGAGATGCTTTGGCATTGACCCGTTTTGTTGAAGTTCCCTCTTACTGCTTTTGTGAGACTTTTGTGAGAACAATCACCTTCCTGATTGTTCTTTCTCCCCAGACTGACTGCCCCAGTCTAGTGTTGACCACCAACACCTCTGTCATAGCTCTCACCCCTCTCCAGGCTCTGATGTCACAGACCCTGCAGTCACTTTGGATTTAGTAAATTCACTAAACATCCCTTTACTCACTCCCCCAAGTCAATCTCCCCTGCCCCAGTTCCATGGTTCTTTTCTGAACCCTCTTTTCTTCTGTATTCTTTTGCCATCGGACAGCTTCAGGTCTCCGAACATCATGCATGGTCTCCTAGTTGTCGATGTGCAATGGGTATTTCTCTTCTCTAAACCTTCCCGAGTCCTGCTAAAATGATGAAGTGATGAGCTGAGTGCCAAGAACAGCTATCACAGCTCCTTAGGGCATGGGCACCAAAGATCCATTTCCTCGTCTTGGGTTCATGGCTCTCCTACATTTCCTGGTCTCCTAGGTATTCAGATGTAACAGTTAATTGAGTTCCAGGAAGTGGAATGTGAGTGAAATGAGCAACACTTAAAGAAAAACACCAGCTATAAGCAGACAACAGTGCAGCTTAGGAGATGACAGCTTTGGAAATGAAGGCCCCGGGGTCCCTGAATTCCTGAGAGGAAGAAAGCAACCCACCAATGACATCAGACGTTGAGCTACATCAGCAAGAAATTAACCTGCATTGTGTTTGAAAATATCTGGGTCTCTTTATTACCACAGCCTAGCCTAGCCTAAGAAAACCCATTTCAAATCCAAACTCCTCGATCTGATCTTTAAGGTCTTCTATAAGTTATCCCTTCCCCTGTCTGGTTTCATTTTCCACTGCTCTCTTCTCTCCATCCTGGTCATCCTTGCCTCTCTCCCAGCCCTGAGAAGGCTCACTCTTGACTTCCTGCTCAAGCTTCCTGGTTCTCCTGCCCTCTACCTCTTTCCTTTGCTGATCTCAATCTCTAACCCTTCCAGGAAGATTCTCAGATAATTCTGCCCCACACACCTCTCTCTCTTCACTGAATTCATAGATCAGTAATTGTTTCATTTGTGCTTGTTTTCTCTTCCTTCTCAAGGGCAAGAACCGTCTTTGTGTATATTCCTCAATGCTTGGTATAAAGCAGGAGATAGATAGATAGATAGATAGATAGATAGATATAGTGTGTGTGTGTGTGTGTGTGTGTGTGTGTGTGTGTGTGTGTGTGTTTGTGTGTGCTGAGTACAGTCTATGGCCCCCAGATTCTATTCCTTGACATGAATAACATGAAGTATGTTCTCTAATAGATAATTTTTTCATTCAACAGGAGATTGATTCACTGGATGTCATTGTTATAAAAAGCAACAGTGAAAGCTGCAGGGAACACAGTACAAAGTAATGCACCTTCAGCACAGATGTTGGAATAGGAGACGCTATTACTTGATTTGTTCCTGTCTTGGCTAGTTGATGAGGCTGCTGATGTAGCCTTGACATTTTCACTTCCTCTTGACATATTTTGTTCTCTGTCAACATTCAACTTTCAACACTGGGCTCTGAGACTGAACATACCCAGGGAAGTACAGGACAGGACCTCTGGAGCAAAGAGTTCCCACTGTCTCACTTGACTTTAAGTCTCAAAGTTGACTTTCTTTGTCTATCAGGACAATCATCCTGAAAGTCAGGCTTTGTGCAGAGAGGAAATTTTTCCAAATCTCAAATATTTCCCTTGAGCATGTTAGGAACCAAGCCCTGCTGTGCCTCTATCAAAGAGCAGTGGAGAGAACAGACAGTCTGGAAGAGGGAGGATTTGGGGCAGAGGCAGTCCTTGCCAAAGAGCATAATAAGGTGAAATGCCAGCACCTTCTGGCTCTCTGCAACGTGGGAAGCACTGTGGGTCTAATATCAGTATACCCAGAATTCCTTCTCCAGGAGAAGAGAGGTGCCAGGTTGAGAGGGAGGCTTTTGGTGCACTCCTTGTTGGGACCCTGGGGTGGGGAGACCACCTCAAAGGGTGCCCCCTTCATTGTCATGGAGCTGCTGGCACATCAGCTTCACCAAGGCAGGGATCTTAGTTTTGTTCCCTGATCATGAGCATCCAGAACAGTGCCTGGGACATACTAGGGGCTCAATATATAGTTCTGGGTTGACTACATCAGAGTAAAATGGATGGGATCTGCCTTTGTGCAGAGTTCCCCCACGTGGTTTCAAAGGATTCCAGGAGTCCCTGCGTGTGGAGAGCTGGATGACCAGAGGGGACTGGTTGGGTGAGCTAACGCTGGGTGTTGCCACAGTGGAAGCTTCAAGGAGGACCTTTTGGGCTGGAGGGCAGCAGTGCTCTGGGACAGTCACAGGCAGACATTCAACATCAGTTAGAGACAGCGGGGGCTGAGTCAGCCTTAGGAGTGCTCGGCGAACCTTCTGCCTAAGATCTGCGGAGTCTGCCAGACAGTGAGTACCATGCCCTACAGTGCCCCCCAAGAACAGAGAGGGGCTCAGGGGCACATGATGAGGGGAGGCCACCTCTGCAACCACAAGGGCACAGCAAGCTCTCCCACTACTACCCAGAGGCCATCTGGGAGAGGAGGACGGAGCAGGGCAGAACTCCGGGTGTTTTTGTGAAAAAGACAATCTTAAACTGAAAAGAAACTATAGGAGCAGGGAGAGACTCACACATTTCTCGCTCCCATGTTTGAGTTTCCTTTCTGCTCTTTAAATTGGAGATGATATTTGCACCTACTTTGTAGGTTGCTGTGCAGGAGAAATAAATATATAAAGCATTTAGAGTCTCACCTGACCAGTTGAAATCAATGCTGTAGCTGCTGTTGGTCTTCTCTCCCAGATGGGTGGGGGACACCTGGGAAGACTAGGTCAGATATGAAAAATAAGAGGTTACATTGATATTGCACATCTGAGTGCAGTGTGAAAACATTTTGATACCATATTACTTAATAGCGACACTATTTGAGTAGGGATTTGTGGCTTACAAAGCACTTTTAAAAATTGTGCCCTTGAATTCTCTCAACAATGTGGGAGAGGGGAGATCATGTCTACCCTTCATTCACAGATCTAGAAACTGAAGTTCAGTGAGTTTGATGGCTGGACCACAGCCATGCTTCTAGCAAATGATGAAGCCAGCTCTGAAATCCAGGACTCCTCATTCCAAGACTCCTTCTTTTTCAGCCCCATCACCCCTGTAAATTGCCTGATTCTGCCAGAAGATACTGGACCCTTCACCTACATCTCCAGTCATGAGACTTCCCTCCTACAGGGAGGCTTTTGTTTAGCTGGGCTGAAGTGCTGAGAAAGGGCCCCGGTGGCAGAGGGTCCCAAACACATGTTAGTGAAAGAACAGCTTCCATGGACTGCTGAGCAAGTGCTGGGTTCATTCATACAACAATCCTGTCCAGGTGAGATGCGTTTCAAGGATCCTGAGGTCTTAAGTATTCCCACCATCCTTGCATGACAATGAGCCACCTGCAATCTTATGGCAAGAGAGAGGCCAGAAGGCCTTCCCAGGTCACAGAGACTCAGAGGTGACTCAGATACGAGGAACCCCAACCACTGTAAGGTAGAAGTGGCCGGGGGATGTGGCCAGCACCAAGAATGAGGGCAATGAGGTCAGCACTGTAGATGCAGGTGTGGGCAAGCAGCCCAGGTAAAGAATGGCCTTGGCCTCTGTCTTAGCAAAAACCCTCTTGGTGGTAAACAACGGAAGCCCAGTTCAAATTCACTTCAGCACTAAACAGGGCCAATTTGTTATAAGGGTTCGGGGTGTCTCCCAGAATCCAGGTCAAAGAATGACCTGGAACCAGGGACTGGAAACCCCTGGGATGTTGACTCGGACAGGTGTGGTCTTCTGCCTCCTGCTGCCCACTTGCCCTCTCTCTCACTCTTTGTGGGCTGGCTGGCCTCCTTCTCTGGCCTCCTGGTTGCCTGCACCTCCAGAATCTGCTTCACCCCAGTTTCAAATAAAAGCGGAGGCCAAGGTTAACTTCTCTGGTTTGTAATTCGGAATTTGCAGCAGAAAGAACTTGGCCTAATCAGAAACCTCCACACTCACTGTGGCTAGATTGGCTTTCCCTGTTCTTCTGAAGTGCTCATGGGGGCCTTCACGGGGCCTGCCCTTCAGACGAAGCAGAAAAGTGATCAAATGCAAGAAAGGCCTTTTGGCTAAACTATAGGGGAAAACGGTTTGCATGTGGAGGAGGGCTAGCTTATTCTGTGTTCTATTTATTGTTTCAAAAGGAGTAAGTTTTTCCTTCCATTCCAGCCTTGTTTTTACAATCCACCCTGAGGGCAGCTCTCACCCCAGGCATAGAATAGAGGTGGCTGCTTTCTGTAAAAAGGAAAAGTCATCTTTCCCGATGGAACACCTACCTAGTGCTCCAAAGTGATCGATTTTCTCCATGTGTTAGAACAGCCATTCCCTGGTATCTGTTAAGGGAGGCTTTGCCGCAGGAATAGAGATAAGGACAGCGAGTGGCAGGGTCCCTCTGCCTCAAGACACGTTTAGAACACTGTGATTTATATGCTTGGTCTCCTTTCACCACCATTTTTGTTACTTGGTGGAGGGGACACCTACTGACCCCACAGATTCCCACTCTGGAAATCAACTACTGAAGAAACCAAATTAGGAAAGTGTGTCCCAGTGTCACAGGATATCTTGGCCGGTTGGGGATTTTACTTTCCTTGTGTTCATGATTTCTGGTATGAAAGCAAAATTTGAAGGTTTGTGTCCCTTCAAACATAGCCCACCCGACATTTAACTCAGGGAAGAACAAACAGTAACAGTGACTTCCAAGGGGGCTCATTTCACTGGGAAGTTCTGAAACTGATAATTTATGGATGCCATTGGGAAGCTTAAGTTGTCTTTTCCTGGAAGGGGTGTAAGGCAGGCATTTCTTGAGTGTGATTGACCTCGAGGGATGTTCAGTGATGATGTCTTTGGCTCTTCCCCTGTGAGCTGAAACACCAGACCCTAACCCTACAAGTTGTCCCCTCCTGGGACATCTGGGCTCCTAGGATGGCTCAAGGCTCCTCCTGAGAGCACAGCACGATGCTCTTCTTTGCAACCTCACCATCTCCGCTCCTTTGCACTCCAGTTACTAGACTGAGGTCTCCTCTCCTGGTCAGCACTCATGAGAGCCTCTGCACTGAGGCCATCCTTCTGACCTCGTTCCAGCCCTTTCTCTGCTGCATCAGCCACAGTACAAGGAGATGACCAAAGGGAACATTTTCCCTCATGGGGCTACAATTCTATTATTAGGACCCAAAATGGGACGGCCATCCCTACCATTTGATTCAGTACTCCTAGTGATTCTCCCGTTTGAGTGATCTCAGTCTTTGAGTTAATAATAGCTTCCCTCATAAGAAAAAGTTCCTTAGACAGAAGATGGGAGTGATGTTTACTACCCTGTTCTAGACCCCATGTCATCACCCGGGGGGCAGCAACTGTGACTGTTCTTTCCTAGGACATTTGAGTGCCATCATCATAAACAAGCAGTGGCCAAGGCCTGACACAGCAATTGCTTGACTCACAATATGCATATTTTCCCATTCGGCCCTTCATCTCTGATGTCAATAGGGTAGAGAAAGAGAATCTGCCCCAGAAACCTTCTGGGTAGCATGGTAAATTAAGAGGGAAACATGAAGGTGGGATTCAGTGTCCTCCCACTGCCTCACTGACTTGATTTGCCCACAGTGTCCTGGTCACAGTCTCTGTTGCATTAGGTAACAATGAAAGAGGCCAAAAACAGCAGGTGTTTCCTAGTACTCCTTTATTATTATAGAAATTACTTTCTTTTGAGAAGTGTCTGTTCATGTCCTTCGCCCACTTTTTGATGGGGTTGTTTGTTTTTTTCTTGTAAATTTGTTTGAGTTCATTGTAGATTCTGGATATTAGCCCTTTGTCAGATGAGTAGGTTGTGAAAATTTTCTCCCATTTTGTAGGTTGCCTGTTCACTCTGATGGTAGTTTCTTTTGCTGTGCAGAAGCTCTTTAGTTTAATTAGATCCCATTTGTCAATTTTGTCTTTTGTTGCCATTGCTTTTGGTGTTTTAGACATGAAGTCCTTGCCCATGCCTATGTCCTGAATGGTAATGCCTAGGTTTTCTTCTAGGGTTTTTATGGTTTTAGGTCTAACGTTTAAGTCTTTAATCTGTCTTGAATTGATTTTTGTATAAGGTGTAAGGAAGGGATCCAGTCTCAGCTTTCTACATATGGCTAGCCAGTTTTCCCAGCACCATTTATTAAATAGGGAATCCTTTCCCCATTGCTTGTTTTTGTCAGGTTTGTCAAAGATCAGATAGTTGTAGATATGCGGCGTTATTTCTGAGGGCTCTGTTCTGTTCCATTGATCTATATCTCTGTTTTGGTACCAGTACCATGCTGTTTTGGTTACTGTAGGCTTGTAGTATAGTTTGAAGTCAGGTAGCATTATGCCTCCAGCTTTGTTCTTTTGGCTTAGGATTGACTTGGTGATGTGGGCTCTTTTTTGGTTCCATATGAACTTTAAAGTAGCTTTTTCCAATTCTGTGAAGAAAGGCGTTGGTAGCTTGATGGGGATGGCATTGAATCTGTAAATTACCTTGGGCAGTATGGCCATTTTCACGATATTGATTCTTCCTACCCATGAGCATGGAATGTTCTTCCATTTGTTTGTATCCTCTTTTATTTCCTTGAGCAGCGGTTTGTAGTTCTCCTTGAAGAGGTCCTTCATATCCCTTGTAAGTTGGATTCCTAGGTATTTTATTCTCTTTGAAGCAATTGTGAATGGGAGTTCACTCATGATTTGGCTCTCTGTTTGTCTGTTGTTGGTGTATAGGAATGCTTGTGATTTTTGCACATCGATTTTGTATCCTGAGACTTTGCTGAAGTTGCTTATCAGCTTAAGGAGATTTTGGGCTGAGACAATGGGGTTTTCTAGATATACAATCATGTCATCTGCAAACAGGGACAATTTGACTTCCTCTTTTCCTAATTGAATACCCTTTATTTCCTTCTCCTGCCTAATTGCCCTGGCCAGAACTTCCAACACTATGTTGAATAGGAGTGGTGAGAGAGGGCATCCCTGTCTTGTGCCAGTTTTCAAAGGGAATGCTTCCAGTTTTTGCCCATTCAGTATGATATTGGCTGTGGGTTTGTCATAGATAGCTCTTATTATTTTGAAATATGTCCCATCAATACCTAACAGACACTTCTCAAAAGAAGACATTTATGCAGCCAAAAAACACATGAAAAAATGCTCACCATCACTGGCCATCAGAGAAATGCAAATCAAAACCACAATGAGATATCATCTCACACCAGTTAGAATGGCAATCATTAAAAAGTCAGGAAACAACAGGTGCTGGAGAGGATGTGGAGAAATAGGAACACTTTTACACTGTTGGTGGGACTGTAAACTAGTTCAACCATTGTGGAAGTCAGTGTGGCGATTCCTCAGGGATCTAGAACTAGAAATACCATTTGACCCAGTCATCCCATTACTGGGTATATACCCAAAGAACTATAAATCATGCTGCTGTAAAGACACATGCACACGTATGTTTATTGTGGCATTATTCACAATAGCAAAGACTTGGAACCAACCCAAATGTCCAACAATGATAGACTGGATTAAGAAAACGTGGCACATATACACCATGGAATACTATGCAGCCATAAAAAATGATGAGTTCATGTCCTTTGTAGGGACATGGATGAAATTGGAAACCATCATTCTCAGTAAACTATCGCAAGAACAAAAAACCAAACACCGCATATTCTCACTCATAGGTGGGAATTGAACAATGAGATCACATGGACACAGGAAGGGGAACATCACACTCTGGGGACTGTTGTGGGGTGGGGGGAGGGGGGAGGGATAGCATTGGGGGATATACCTAATGCTAGATGACGAGTTAGTGGGTGCAGCACACCAGCATGGCACATGTATACATATGTAACTAACCTGCACAATGTGCACATGTACCCTAAAACTTAAAGTATAATAATAATAATAATAATAATAATAATAATAATAATAATAAAATTACTTTCTGCTGTTTCCAGCCTACTCCAATGCAGTATGAAATTCTGGGACCTCCAAGGGAGCAAATTACACATATACACAGGACCACAGTAGCCCTGATTCACCCAAGAATCTCCACTGCCACAAAATGAGGATACAACAAGGGGAGGACAAGTCAATAAACATTTCTCTAGCACTGGGTTAGGAGTCTTCTGTGTGTTATTGAACTGTGAGAAGGCGTGTAAGAAAGAACATGCCTTTCTTGTGAAATGGATTTTACGATCTCCACTATAGAGCTGAAGACCTCCAGGCTCACACCTGTGACAAATTGGCCAGACTTTTCTGGCACCAAGGACTGCCCTCTTTCATCAAGTTACCCAGCAGACAATCAAAGGTGTCAGCTTTCTTCACCAAGGTTTGATAATGTTCTAGGGCCCTGGGGAGAGCAAGAGGAGCCTCCGGTAAAATTGTGAAATGAGTGAGGTTTGGATTGGACTCCTTATAGCAATCTTCTTCCTACTCGGACATCCGGCAAGTCCCTTTGCTGACCTCCTTTCACCCCCAGGGCTACTGGCAGAGAATCCCTGAAAACCAAAAGGGTTGAAGATGTTATCTTTTCTAGAGGACACTCAGAGAACAAAAAGGCTTAGAGCTTAAATTGTGGCATTTCAGGCTCTAAGAGGGGCAGTGTCTACAAACACCTTAAGTTGCGTTCCCAGCACTTCCCCAGAAGGCAAAAAGAAACTACCTGGAGCACGTTGGATATGGGGCTCTAGTTCTGAGACTGAAAAATCCCAGTTCTCTGCTGAAGTTTGAGGCATTTAGAACAGCTCCCCTCCCGACCCAAAGGATGATTTACTGCATGGAAGGAGGCTCTTCAGTATCATGTGCACAGTGCCACAGCATTGTATCTGCCGTCACACCCCGTATGTTCAGTGCGGCCATGAGAAATCAAGGCATAGGACTGGTGAAGCATGAGGCACATGCCCTCCCAAATTGGGAGTAAAACAATGTCCCAGGCACCACTACTTTCTTAAACATTGCTCTGAAAGTGCTAGTCAATATATTTACACAAGGCCAGGTGCAGTGGCTCATGCCTGTAATCCCAGCACTTTGGGAGGCTGAGACAGGCAGATCTCCTGAGGTCAGCAGTTCAAGACCAGCCTGGGCAACATGGTGAAACCCTGTCTCTACTAAAAATACAACAATTAGCTGGGCATGGTGGCAGAAACCTGTAATCTCAGCTACTCGGGAGGCTGAGGCAGGAGAATCGCTTGAACCTGGGAGGCGGAGGTTGCAGTGAGCCAAGATCACGCCACTGCACTCCAGCCTCGGTGACCGAGTGAGACTCCAGTTTGTCTAATATAAAAATATGTATATATATATAGTCTAATATAAATATATATTTTGTCTAATATAAGTATATATTATATACATTTTGTCTAATGTAAATATATATATTTTGTCTAATATAAATATATATATTTTTGTCTAATAGAAATACAAATATATTTTGTCTAATATATATATTAGACAAAAGAGTGAAGAAATATAATTTCAACATTTTAAAAAGGAAGGAAACTCATTGTTTGTAAGGGATCTGATCACATCATTGAAATGTGCAAGAAAATAAAATTATTGGAAATACTGAATTCCGTAAGGTTGACAGATTTTTTTAAATGCAAAATTAATGTCTTTAGACACAAATGATCACCACTGAAACATCCAGAAATTCCACTTTTAGAAATCATCTGAGAAAATAATAAGTGCACAAAGATACAGTCGTAAAATCAACTTCAGCGTTCATCATCGGACAGTTGTTTCAATGAACTGTGGTTCATCTAGACAATGGAATGCATAGCCCTTAAAAATATTACTGTGGATCTACATTTACTGAAATGGAAAGATTCCCATACTATGGGATGGTATGATAAGCATGATATAAAGTTCTGAAATTATAGTGATATTAAACTTTTTTAATACATTAGGATTTAAACTTTTATGTACCAATATCAGAACAAAAGGCCATAAAAAGATTAAAATATAATGACAAGCCGAGAATAGATTGCATTTCTATTATGATCACTGGTGTATTTTCTTCACAACACTTACATCCACTTGAATTATATATATTTTTTGTTTTTTATTATCTTTCATTCTCACTAACCTAAAGTGAGGGAATGTAAGTTTACTGTTGCACACCAGAACCTTGAACATCATGAGTATTTGTTGCATAAATTATGAATAAATTCCACTTCTGCACATTATGTATCTCAATTTCTCTATATATACATGATATAGAGGGATGTCTGAAAAGATAATTCACCCAAAGGCTGGCATTGGTTGGCTCTATGTGTTGGAATTCTCTGTCTCCCTCACCCCTCAATCCTGGCTCTGTCTACATACCCATAAATACAAAAATAATACAGGAATGTATTCTCCTCATTCTTTTTTTTTTTTTTTTGAGATGACCTCGCTCTCTTGCCTAAGCTGGAGTACAGTGGCACAATCTTGGCACTCTACCTCCTGGGTTCAAGCAATTCTGGTGCCTCAGCCTCCTGAATAGCTGGAACTACAGGTGTGAGCCACCGCACTTGGCTAATTTTTGTACTTTTTGGTATAAATGGGGTTTCGCCATGTTGGCCGGGCTGATCTCGAACTCCTGGCCTCAAGTGATTCATCTGCCTTGGCCTCCCAAAGATCTGAGGTTACAGGTGTGAGCCACCTCACTCAGCCTGAATAGATTCTCAATCTTTTAACTCCCAGCAATATGGAATAAACTGCATAGATGAAAACACAGAAGTTCTTTTTATTTCTCTCTTCTGCCCACCCCACCAAATCCTATCTTCCTCCCCAGAGATAACTATCATTTTCAGTTTTGTTTGTGTCCTTCCAGACTTTAAAGACACATCTAGACTGACAGTTTTAGTTGTATGTATTCTTTAAATTAAGTGAGACTAGTCCATGTATATTATTCTGCAATTTGCTTTTTTCATTTGGCAATATTGAAATTCTTTCTGTGCCAGTACATATAACTTTCCTGTCCTTTTTTTTTTTGTTTGTTTGAGACAGAGTCTCGCCCTGTCACCCAGGCTGGAATGCAATGGCACGATCTCAGCTCACAGCAACCTCCGCTTCCCTGGTTCAAACGATTCCACTGCCTCAGCCTCCCAAGTAGCTGGGATTTACAGGCGCCTGCCACCATGCCCAGCTAATTTTTGTATTTTTAGTAGAGATGGGGTTTCCCATGTTGGCCAGGCTGGTCTCGACCTCCTGACCTTGTGATCCACCCATCTTGGTCTCCCAAACTGCTGGGATTACAGGCGTGAGCCACCGCGCCTGGCCTCCTGTCCTTTTTAGCTGCTGCATGGTCACCATTAATATGCATGTATTACCAAATATAGATGCATTCTGGTTTGTTTTATGTGCATTTAGTCAGCATCCAGTCTTTTGCAATCGCAAGCCATGGTGCACCAGTGAACACCTTGTTTGGTTCCCTTTGTAAACGTTGTGTGTATTCTCTGAATACATGTTTTGAAGTGGAATCGCCAGGTAAAATAATGCATTCATTTTAAGTATTGATAGTTTCTGCCGAACTGTCTTTCACAAACGTGACACTAACTTACCTCTCCCCTCATCTTAGGTGAGAAAGCCATTTCTCTACCCTCTTGTCAACATAGAATCATATCACAAATCTTCTAATGTTTTGCTGGTTTGACAGGGAAGGACTATATCTTTATGTTTTTTGTTATAATTTTTTTAAATTAAAAAAAATTTTTATACCAACGAGGCTGGTCTCAAACTCCTGAGCTCAAGGAGTTTCTCTTTATGTTGTTTTAGTCTGCATTTCTCCGATCACTAACAAAGTTGATCACTTTTACCTACGCTTTTAAGACATTTCTTCTGGAAAATTCATGTTCATAAGCTTCGTCCATTTTCTTCTTTGGTTGTTTATCTTTTGATTAATGGTTTACAAGATTTTTAACAACAAATACTTCGATTATTGATATTATCTTACATATTTAAAACCTCCTCTTTCTCAAGATCCGGAAAATATGTATCTATGTGTTCTTCTAATGGTTGTTAGTTTTGCTTTTCATATTTAGCACTATAATACATCTATTATTTCTTTGTGTTTATGTTGTGAAATAAAAATTTAACTGAAAAACATTCCCAAGTCAATAACCAATTGCTCTAACACCATTAAGTGAAAATATTTTCTATTTTCTCATTTGGACTATCACCTTTGTCAAGTATGAATTGATGGCATGATTTTTACTTGAATTTATTATACATGTTTTTATTTTTGAATGCACTGTTATAAGCTACAGCAGGCTGGACGCAGTGGCTCATGCCTGTAATCCCAGCACTTTGGGAGGAAAAGCAGTTATTTTCCATTTGAATACATATTATAATAATCAACATCATGAAAAATTAATGATAAATTAACTGAAAATTTCAAGTGATAATATTTTATGCATAATTTAATCTAAATTATGTAAATACATCTATGTGAATAGATGCAGAAAATAATGAGTAAGATGCTAACAACTACATCTTGGTGGCTTTCTCTTACTGGTATTTCCCATGCACTCTCCAATTTCACTTCTACTTTTAGGGCTTAGCTCTGCTTCTTTTCTACTTTGCAAGGGTTGAGTCTCTGATTTTCAAGGTTTTGGCTCTTGTTGAATGACACGAGAAGTGATTATAATGTTGTATGCCCTGAATGCATGGTGCTGTGAGGATGTGGTGACTTTATCGAGTCAGAGAAGAAAGGCAAGGGAGTGAAGAGTTTGAACATCTGTTACGTATCAGATTGCCTCATTTGATTTTTTCAAATCACCTCTTAAATAAAATGTTCTAATCCCCACTTTCCATGTGAGCAAATTGAGATTCACCCAAGCGAAGTCAATCAGTCACCTCCTGTAGGCTGCACAGCAAGTATGTGGCAGAGCTGGGATTTGCACCAAGGTCAATTTGGAGCCAAAGCTCACAGGCTTCTCCTCACATCAGGCAGGCTCTAGGGACGTGGATGGCAAACCTGAGGGCCTGACATCTGGACCACATTCAGTCAAATGTGATCTACTGGCATCATCCTCATGCACCTTCCGTGTCTTCTGCAAGAATCTGAAGCCATGAGCCAGAGGCTGGTGCATGCGTCAAAGGAAGCTACAGCAGGCAGGGCGCAGTGGCTCACACCTGTAATCCCAGCACTTTGGGAGGCGGAGGAGGGTGGATCACTTGAGGTCAGAAGTTCGAGACCAGCCTGGCCAACATGGCAAAACCACGTCTGTATTAAAAATACAAAAATTAGCCGGGCGTGGTCGTATGCACCTATAGTTCCAGCTACTTGGGAGGCTCTGGCAGAAGGATTGCTGGAACCCGGGAGGCGGAGGTTGTGGTGAGCCGAGATCGTGCCACTGCACTCCAGTCTGGGTGACAGAGAGAGACTCCATCTCAAGAAAAATAAAAAATAAAAAAAGAAAGAAGAAGCAGCTAAAACCATACACACATTGCCCTGGAAGGGAACAGTCTGGGTCCAGAGGCTTAGCATTCTTACTCATTTGTCCCGAGTCCACTTTTGAGGGATCACGTACCTGTTATTCAGTCTTCCTGGTTTTTAATTGTGATCCCAATTCAGGAGATAGAAATGAAGCAACCCAGCATTCAGTTAAAGGTAATAATATGCATTTTCCTTTAACTGTTTCTTCAATCTCAGTACTCAATGCTAATACTCAGTAAGTAATCTCGTTGCTCACGAAGAGTGCAACCATTGTGATTCAGTTGATTTTAAAGCCTCATGAGATGACCTTGTAACACTGGAAGAGACCTTACTTTTGAAATAGGGTTGACTTTTTCTTAAGAAAGAGAACACGACCCCTGGTTGCCTAGTATTGCCTTCTCCTCTGCTGTAGGATATATAAAAATAAATGTGGTCTGTTTACCCCTCCCCATAGATCAGGAAATACCAAACTCTAAGGTTCTGGGGCAATGGTTAGCCCTGCCTTTGGCTCCATGCCATGTCAGGATATGATTTGAATGGCTCTAATATAGTTTGCTCCTATCAAAGTCATGCCTTCTTTTTGAGTCAATTACTCAGCTAAAGATTGGGATAGAGAGAATTAATGGAAATTGTGGAAATTGAAGTTCAAAAGGCTAGATTCTCATCCATTGTTTGGCCCTCATGCTTGACCTTTTATTCAGATTCTTTATTTTGACAAGTTATTCTTTCTGAACTTGAACTTGTGCTAAGGCTTTAGGACTATTGTTGGCTTACTAGGAAACAATAATTCCAAGCATGCTAGACTCCCTGCCTTCCTTCACACTGTTTACTTTGCCCGGAATGTACTTCCTTCCATGTCTGCATATCCAAATGCCACCCACCCTCTTCGAGGTTCTGTGTAAATATTCCTACCTTCCTGAAAGCTTCCCTGGGTCCCTCCAGCTGCCAGTTGCAAGACAGTGGGTAGTAGCAGAGAGCAAGGATTCTGAAACCAGACCAATGCGATTCACATCCCAGCTCTGCCACCTCCTAGCCATGGGACTTTGGCTATGTTTCTTACTGTATCTGTGCCATAGTTTCCCCATCTGTAAAAAGAGGACAATAATAGTACTTATCTCATAGGTTGTTAGGAGGATTAAGTGAGCTAATATATAGTAAGTGCTTAGAACCATACTGGATACATAATGTTTGTTAAAATAAATCATATTTTCTTTTCTGAACTGTTAGCATTTCAATTATATCTTTTTTTTTTTTTTTTTTTGAGATAGAGTCTTGCTTGGTTGCCCAGGCTAGAGGGCAGTGGTGTGATCTCTGCTCACTGCAAACTCCGCCTCCCGGGTTCAGGTGATTCTCCTGCCTGAGCCTCCCAAGTAGCTGGGTTTACAGGTGCCCACCACCATGCCTAGCTAATTTTTGTATTTTAAGTAGAGATGGGGTTTCACCATGTTGGCCAGGCTGGTCTCAAACTCCTGACCTCATGATCCACTGGCCTTGGCCTCCCAAAGTGCTGGGATTATAGGCATGAGCCACCACACTCGGTCTCAATCCTATCTTTTATAGTGCTTATCAATGTCTGCTTTCTATTACACAAATTATCTTCTCTCCTTTTCTAGCCTGAAAGTTCCTGGAAGGAAACCTGTGTTTGTTTCAGCTCCATATCCTTGTGAATCCTCAAAATTTGAGAAAGGTCTCAGTTAATTTAGAGAGTTTATTTTGCCAAGGTTGAGGATGTGCCCGTGACACAGTCACAGGAAGTCCTGAGGACATGTGCCCAAGGAGATCAGGGCAGAGCTTAGTTTTACACATTTTAGGGAGACATGAGACATCAATCAATATATGTAAGAAGTACACGAGTTTGGTCTGGAAAGACGGGACAACTTGAAGCAAAGGCAGGAAGACTCAAAGCCAGAGTGAGCTTCCAGGTCACAGGTGAGATGCAAACAGTTGCATTCTTCTGAGTTTCTGATTAGCCTTTCCAAGAAAGGCAATCAGATATGCCTCTATCTCAGTGAGCAGAGGGGTGGCTTTGAATAAAACCGGAGGTAGGTTTGCCCTAAGCAGTTCCCAGCTTGGCTTTTCCCTTTAGCTTAGTGATTTGGGGGCCTCAAGATTTATTTTCCTTTCACATCCCTCACAGTACCTCGCACATGGTAGACACTGCATAGATAAATATCTCTTTTTTTTTTTTTTTTTTTGAGATGGAGTCTCACTCTGTCACCCAGGCTGGAGTGCAGTGGCGCGATCTTGGCTCACTGCAACCTCAGCCTCCTGGGTTCAAGAGATTTTCCTCCTCAGCCTCTGGAGTGGCTGGGACTGCAGGCGCATGCCACCAGGCCTGGCCAATTTTTTGTATTTTTAGTAGAGATGGGGTTTCACCATATTAGCCAGGATGGTCTCAATCTCCTGACCTTGTGACCTGCCCGCCTTGGCCTCCCAAAGTGCTGGGATTACAGGCGTGAGCAATAAATATCCACTGAGTGCTTTCCATGGTAATTGTTTTGGCTTGATCCTCTCATTGCAAGTTACCAAATCTATAACTCAAAAGGGCATCATGTGTATTGTCTTCCCTATCCATAAATATTTGTTTATTTCCAATCATTCCTTTGGATAATGTTCTAGAAAATCTTTCAGAGGAAACACATTGGGATGTGCATCCTGCCAAAACTAGTTCATATCATGGGCACAGAAAGCTCGAAATTGAAGTAAGGAAATATGTCAATGTCAGCTTCAATGTCAGCTTCCCAGGATGCCTGCTTCCTAGTGGCATTGCTGCAAGGTTCAGAAACTATTGTCAGTTTCTTCAGGTGTGGCAGGCCAGGTCTCACTAACAACGGTTTCAGTACTGTGTGGTTATGTTAAATATTGAAAGCCAGTGCCCTCATGCAAAGGCTGGGATATAACAAAAGCCCATCAAGAGTTTTGCCTAGGCCTTTCCTGTGCCTTAAAGCATGACAAAATAATGGAGGAACTCTTAACAGGATCCATTTAGGATTAAACAAGTTTTATGGGGGGTCCGAAGAAACTCCCCAGGCCTCCACAAACAAGAAACTCCTCAAAGGTCCGTGGTTTAGCAGGAGACAAGATAAGGGTAATCACCCCAGCGCCTGGACCCATTTAGATTAAGTAAATTTACTGAGGCTCCAGAGGAAGGTCTTCAGGACTCAGACCTTAGTTATAGATTAAAAGAAGTTAATCGCTTATGGTTTTAGAAGAATGCACATTTACACATAGACATATAGCTTAGAAGATATATAACCTCTGGAAATATACCATTCCAGATAACCATTGTAATTTTGCATTGGCCTGGCGATAATTTCCAGGCCTTCTCCCTATAACCAGTTACAGAAACAAAAATAGCAAATCATCAATTTTTAGTGAAAACTAGATTTCCAAAGGAGGTCCTGAAAGGCTCTTGTTGGCAGGTTTGCACATTCTCTTTCCATATGGAAATGTACTTAAGAAGCCAAATCAATGTGAGAAAGCTGCCTAGTGGGTATAGAGTTTAATAAAGAAATTAGGCCTTCAAGCTATCATTGCTTGATATATCCATTCTCCCTAGAGGGAATGCAGTCCAGAAGGGGCAGATGCTCTGCTCTCATCAGCACTGGAGACACCAACACATTCTGATAATTTCTCTCTCCATTTCCAGTATTCCTGGCCAGTTTTTGTTGTTATTGTTGTTGTTTTGTTTTTTGTTTTTGTTTTTGTTGTTTTGAGACAGAATCTCTCTCTGTTGCCCAGGCTGGAGTGCAGTGGCGCAATCTTGGCTCACTGCAAGCTCCGCCTCCCGGGTTCACGCCATTCTGCCTCAGCCTCCCAAGTAGCTGGGACTGCAGGCGCCCCCCACCATGCCCGATTTTTTTTTGTATTTTTAGTAGAGACGGGGTTTCACCGTGTTAGCCAGGATGGTCTCGATCTCCTGACCTCGTGATCTGCCCGCTTCGGCCTCCCAAAGTGCTGGGATTACAGGCGTGAGCCACTGCACCCTGCCAAGTTATTAAAACTTCTATAATGATACTACTTGTCAAAACAGATATGCTTCAGTTTCCAAGATTATAACATCTTTCATTTTGCTGTCTAAACGAAGGTCTTCCTTTTGGAGAGGTATTCTAAATCTTTGACTAATGTTTAGAAAAGGCTCTAGCCTCGTTAGCAACACATTTACATCTGTCTTTGGTGTGTAATTTTTTAGGGAGTGGAAGATAGGAAATACCCAGTTTTTCCTGGATGCCTGTTAGTTTCAAGTTGTGATGGTGACAGATTCTAACCTTCATCCCCATACTCAAGAGACTACCCATTTGAATCTCACAGTTTCAAAAACCGTGAATATAGCTGGCACCTTAGTTTCACTGGAAGGCCAATGCCTTCTATTCAGCTAGTAATTTTCATCTGTTGAATCTGGTTCTAATTTAAAATATCAGTAGGCTCTATAGCTAAAGAAGTCATTTCTATAGTTTTAGAACACACAACTGCAATTTCCCCAGTAAGTTGGAGGAGATACTGTGTGGTTACATAAAAGTGTTTTGTTTTTGTTTGTTTTATTTTAAATATACCTGAACTCCTTGAACAACAGTGAAATTAAGAGAATGTGCTTTCAGTCCAGAGCTTGCTGGTAGGTTACATCCTCCAACTCAGCATGTGCCACACTTTTGTGGTTCCTAAAGGTCCCGGGAACAGAAGGACACAGTCACAGACGTCCCTCTGTTCTCAGCTAATTAAGTAAGTAAGCTCTACCAGCTCTGTTCTCTCCACATCCTCACCCACGCCACGTCATTGTCATTCCTTGAGCCAGAGTCCTATGTTCTCATAGAGAATCGGGCTCAATAGGAAGCTTTTATTTGAAAGGCAAAAAGAAAGCTTATGTTTCAGGAGGTGTTTCAATGAGAAGATTTCAAGAGTGTTAGTGGTTGAACGTAATTTCAGCTGCATTAAATTCTGGAGGCAGGTTTTGCTTTAGGCTTCTGGAAATAAGAGTCATAGATAAGGATGAGAATAAGTGTTAAACACAATTCTGAAATCCCCTTATTTTGCAGAGAAGGAAAATTAGTCCCAGAGAAGTGAGGTACCTTATCCGAGGTCACAGAACTTCTTAGTGACGGAGATAGACCTTGAGTCTCGAGGCCTCCTGTTTTTCCAACTAGATCTCACATAACGGGAATTGCAAATGCTGGATAATTTCATTTGCAATTACTAACTCCTAACAATGTTAGTTAAAATTAACTAACTCCTTGAGCACATTGTAGATTTTTTTCCTGCTTATATACATATGTACACAAGAAAACACCGCAATATGCAATATACAGAAAATGTATGCAATATAATTTTGGTAGAAATTTTGACTTAATCCTACAGAAACTATTTCTTGAGAGATTATTACATACCACTTCCTACATCCAATGTGCCTTGAGCTAAAACTGTGAACAAAACCAACATTGATTTCGCTTCATGGAGCTCACACTAAGTGGAAAATGCAGATCAGCAAAAAGGCAGGAAAGGGGGACTGTGATTAGGAAGGGATCCCTGAGAGGTTGGGTGGGGATAATCATAGAGGGCAGCTTGGAGGAAGAACTGTTGTCTAGAGGAAAACCTGAAGGTGAGAGGATTTAGGGATCACACTTGTTGGCATGCCAGGTTGATTTCCTGTTGGTTTCTGTGTGCTGTTTCCTGGGCTCGGAAAGCCCCCAACACCTTGCTGTATCCACATTCTCATCTCCTCTCCCCGTTGATCTCTTGGTCATCTTTTCCTTCTGGGGGCAAGTGTCACCCCTTCAGAAACTCCCTTTCATCCAGAACAGACAAGAGGTCTTTACTCTGGGTCCCTATCAAGTTTTGTTCATCCTTTATTATAACCATTATCATATGCTAAAAATACATGCTTGCCTCCCTGTCTTCTCCAGTAGCTTTCAAGCTCTTAGAAAACAGGGACTTTGTCCTACTCATGTACTTGTGGACATAGTACCAGGTACAGGGCAGGCATTAAATCAATGTTGATATTTGCTGAATGCAGTGACTGGCATTGGGGTACCCTACAGCTCTCCTCACGCTGTCTCTAAACCACCTTTTCTCCTCCGGATTACATTTGAAGCCCCTCATTTGTAAGAGTCACTATTAGTAAAAACCTTAGGGTTGCCTCATCAAGAGAATGAGAAAGAAAATCTGTCAGAAGAGTAGACAGTCACCACCAGGGTAGGCATGTGGCTGCCTCATGCAGGGCCAGGGCCAGGGCCATGGCTGTGCCTTTCTTCTCTCCCAAGCTAGAGAAGAACGGAGGCTGCGGACTGCCCCCAGCGAATCCCAGTGCCCACATCATCCTGTGGAGAAGCCTTGACTACCCCCAAGCTGAGTCCTGACGGGACAGACGAGTGAGATCCAACTTCCCTTGCACTTCTGGTGATTTATATTGGACTAGAGTCTTCACCAGGGAACCTGTGGACCAAAATCAAAAATTATTTGAAAATTCTGAAGCCAGGCAAACATTTGTGGGTAGCGTGAGAAGAAAAAGATGAACTGTCTGTGCGGAGCAAAGAGAAATGTGCCCTGCTTCCTGATTGGGTGGTCGTGGTGATGGTGGGGCCATCTTTGAAAG
Source organism: Homo sapiens (assembly GCF_000001405.40). NCBI lineage: Eukaryota > Metazoa > Chordata > Mammalia > Primates > Hominidae > Homo > Homo sapiens. Next base: position 29,613,237 of record NC_000008.11, read on the forward strand.
AAGAGACTGCTGCTCAGAGCCTTCTGTGTTCTTGATTGCACTGTTCTATTAGCTAAATCATAAGAATTTTTTTAAAGCTTGTTTTTAATACTTAACTGGTACATTAGAACTAGTTTTATTTATCTAGAGATTTTAAAAGGCCCAAAGGCCACAGCCAGCTGCATCGTCCTTGTTGGAATGGATTAGTTTCCCTGTTTATTCATTTCCTACTCACATGTTAAGAGTTGTCCTTTCCATTTGAAAAGTATCTACGTCCACAGTAACTGCCCAGGATTGGCAAACTCCACTGGAGACGCAGCATGTGGAAGAGGAATTAGCTTAACTGGCTGTCCTTGTTAACATTGCCCCAGTTGTCATAAGCTTTTGTCTACCACATATTATCTGTGATATGGAGACAGAAGTCTCACTTCTTTCTGAGCCTGGCTTCTGTCTGTGCTAGGTAACTTTTTGCACTATTCTATTGAGAAGTGAAGCCAGTTGGACTTCCAGGGTCCAGTGGGGACTTGGAGAACTTTTCTGTCTTACAAGAGGATTATAAAATGCACCAATCAGCACTCTGTAGTTAGGATTGTAAAACGCACCAATCAGCACTTTGTGGCTAGCTAGAGGTTTGTAAAATGCGCCAATCAGTGCTCTGTAAAAATGCACCAATCAGCGCTCTGTGTCTAGCTAGAGGTTTGTAAAATGGACCAATCAGCACTCTGTAAAATGTACTAATCAGCAGGACATGGGCGGAGACAAATAACGGAATAAAAGCTGGCCACACCCAGCCAGCAGCGGCTACCCGCTTGGGTCCCCTTCCACTGTGTGGAAGCTTTGTTCTTTTGCTCTTCACAATAAATCTTGCTGCTGCTCACTTTTTGGGCCCGTACCACCTTTAAGAGCTGTAACACTCACCCTGAAGGTCTGTGGCTCCATTCCTGAAGTCAGCGAGACCGCGAACCCACTGGAAGGAAACAACTCTGGACACAATATCTATGCCCTCAGTCATTCCAGCAAACTTGTTCGGTATGGACATTTCTTAAATGGAAATAGCTACTGGCTGGGCGTGGTGGCTCAAACCTGTTAATCCCAGCACTTTGGGAGGCCAAGGCAGGTGTATCGCTTGAGCCCAGCGTGGGCAATGTAGTGAGACCCTGTCTCTACAAAAAATAAAAAATATAATATTTTAAAATGGAAAGACCTAGGTGCAGCGACTTGGCCTAGAGTTGAAAAGCACTTGAATGTCAGGTAGATGGTGATGTCAAATGGAGAAAATGCATTTTCCTTCCTCACTCCCTTGGACCTCAGTGTTCTTATGTGTCAAATGCAGATATTGAGGGAGGAATCTTCTAGAGTTATTTTCAGATTCTGATGTTCTCGAATCTCTCTAAGCTTTGTATCATCATAAACAGTACTTCCTGTTGGAACAGGTGCAATTCTTGCTGTGGCAATACCTATACCAGGGAAGAAACTGAAAATCCCCCAGAGTCCCCAGCTTGTCAAGGAGGCAGGGAAAAGAGCTCTCTTGACTGAGACTCCGGAAATGAGTCATGCACACTGCACCCTGGAGGACACATCTTGAACCAGGGATGAGGGGCCCATCCTGTACAGGGGACAGAAGTGGGGAAGGTGCTTGAGCTTTTTCTGCACCTGTCCCTTAGACGTTCTCCCTACTCCTGGATGCCCAAGGACACCATTAGAAAATGGGCTCCCCACACACTCTCCTAATCCCTGTAAGGAAGAGAAACTCCTGGAGGGGGGATTGAGTTGGGTAACAGGGGAGGGAGAAGCCTGTTCTGAGCAGAGAGGAGGTTAATTAAAGGGGAACCAAAAATAGCCTCCTTCTGGGTGCTGTTCATGGCTCCAAGAAAAGGGGCAGTCAGTGTCTGGAACACAGCAGAGAAGTGGAAAGGAGGGCTGACTTTGGAAATGGGTATTACTCGGGAATGCTTGTATTGAAGGTGGGGGAAGATGGGGTCTTGTGAGTCTTTGCCTTCTTCTCTCCTCACATGGTGGATCAGGGTTGGATTAGGGCAAGTGGTATCAGGCGCTCTACTTGTCCCCTGGGACCTAATGGGATTCCAGAAAGACAAGTGAACCCAGCTGGAGATGTGTGCGTGCCTGGCTGTACTCTACCTATGCCAGCACCCCCGGAAGTGGAGGGGGCCATTCAGCCTCTGATAGTCATGTGCTCCTCTGAAAGTTAAGCTGGGCTTTACATGAGGCAAAAATAAGATGATTGAGTAGAACGAGGGAGGGGGTTTTAGTACATTGCCCAAATCCCTAGAGGCGAAGGCATTTAGCAATGTCCATTGCTAAAGGAATCTGCTCTTCAACAAAATAAGGTCATTCTTAAACATCTTTATTGAGTGCCTACTGAATGCTTGGACAATGGACAAAGATGCTTATAAAAAAACTTTTCTGTGGGCCCTAAAGCATGCTCTCTGGGTCTGCCGGCCTGATCCAAGCTCATTAAAATTCCAGATGTCGGAAGGAGGCTGTGCTCCATCCCATGACTTAAGCCCCCCTTGGTTAGTTCAAAGCAACCTCTGCTGCCCTCATGGAAAGTGCCAGGTTCATGCCCTCAGCTGCACTTCAGTGCAGAAGGGTGCCAGGTGGGTCTGACTCCAGGGCATGGTGAATTTTCTTAAAGCAAAGGGTACTTGAGCCCCCATTGTGTGTGTGAATCCTCAGAAAATGTGTGTGTGTGTTTTTTTTTTTTTGAGGATAGTGTTTGTAGCTTTTACCAGATTTAAAGAAAGAAAGAAAGAAGAAAAGGAAGGAAGGAAGGAAAAGAAAGAAAGAAAGAAAGACAGAAAGAAAGAAAGAGAAAGAAAGAAAGAAAGAGAAAGTAAAAAAGAAAAGGAGAAGGAAGAAAGGAAGGAAGGAGAGAGAAAGAAAAAGAAAGAAAGAAAGGAAGGAGAGGGAAGGAGGGAAGGAGGGAAGGGGAAGGGAAAGGGGAAGGGAAGGGAGGGAAAGGCAAGGGAAGGGAAGAAGAAAGAAAAAGACATGGGAGGGGAGGAGAGAGGAGAGGAGAAGAGGGGAGGGGAGATCAAGCCGCTTTCCCAGGTCCACCAGCTGCTTCACAGCTCAGGGGCAGGGTGGAGCCATTCCTTGTTAGGTCTCTGCTGTCACTTTTCTTATCCTACATACTTTTCTAAAAGCAGGGAACTGTACAATCCCTCCTGCCGGCTTAGCCATCTGAAGGCTCTTTCTTGACTGCATATCCATTCATTGCCATGGAGGGGGAATACCAGAAGAAAAAATCACCAGGTCGACCCTTGCTCCCTGTCTTCAAAGGAGATGTCTCCAACAGACTTCCTTTAGGGCCGGGGGGCTTGTGGCTTTGGCCAGCCATTGTGCAAGCAAAGAAATAACTCCAAAGCTTAGCTCCTGAAAGCAGGGAGCAGAGGGAAGCCATTGCAGTGTCTGGAAAGAGGGCGAGGTCCCCTCTTTTCTGGGTAAGGAAGTGGGAGTGGGGGTGTGAAGCTGGCTGGGACCATAATCTCCATGGAAGAAACGTCAAGCTCTCTAAGGGGTGTATTACCTTTCTGCTGTTAGTTCTAGCCTTTTTCCTGTTTTTTTAAAACTCCAAAACCCATTGATTTTCTTTTACCACTGATGGATGTGTTTGCTAATTTGCTAATAATATTGCCTTCTACTGACAGGAAGGAACTTGTATTTGGTTACTTAATTTTGTTTCAGATGTCAGCCCTGTAGGAGGTGGGGGTGTCTGGACATTGATGAATTGGATATTTTCTTGCTAAAGACGGGGGCACCTTCTCATTTATCTCTGAGTTTTCTCTTTTGTTTACCCACTGCCCACCTCCTGAAGCTTTCTCCGGAGACTGGCTCCCGGGGTGTTTGGGGAGCTCTTCCTCACTGGCTGTGCTGGCCTGAGCCCCCATTCTCCCCCTAACTGGAAAGATCTGTGCTATTCCCACAGGACTTCGTGTTATGACCCTTTGGAGAAAAAGCAGTGAGTAAAAACAGAAATTTCTCTTTAGAGATATGCTGACATTGTCAGAGATGTTCGAACCAGAGCAACTCCATCTTGAATAGGGACTGGGTAAAATAAGGCGAAGGCCTACTAGGCTGCATTCTCAGGAAATCAGATATTCTTAGTCACAGGATGAGATAGGAGATCACAAGATACAGGTCATAAAGACCCTGCTGATAAAACAGGATGAGGTAAAGAAGCCGGCCAAAACAAAGATAGCAATGAAAAGTTATCTCTGGTCATCCTCGCTGCTCATTATACACTAACTATAATGCATTAGCAGGTTACAAGACAATTTCACCAGTGCCATGACACTTTAAAAATGCCATGGAAACATCCGGAAGTTACCCTATATGGTCCAAAAGGGGAGGAACCCTCAGTTCCGGTAATTGCCCGCCCCTTTCCCAGAAAACTCGTGAATAATCCACCCCTTGTTTTGCATGTGATCAAGAAATACCCATAAAAACAGCCAGTTAGCAGCCCTTGGGGCTGCTCTGCCTATGGACTACTCATTCTTTACTCCCTTAGTTTCCTAATAAACTTGCTTTCATCTTATGGACTAGCCCCAAATTCTTTCTTGTGCAAGATCCAAGGAACATCACTTGGGGTCTGGATTGGGGCCCCTTTCTGGTAAAATTATTGTGGTCGGGAAAATAGCATGGTGCCAGAAGTTGAGGTGTGAAAACATGTAGATTGTAAAGCTGGGAGTCCCTTTCTAGCAGTGACTAGAAGGGGGGATCCCTAAGGCTAGAGTGATTTTCTTTTCCTGGGGGAGCAAAGCATATCTACTAGTAGGAAGGGACAAAGGTAAATTAGGTGCAGCAACTTGTGTAATAGAACAAGCAATAAACTTGTGGCTAAAGGATTAGATTTTAGATCTCAACTCTGCCACTTACTAGCTTTGTAACTTCTAGCAAATAATTCCTAAGTTTCAGTTTCTCATCTGCCTAATAAAAATAATAATGTATCAGTTAGGATGGCTTTATTTGCAAATAACTGAAAACCCAATTCAAAATGGTTTAAATACTGAAGGAAATGATTAGCTCGTGGCTACTAAAAACTTTGTAAGTGGCATAAGCTTCAGGCATGGTTTGATCAGGGTTCCAGATGCATTTCTCTCTGAGTCTCTGGTTTCTGCCCTTCTTCTTTTGCTTTTCTCCTGGAAGAAAGATGGTGGCAGCTGTTCCAGGCCTCCCAGAGGCATATCGCATAGAGAACTTCTCTTCTCCAATCACTGGCCAAAATTATTGTACATCATCCTGACTGGACTGACTTACATCATGTACTCACGCCTAAACCAATTTTTTGGCTTGGCCCGGATACCAGGCACTGTTCATCTTAGGCCTCAGTCACACATTCTCTATACCAACCACCATAGCAGGTGGGATGGAATTGCTAATGGATTTCAGCTGGGGATTTTGAGCATACCATCTAAAGAGCACAACTGCTTCATGGTGGAGAAGGGGTATGTTGGCGATGTCAACTAAGAGTACCATTGTTCATGAAGGATTAAAGGGAACATTTAAAAATATGGCACATATGAACATCCCTAACCTATGAGGACATGTCCAAATATTGGTCAAATCTGAATTTGTGGTGAAATATCATATATAGGCTTTTGATTGCTGTATAACAATTTATCACAAACCTAGCAGCTTCCCACAAAACCCATTTATTAGCTCATAGTTCTATAGGTGAGAAATATGGACATGGTGTGCCTGGATTCTCTGCTCAGGATATCACAAGAAAAAATCAGCATGTAGCCCAGACTGTGTTCTTATCTGAAGCTTGGAGTTCTATTCCAAGCTCAAGGAAGTTGTTGACAGAGTTGAATTCCTTGCGGGTATAGGACGGAGGTGCTTGTTTCCTTGTTGGCTGCCACTAGGGGACCGTTCTCAACTCCTACATGCTGTTTCTAGATCATTCATCTTCAAAACCAGCCATGCAGACTCTCCCTTGCATCAAATCCCTTTCACGGGTAACTTTTGTCTCTGGCTTCTCTATCCAGAATTAAAGGGCTCATGTGATTAAGTCAGGCCCATCCAAGGTGCCTGCACCCAGCCTATGTTATATTTCAATCACAGTGCATTATGAAAGCACAATAAATATTTGTTGAATGGATAAACTGACATGGTTCCCAAGGCCCTTTATGGTGAGGCCCATTCTTATCTCCTGCCAACACTAACACACACACACACACATCTGTCCACACTCCTAGGTCAACCCTGCTAGACCCTCAGATCACAGCTGCCATAGTCTCTTTGATCCCTCAAGTCTGAGTCAGGCTCCCATAAGCACTCCTCTCATTGCATTTATTACAGGATGATATGTTAGCTTCCTACAAGAATTTCAGATCAAGGAAAGCAGGAACTCATCTGTGCAGATTGCCTTGGGATGCAATGGGCCATGAATTTTGACACATATTTTGACAGAGTCAGATGTTCTGACACCACTTGCACTCTTTGGCCAAGAATTCTTTAACACTATGCTGGTGACTTGACTTTAGACCCCTCTTGGCTTCAGAATTCTGCTTTCATTTGCTTTCTCATCAATTGAGAAAAGCTTAGGCTAAACCCCACAGTAAATTACAAAATGCTATATGGCTAACAAATGCAAGCATGCTATATGAGGGTTTGATATGAAGAAATAGCTTGGGCAAGGGCTTCTTGCTTTTCAAGCAGGTGTTAAATGCACTAAAGAAATGTTCACCTTCCCATTACTCTACCACCTGCAACTTTTCTCCACAGCATGGGTAGCTGGTGGATGGTCATGAAGAAAGTGTTCATCTTATGAATCTTTCCTTCTGTTTAAAAGTCCATTTCCCTTTTGTAGAAAAATATACAAGGGAGCAAGATGCCATGAGAGTGTTAACAGCCAAAAGTAATGGGCCAGGTGAGCATGGATAAGAAAGCAGGAAGTCCCTAACTGGACTCTCTGTTTTAGTGGTTTTCTGAACTTGAACCAGCTCTTTAAACTTAGATGCTCTGCGAAGCTCTGGGGGTAAAAAAAAAAAAAAAAAAAAAAAGGCAAAATAGTTTTTGCTTTTGTGGAGCTCCTAGTCTGGTAGTAGAGACAGAAATGGAAGCAGAAAATGACATCTAGCTTGATACATCCTATAAGAAAGGAGATACAGTGCAGAGCAAGGGACCAGTGATGACATTGAATTTCACCTTAAAAGTCTGAGGCCGGGCACGGTGGCTCATGCCTGTAATCCCAGCACTTTGGGAGGCTGAGGCGGGAGGATCATGAGGTCAGGAGATCGAGACTATCCTGGCTAACACGGTGAAACCCTGTCTCTACTAAAAATACAAAAAATTAGCCAGGCGTGGTGGCAGGCGCCTGTAGTCCCAGCTACTCGGGAGGCTGAGGCAGGAGAATGACGTGAACCCAGGAGGCAGAGCTTGCAGTGAGCCGAGATAGTGCCACTGCACTCCAGCCTGGGCAATAGAGCAAGACTCCGTCTCAAAAAAAAAAAAAAAAGTCTGAGTGGGGTTTGCCAAGAGGAGTAGGAGAAAGGGATTCCAGGCAGGTGGAGAGTACTGAGCAAAGATAGAGGCACAAATAGGAAAGGGAGGTGGAAGGGAGGGAGCATTGGTTGAATGCGCCGTATGTATCAAATGCTTTGCAAGCGTTATCTCGTTTCATGTTTCCAAGAACCTCAGGAAAGTGGACATCATTCTTCCCGTTTGATAGATGAAGAAACTGAAGTTCAGAGTGGTTACGGTCACAGAGCCTGTCAGTTATGAAGAAATAACTAAGTTTTTCTGATTCAATGTCTTCATTTTTTTCATGACACCTCATCACCCTCCCTCTGCCTGGGTTGGAAAGAGGGTGAGAAATTCAGGGTGGAGGGAGAGAGGTTGGGAAATTGAGATTGGCTGGGAGATCAGCTGGGGTTGTACTGGGAAGGGCCTGGTGAGGCACTCTAAATAATTTGTCATGTATCTGGCAGGCTGTGGGGTATCTAACAGAAGTGTGTGTTTGTGTGTGTGTGTGTGTGTGTGTGTGTGTGAGAGAGAGAGCACACACATGTGCATGTGCTTAACAGAGAAACACCATAATCGCGTTTTAATTTTTTTCCGTTGTTGATTCACATATATGATTCAAAATGCAAAAGGCACAAAAAGGTGCTGAAGGTGTAATTTCCCTCCTGTCCCTGACCCCCAGCCATCTCCAGAGGAGATATGCATCACCCATTCCTTACTTACCTTTTCGGAATGGTCAGTGCATACAGAAGCAGATATATGGGGGTGCTAAAAAGATAATCACACCCTGATATTTTGTGACATAAGAACTTATTTTTGAGGTTGTTTTTATAACTGTTTATAAAATGCTTCCCTATTTTTTTAACAGCTGCATAGTGTTCCATTGATTGTATTTGCTGTCATTTGTTTTTAAAAGATCCATAATGGTAGGCATTTGAGTTATTTCCGTTATAAAAATGCTGCATAAACGTTTGTGTCATTTCACTCATATCCATAAGGGACATTCCCAGAAGTGGAAATGCTGGGGCACTGGGCAGAGGCAGCATTTGTAATTTGCCAAACTGCCCTCCACGGAGGTTGCAATTTCTACTACCGCTAGTGTCTGAAGGCGCCTCTTTCTCAGTCAACATCGTTGCTCACACAGTGGGCTAGAAAACTTCGGATTTTTGCCAATGTTTGGGTGACAAATGCTATTTCAGTGAAGTTTTAATTTTTATTTATTTATTTTTTTGAGGCGGAGTCTCATTTTGTCTCCCAGGCTGGAGTGCGTGCCATGGCGCCATCTCGGCTCACTGCAACCTCCGCCTCCCCGGTTCAAGCGATTCTCCTGTCTCAGCCTCCTGAGTAGCTGGGATTACAGGCGTGTGCCACCACGCCTGGCTCACTTTTATATTTTTCGTAGAGATGAGGTTTCACCATGTTGGCCAGGCTGCTTTTGAACTCGTGACCTCAGGTGATCCACCCGCTTCAGCCTCCCAAAGTGCTGGGATTACAGGCATGAGCCACTGCACCCGGCCCACAGTGAGGTTTTACTTTCAATTACTTTATGAAGCGAAATTGTGTGTCTCTTAAGTTTATTATTTTGTATCCATCTTATGATTTAAAAAATTATCTGCCCATTTTTCTATTTAGTTCTTGATCATTTTTTTCATTTATTTTTAGGAGCTTAAATGTACTACGTATATTTTATAAAGAAAAATAGATAATAGCATTAGTCATGAGGATGGTGTGAGATAGGAATAGGGTGAAGGAGACAAATGGGAAAGGAGAGCCATTTCTGGGTAGAAATGATAGGGTTGATGACTGAGTTAATGTGGTAGGTATGGGGAGAGGGGAGTCAAATATGAGTTTGAAAAATCTAGCTTGGGAGGCTGGCTAAGCAGTGATTTATGAACTAAGATCAGGAAAACCACAGAAGTAGCTTGGGATGATGGGAGCTTGCAAATAATTATTACCTGTATGTGTGTATGTATATACTGTGTGTGTGTGTGTGTGTGTGTGTGTGTATATATATATATGTACATATATCTGTTGTGTAATTATATGTGTACTTATATGTAGTGGTCCCCCACCTTTTTTTTTTTTTTTTTTGAGACGGAGTCTCACTCTGTTGCCCGGGCTGGAGCACAGTGGCACTATCTCAGCTCACTGCGAGCTCCCCCTCCCGGGTTCACACCATTCTCCTGCATCAGCCTCCGAAGTAGCTGGGCCTACAGGCGCCTGCCACCACACCCAGCTAGTTTTTTGTATTTTTTAGTAGAGACAGGGTTTCACAGTGTTCGCTAGGATGTTCTCAATTTCCTGACCTTGTGATCTGCCCGCCTCGGCCTCCCAAAGTGCTGGGATTACATGCGTGAGCCACTGCACCCGTCCAATGGTCCCCAACCTTTTTGGCACCAGGGAACAGTTTCGTGGAAGGCAATTTTTCCAGGGAATGGGGCAGGGGGAGGATGGTTTTGGGGCAATTCAAGTGCATTACATTTATAGTGCCCTTTATTTCTATTATTATTACATTGTAATATATCATGAAATAATGACAAAACTCACCATAATGTAGAATCACTGGGAGCCCTGAGTTTGTTTTCCTGTAACCAGATGGTTCTATCTGGGGGTGATGGGAGACAGTAACAGATCATCAGGCATTAGATTCACATAAGGAGCATGCAACCTAGATCCCTTGAATGTGCAGTTCACAATAGGGTTCACACTCCTATAAGAATCTATTAATAATGCCTCTGCTGATCTGACAGGAGGTAGAGCTTAGGCGGTATTGTGAGCAATGGGGAAATGCTGTAAATACAGATGAAGCTTCACCCACTAGCCCACCGCTCACCTCCTGCTGTTCAGCCTGGTTCCTAACAGGCCACGGACTGGTACTGGTCTGTGGCCCGGGGGTTGGAGACCCCCATGTATATGTATGTATGTATGTGTGTGTATACATATATAAAAGATCTATCTATCTATCTATCTATCTATCTATCTATCTATCTAATATCTTTCCCATATGAAAAAGGATTTGAAGCAGTTTATAAAACACAGACACACTACAAAAGAATAAAATTCATTGAAGAAATTTCGTTGAAGGAAAAATTAGGAAAATGTAACAATAAATCCAGGGGTGAGATTACATCTGGCAATGTGTATTATGCAGTCCTCTGCAGCTGCTAAAGGTAGGCTGTTAATTTGGCCCAAAGCCTCCTGCAGGCCAAAGCTAAGGTGGAAACACACCAGACTGCCAGAGTGACTGTGCAAACAATCACCTCTCTTGGCCTCACCGGACAAATCAGCTGCCATTAGCATTAGTGTCTTCATTCTGCCATTTCTTGCCCTTTAACGACACTCATGCTCCCCTTTGCCCTGTACCAGGAAGTACATCTGGGCATCCCCAGGGAGTGTCATATGAACCTATGAATAAAGCCAGGCCCCTGGGACACTGCCACTCTCTAGTCCAGACAATCCTGCCTGGCCACTGACTTGCCAGTGGGTAGATACCACTCCCAAGGATGGCTCAGGGGCATCTCTTCTGATAGATTGGACTCTGGGGGTACCAGGCCCTCCTGGCTTTCCTGCCAACTCTCTGGCTATGCCTCTTCAGTGCCCACGGGGAATCCTCCTCTTTCTGCCTTCTCTATGGGAGTGCTCTGGGGCTTATTCTTTGGCCCTCTTGTTTTCCCTCTCCACTTTTCCATCAATCAGAGGCTGCTTCTTAATAGGCCACATGTGTTCAAACCAGAAATGAGTCCCCATACCTTGTCTGTGGGGCTGGGAAGAGGACCAGGGACCACATATTCCCTTTCTTCCTCTTTCTGGGCTCTGGACATTTATGTAAGAAACACTTTCTTGAAAGTTTCATCCCCTCCCATGAAAATCATTCATGCACATTGGGGCTTGAGGGGTTGCCCTCCCACATGACTTCAGCCCAGGATCCATGGAATCTGCAGGCCTCATGGCATTTCATAGGGAGGTTCTGCTCCGGGGTGTTGGGGGTCAGAAGATTGGATTGTTTAAGCAACAAGGAGCTTCCCAGGGCAAACCTAAATGTGATCATGGGAGAGCCTCCACCCTTGGAAGAGAGACAGGCAGCATATGTCAAGATGGTAGCCTGGGTACATAACTGTGGCAGTGGCAGTATCTCATCTCCAAGGGGGTGACTGTCCTCTGCACTGCACACCTGAAGGCAAGCCACTTAACTAATTAATTCATCTCAGCTGGTTCACCCTTCTCCTTAGAAATAGCATTCACAGGACAACCAAAGTCAGTGGCAACTGAGGAACAAAGAAGGAGGAGACAGCTCTTTTTTTTAAGAGACAGGATCTTGCTCTCTTGCCCAGGCCGGAGTGCAGTGGTGCAATCATAGCTCACTATAGCCTCAAACTCCTGGGCTGAAAAGATCTTCCTGCCTCAGCCCCCTGAGTACAGGAGTGCACCACCATGTCCAGCTAATTAAAAAATATATATATAGAGAGAGACAGGGTCTTGCTCTGTTGCCCAGGCTGAGAGACACAATCCTTACTGTGTCCCTACAACCTACAAGAAACTTTGCTAGTATGATTTTATTTAATTTTCACAATGATTTTGGGCTTGGAATTACTATCGCCCATTTTCCTGGCAAAGAAGAAACTAAGATGCAGAGAGGTTACACACTTGCCTAAGGCCATGAAATTAGAAACTGATAGAACCAGAAGTGGCCCAAGTGGTCTGTCTCTAAGGGCCCTTGTGCTTGAAACAGGAATTCCTGGGCTCGCAACAGGAATTCTACCACTTCTGCCATGTTATACTGAATAGGACAAGTCACAGGCTGACCTGTTCAGAGTGGGTAAAACTATAGTTACAAGGCAAGGGGACAGATACAGGGTGCTATTAATTGGGGTCATCAATGTAGTCACTCAAACCCAGAAAAAGAATCTATTTTACCATTGTGCTTTGTTACAGGAGCATAGTTTGTAATTTACTTTATTTTATTTTATTTTTTTGAGATGGAGTCTTGCTCTGTCTCCCAGGCTGGAGTGCAGTGGCGAAATCGAGGCTCACTGCAACCTCGGCCTCCCGGGTTCAAACGATTCTCCTGCCTCAGCCTCCTGAGTAGCTGTGATTACAGGCATGCACCACCACACCTGGCTTTTTTTTTCTTTTTTTGCATTTTTAATAGAGACAGGGTTTCACTATGTTGGCCAGACTGGCCTTGAACTCCTGACCTCAGGTGATCCACCTGCCTTGGTCTCCCAAAGTACTGGGATTACAGGCATGACCACTGCACCCAGCTCCGGCATAGTTTGTAATTTAATACACCTACTATGTGTCTACCAGTGTACCTGTGACCTTGCTCTTATTTTCAAAATTAAAAGGAGGAAGTGTCCTGAGGAAAAAATATACTCACCTCCATTGAGCCTCTCTCTGTTGCTTATACTTTTCTCCATTCTAGTCCTAGACTTTGGCAAAGAAGGATCCTGGCCAAGATGCTTTTCAGTCATGATGTGCATAAAGTGAATAGCCTGCAGCCCTAGGGAAGTGTGGAACTTCGGAGATTCCAAAATAAAAATAAACGCACCAAAGCCACCGTAGTTCCTATTGACTAATGTCATTTTTAAATAAGCAATAATTTGAATAATTTGTCTACTGAAGGCTCTAAAATGGGCTTTCCTCTCAAAGCCAAGTGAGGATGCTCTAACATGCCTTCTACCAAAAAAAAATTTAAAGCACTAAAATATTTCTAGAAAGGTTTGATTGAGACCCTCTGTTACGGAATGAGTTGTATCCCCCCAAAACTGGAATACCCAGTTATTCGATGAACACATTGAACTTGGGGTTCAGCACTGGAGAAATGTCTGATGGGAGTTGCATCCCCCTAAAATTCATATGTTTAATCCTAACTTCTAGTACCTCAGAATGTGACGGTATTTTGAGATAAGGTCTTTTAAGAGGTAATCAAGTTAAATGAGGTTATTAGGTAGATTGCAGTCCAGTACGACTGATGTTTTTATAAGAGGAAATTTGGACACAGACACAGCACAAAGGGAAGGCCACGTGAAGACACAAGGAGAAGGTGGCTGTCTACAAGCCAACGAGAGAGGCCTCAGAAGAAACTGGCCCTGCCAACACCTTGATCTTGGACTTCAAGCCTGCAGAATTGTGAGACAATAAATGTCTTTTGTTTAAGCCACTGAGTCTGTGGTACTTTGTTATGACAGCCCTAGCAAACTAATACACCCTCTAATGTACCCTCTAGCAAACTAATATACCCTCTAAAATATTGGTGAATCTGGATCCATTTTTGGCTAAAACAGCTCACTTTTAATGCATACAAATTTCCTTTTTGAAATTAAACAGCAGAGCTTCCTAATATCCATAACAAAATTTCATTGTGTACCTACTTTTTGCCTTGTACTGTACTGAATGCTTTATGTGTATTTCCTCATTTTGCCTTCAAAAGAATCCTTCAAATACTATTTTTTGCCTGTCTTTTTAGATGACGAAACCGAGGCTTATGTGACTAAGGAGTTAAGTGACATATCTTGAGTCTCCCAACTGGGCTTTGAAGTCAAATGCATTTGAGGTCAAATTCTTGTTCTGAAAATTACTAACGCTGATACCTCTAGTATTTTACTAACTACTTAGTGCCCTATATCTGTAAATTCTCACAATAATGCATAAGTTATTGTCACGGTTGAATAAATTATTGTCACATTGACTACTAAAATGTTTTAAGAAGCCTAGCACAATTTCTATTACCTATCAAGGGTCCAGTGAATGTTAGCCTTTGTATTTTATGACAACATAAGGCCCAGTTGCCTATAAGGATCTCTAATCCACTCAGTCTGTGTGTCAGGGTCAGAGGTCAAGGCTGTTTCCTGCATTACATTTTTTTCCAGTTCCTCATCCCATCTGCTCTTACATTTCCTCAAAGGATATGACCCTTACCCATGACCTCCCATTGTAGATGGGGAGGTCACAAAAGGTCTCATGCAGACTAAGGAAGCTCAATGTGCCAGACAAACCATTGCACACAAAAAAATCACAGACCACTGAGTACATCTTCTGAATGAATGAATGAATGAATGAATCCACATGCTTGCTAAAAGCGTAGTGATTGGCTGGGTGCAGTGGCTCATGCCTGTCATCCCAGCATTTTGGGAGGCTGAGGCAAGAGGATCACTTGAACCCAGGAGTTTGAGGTTACAGTAGCCATGATTGCAACACTGAACTCCAGCCTGGATGACAGAGTGACCCCCTCCCCCCTCCAAAAAAAGTAGTGATTTGAAGAATGAGGACTTTTCAGTGTTGTATTTGGAGAATGTTGCTTTCATTGGATCAGGTTTTATTGAGTTTGGTTATGAGGATGGCATTGTGATGGGCACGTTAGGGGAGGTAAGATCTGCAGATGCCCGGCACCAAACTGAATGTGCTACGTGTCTTTAAAAGGGTAACACATGCTGAGAGATTGAAGCATGGAGAAGTAATTCTGGTTTTGGAAAAGTACAAAGCTTCTGTAGAGAGGATGGCATTGGGGTAGGTCTTGAAGGAAGAGAGGAGAGGGAGAGGAGAGAGAGGAGAGGGAGAGGAGAGAAAGGAGATGCTTTTTCACTGAGGCATACTCTACTGTCAGTATACAGTCTTGATAGTATGTTAAGGTCTACAGTGAACTGGCAGCATAGAAGAGCTGAATTCCAAGTATTTGTAAGGAAATAGTTTGTAACTTACTTCTAATTAATGTGCTCTAAACTTGGCAGAAAGAGGCTGTCCTAGGGACACTTATTTGAAGGATAAATTATTCTTCTGTTCTTTTGCTGTTTTAAGGTCTTCCCTGGAATCGACCTTTGTGGATCCAGAGTGAGACCCCTGCATCATGTTTCAGGGCCCCTAGTTCAACTGTTGTTATGAAAGGTGCTTTGGGATGACAGCCAGGACATCCCATCATGTGGACGCCATCAGGATGCTTTCCCGGGGGAGAGTATCCCAGCCTGCTTAGTAAGGTCCTCTAGGCCTCTCTGGACCAATGGTTGCTATTTTCCTAAGGAAGTCTCATCTGGAGAAACCACCAGCTTTTCCCCCCAGGACTGGTTTCTAGAAAGCTCAGAGTCAAATTGGTGGCTCTCTGCTAACAAGCATACATACCATGATGGTACACAGTTTTGAAGTCTCATTCCTGGCCCATTTGAAACCTCGATCTCTGTTTTTATTTTGTCTTAAGCTCCTCTCTTTGATTTGTGCCTTCTTGTCCCAGCTTTCGTATCCTTGTAAGCTAATACTGGACTTGTCTGGAAGCAGATGTAGCTGAGCCACCTTGTCCTTTCATTGCCTTCAAGCCTGCAGATCTTTGCACATGAGGCTTCTTTTGCCTGGAAAGCACTTTCTTTCCTTTCCCCTTTCCCCTTTTGACTTTTCCACTCTTTCCCTTCTTTCTCAGTTTAGCAATCCCTTTCTCTAGTGAATTAGAGGCTCCTTCACGTGTCCCTTTACCATAGATCTCTCTCCTGACTACACACTCTTATTTCCTGTAGAATGGACTATTTTGTTTACTTGTCTGTATCCCTGCTAGTTCCTACACTTTGGAGGATTGAGTCTATATCCGTCTTCTTCAAAGTCACCTCTTTAGGACCTAGCAGTTTGCCTGGCACATATAAGACACGCAACAAACTTTTGTTATCTGTATGAGAGAAGTTATTTTTAGGATCCTCGGTTTTCTGATATGTCTAAAAGACACTAGTTATTATGCAGGATTGTTGGGAGGCTCAAAGGGAATGATTCATATAAAGTTCCTAGTATAGAGCCTGCCATATATTAAGGCGTCCCTTCAACCCCACTCCTTGCAAGTGATTAATTTCTGAGCACATAATTCACTCTCAAGAAAATTCCTCTTAGAATCAGTGCACAGTTTGTCTCTAGGAAGAAAAGATACAAATATAGGGAAAGCCAGAGGCATAGCAAGTACAGTGATTAAGGAGGGCTTCTTGCAGAGGTGGAGTGCAGTGGAAACATTTAAAGGAATTAAGAGTTTGGAAAATAGCCTTGGAGAGGGATGATGGAAGGTGAGCTGGTGGGAAGAGACCAGTCCTGGGGCCAGCAAGCAGCCCCCAACTCCATCTTTCCAGGCCACTACTCTGATTTTCATGAGGCAGCCATTAGAGGACTTCTCAGCCTCCTGGAAGTTTGGCTAAATGTGTACAATATTCAGGAATACCCACTTATTCAACAAACACATTAAACTTCGGGTTCAGCATTGGAGAAATGTCTGATGGGCATTTCCTGGAGGCCATGAGTTCCTCTGTGCATCTTTTTCATCTTGTGGTTCCAAAACTAAGATATTTCTCTGCTCCAGTGCCTGTTGAATGCAATTCTCTAAACCACGTCTCTCCGGGCCTTCCTTTTGGCCAATAACATGGTATATTGTGTCTAAAATCATCTTCTCTCCCCTGTGGTTCTAAAAGCAACAGAGTTTTGGGAAGCACAGAGGTCATCTGCACCCACATCTCTGAAATTGCTACATGGTGGACAGGAGAAATGGTACCTCTTTAACCATAGGAACTGTCGTTTCTTCCCCACATGTGGATTGAGCCCCACGGAGTGCAATGCACTGAGAATAGAGGTCTCTGAGGATGGGTGACTTGACCCTTTACCCCTCAGCCAGCAGGAGATCTGAAGTAGCTGTTCTAAGAGGTGGTCTTATCCCCTTTAATTCCTTCATATTCTCTTTTGATTCTCTGCCCCAATTCATCCC
This sequence comes from Homo sapiens, assembly GCF_000001405.40. Lineage (NCBI taxonomy): Eukaryota > Metazoa > Chordata > Mammalia > Primates > Hominidae > Homo > Homo sapiens. Next base: position 29,630,419 of record NC_000008.11, read on the forward strand.
AAACAGATGAGTCAAGTACACCCCATGTACTAGCTTTGCAACAGCAGCTTGAAGCACTTCAGCCTCCTGACAGCCACTGTGAAGTCCCTCCTACAGGGACACTCTGGAGCTGCTGCTTTAGGATCTGGGAAGAGAAAGCAAGTAAAGCCAGTCTCAGAAGAGGACTGAGGAGGTCTCTACTCCTTTCTGGGACTCACTCTTTTATACACCATCAGAAGCCAGAATAAGGCATGAAGGGATTAAACACCCCATTCTACCACCATCTTTGCTTTTCTGTCTCATTTGAATAAGATGGAGATCTACATGTTTAAATAGGCTTGTATATAATGCTAGTCCAACTCAAAAACATACTATTTCAATATAGTCCTAGTTCAGGGCTATGGACAGCAAGGCCATAATAAATGCGTGTTGTTGGCTTGATTGTGAGTTCTTGCTTCCTTGAAACCAAATGTGAAGAGAACTGGAATCTGTGGGGTTTTCTTATTTTTGCATGGAGTAGAGACCCTCTGAGCAGCAAATCTTAAAAGAAGGAAAAATCTCTTCTATGGCCAATGTGAACCAGAAAAGAATGTCAAGAGGCTGTTTTTCCAGCCCTAAGAGTGTCTGAGATTTAAGTTTTCCATAATGAAAATGGAGAATATGCAGACACCAAAAAAATTACACCACGGAATCACTGCCCTGGATCAGCAGAGAAAACATAATACAGGCTGGAAAACTCCTACTCCATTTATTGAAACAACAGTTCGTTAGGACACTATAGAATTTCACTAATAACTAGCTGAATGTATGTTTAAGCCCAGTAATAAAGGCTACCAAACGAAGGGCTATTTACACGTAATTACACCTCCAGCATGTAGGTTGTCACAGAGGGAGGCCTTAATTATCAATGTGCTATGCCCCTGCTTTACATATAACAAGTGGCCTTAATGTGGCTATTCATGTTATAGTTTAAACATCTTGGTAATTAGGAAGTGGAAAATGGGTAGCGTAGAGGGAGTTGTCAGTTTCCTGCTGGTGTGGCCACCTGCACTCTATACCTCTGGGAGCTGAGAGGCCGAGGGAGGCAGGACCAGCTTTGGGCCAGAAGACAGCACGGCATGGACAGCATGGATTTCTCAGGTATATGATGAAGGCTCCAGAACATGTGGGTGAGGACAGAGCCACTCACAGAATCACACTCATTAACTTAACAAATCTTTGTTGAGTACTTACTATGTGCCAAGCACTGGTCTATGTATGTGAGATTTCAGTAAACAAAACAGACTAAGATCTCTGCTTCTGCGTAGCTTATATTTGACGGCAGTTCAGTTATTAAATTTGATGAGTTGATAACTGGCTCAGGGGCGGTCACCACTAATGGGCCTGTCCTGTGCCCTGACCCATCCAGTGCTTCTTTGAACAACTCAGAAGAAGACTGACTGTTGTTTGGGGATTTGTTGATTAAAGTTGCAGAAAGCAGTAGTGCGTACCTGGTGCAGTTTTCTTACTTGATTTCTCATCCTTACCACAGTCTTGCAAGGCAGATATTATCATCACTTATGTTTGAGAGCTCAGGAGACTGAAGGACGTACCCAGGTTTTGCATCCAAGTTGGATTCTCTCTCTCTGAAGATGCAAGGCTAAAGATGGCATAATTAGCTGTTTCCCTAAGCAGCCTGAGGCAATCTGTGAAAATGGTTCACTATTCACTTGACCCTGACAACCGCACAAAATCATGCAAATCAAGAGGTTCAAATCTTCGTGTTCTCTTTAAGAACACTCGTGAAACTGCCCAGGCCATCAAGGGTATGCATATACGAAAAGCCACAAAGTATCTGAAAAATGTCACTTTACAGAAGCAGTGTGTACCATTTCGACGTTACAATGGTGGAGCTGGCAGATGTGCCTAGGCCAAGCAGTGGGGCTGGACACAAGGTCGGTGGCCCAAAAAAGTGCTGAATTTTTGCTGCACATTCTTAAAAATGCAGAGAGTAATGCTGAACTTAAGGGTTTAGATGTAGATTCTCTGGTCATTGAGCATATCCTAGTGAACAAAGCACCTAAGATGCACCGTTGGACCTACAGAGCTCATGGTCGGATTAATCCATACATGAGCTCTCCCTGCCACATTGAGATGATCCTTACTGAAAAGGAACGGATTGTTCCTAAACCAGAAAAGGAAGTTGCCCAGAGGAAAAAGATATCCCAGAAGAAATTGAAGAAACAAAAACTTATGGCAGGGGAGTAAATTCAGCATTAAAATAAATGCAATTAGAAGTTTAAAAAGGCCAAGTGTGGTGGCTCATGCCTGTAATCCGAGCACTTTGGGAGGCCAAGGAGAGTGGATTATGAAGTTAGGAATTTGAGACCAGCCTGACCAACATGGTGAAACCCTGTCTGTAGTAAAAATATAAAAATGAGCCGGACATGGTGGCATGCACCTGTAATCCCAGCTACTCAGGAGGCTGAGGCAGGAGAATTGCTTGAACCCAGGAGGTGGAAGTTTCAGTGAGCCAAGATCACACCACTGCACTCTAGCTTGGATGACAGAGTGAGACTCCGTTTCAAAAAAAAAAAGTGGCATAATTAATACTGGATGATGGACTGAGGATTCGGAAGTCTTTATTATCCAAATAAATGAGCTCAAATGAAGACTTTGCATCAGGAGTGTAACATAAAGCAGCAAGGAGTTAGATACAACATTTAGAGACTTGAATTCTCTTGGTGCTGTTTTTGATGCATTATCTGTTCCTGTGATTACTTCCTGCAGTTTATGACATCTCCGCCTTTCTTTGGTACTCTGGAGGAAGTTGCCATTTAAATGTAAGATTAATAAATTTAATAACCAAGTTGAAGGAATAAGGGAATTCAGTGTTAATGTCACTCTTGGGCGGAAGTGGTCAAGGTCAAGGTGATTTAGTGGTTGATCTCTGTTCCAGTAATCTCTTGCTGTGTAATAAACCAACCCCAAACTTAACGGTGTAAAATGACAATCATTTTGTTACATTCATGGATTCTGTGACTCAGGAATTTGGGCAAGGCACAACAGGGATGATTTGTCTTTATAATATCTGGAGTTTCATATGGTGGACTAGAATGGCTGGAGATGACTCAGATATCTAAGGGCTGGAATCATCTGGGGACTTCCTTACTCACATGTCAAGTGCCTTGGCTGGGATGACCAAAGACTAGGCTCAGCTGGTACTGCCTACTGGAGCCTCTTTCTGTGGCTTGGGCTTCCTTACATAATGGCAGACCAGGATAGTTGGATTTCTCAAATGTCAGCTTGCAGCTCTGAGAGCAAGTGTTCTAGCAAACAAGGTGACAGATATATGGCTTCACTTCACCATATTCTGTTGGCTAAAGCACTCACAAGCCATTCAGCTTCAAAGGGGGAAAACAACAGAGTCTATCTATATTAGTCCATTCTCACACTGCTATAAAGAACTACCTAAGACTGGGTAATTTATGGATAAAAGAGACTTAATTGACTCATAGTTCTGCAGGCTGTACAGGAAGTATGGCTGGGAGGCCTCAGGAAACTTACAATCATGGCAGAAAGCAAAGGGGAAGCAAGCATTTCCTACCATGGCAGATCAGGAGAGAGAGAGAGAGAGAGAGAGAGAAGGGGCAAGTGCTACACACTTTGAACAACTAGATCTCGTGAGAACTCACTCACTATCAGGAGAACAGCAAGGGGGAAATCTGCCCCCATGATCCAATCACCTCCCACCAAGCCCCTGCTCCAACACTGAAGATCATAATTCAGCATGAGATTTGTACACAGAGCCTAACTATATCACTATCTCAGAATACACCTAATTTATGGCCACATTTTAAAGCCATCACATCCACAGGGGTATATCCCTCCTGTGGATTTTTTGCTCAATTCACTCTGCCAGAGTAACTCTCAATTTGCAGAAGAATAAACCAGGCATTGAGGATGTGACCATTGTCTTCAGCTCTTTGGAAGACTATCATATGCAAGAGAGAGTAGATGTAACCCACAAGGCTTTAAGAATGAGCTAAAGACCAGTGAGTAAATGGAACAGGCGAACTTACTAATATTTGGGAATGTCTGTCAATGAGTTGCCTTGCCTAGGAAGACAGTGAATTCTCTGATTTTTGAACTATTGATTGAACACAAATCAGGAATGTCCCAGTAGGGCCTCAGACACTATCTTGGAGATTGGATTAAATGAATTCTTTAGAAGACTGAGGGATATAAGTTGTTCTGTGTTAGAAACATCGCAGCAGAGACAGGGCATGATGAAGAATCATCCACGACTTCAATTCTACCTTTTCAAGTCACCTTCTAAGTATATAATTTCAAGGATATTGGGATGCCTCATGGTACCTCTCCTTTAATAATTATTCTCCTATATTGGTGGCTTAGAACCCCCAATGAGAGACTAATTCTTTTAATTTAAGCCTTTGATCCTTGTTAAAGTGTAATACCCCGGGAAAGGGGAGAGCCAAAGCTCTTTCCAGTGATTTATAATTTACCAAGAGCACGTTTAAGGTCATATTCTGTGAGGATGATTTGACAAGAGAGGGTAGGGCAATGCGTATGTGAGAAGGGGGAGGAAGAAATGGTCCAGAAGGAGAGAGAGAATGGCACAAAGTAGGGAAAAATACATGAAGATCTGGGGAACCGATGCTTCTGGTGCCAGCCCTAGCAGAGGCTGATTTCTTCAGCTTCATGCAATCGGTTATGAAACCACCGTTCTCAGTTCTCAGAACAAACTGGCAGAGAGCTGGTGTCCACTTCCGTGACCTTTCCTGCACTTGAGAAGTGCAACTACAGGCTCAGCTCAGAGAATACCACAGAGCCCTCTTCCCTGTTTGGAACAGCAGGTGGGGGAGTCACCCTCCCTCATTTATTTCCGTCACTACACTGTTAGAACAGGGATGACAGGGGCCTAACTCACTTCCCGAGAAGTCGTGGCATCCTCTGTATAAACAAAGGAAAAATTTCTACTGTAAATCACCCAAACAAGTGATATCCCAGAGGAAGAAAGAAAACAGTGAGGGAGGAAGATGCCATCCAAGGGGAAAACATGTCAGGTTGTGCACATTAGATCTGGTCATTCGCAAGTGACCTCTCTGGGAAGGCAAAGGATAGCAGAGATTGAAAAGGAGGCTATAAAATTGAGAGCCTAAGCAAAGCACTTGACAGAGGGAAGAACATGTAACCAGTGGACTCCTTGTTCTCCCAGCACTGCCCTCACAGCCCAAAGAATTTCTGAACAAAGAGAACAAGATTCAAGTTTAAAACCAAGACCTCTGCTTCCATTTCTGTGTTTTCCTTCCCTCCCATAGCCCAGAGTGTGCCCCAGCAAACCAGCTGTCAGGAAAGCATTTGATGTCAGTCATTTGCATCTTAATGCGATGGAAAGGTGAGGAGCTGCCTCTACCGGCATATTTCAATTTTAAGACTGATTTGTTAGAGTGAAGGACTCCTTGAAGATAATTCAAGCTTGGGAGGTGTGATCGGACACATTCTGGGGAGGGGAGTTGGCAGGGTAGGGAGGTCACCAGGTAGTCACCACTTCCATTTTCATACAAAGGTACCTGTGATGCTTGGAGTCAAGTACTGGGTTCCATCTTGGGAAGCCAGAGCGTCGGATCTTCGGTCACTCCTGGTGAGCACAAGCAAGTGAGAGCTCAGGCTCTGGTGCAGGGTGAGTGGAAGCGCCACTCCCTTTATTTCAAACCTTCTTCTGGCCTGTGGGGGAGCCAGCTCCCTGGGGCATCCCATTACAACAACAGCTGACCACAAGGAGCGCCAGTGTGCAGGCGCTTCTTCCCAGCTGCAGGCATTTTAGTTGTGTTGTAAATAGACAACCATGAGACCAAATGGAAACTTTGTATAGTCTTAGTATTCCAGATCCATGGAGATCTGAGGATAAAAAGTCCCAAGTAATAGCATATCCTATTTATTTTCACCAACTTATATAAAACTGAACCCTGACTCTGTTATGCATTGCCCACAAGCAGCTTTATAGGATCACAGATACATCAGCAGTCCCTACGGCCCTATAAGGCTATTTTCCTAGCATTACACATCCTCCAAGTCATAGATGTCAAAGTGGTGTTCTAGTGGAGATTGAATATCATTCCATTGTTAGAAGATGGGAAGTAAATTCAATATACAAGATCAAATGGAGACTTTTCAGTTTTCTCTTACTCTTTTTTTCTGTTTGTTTTTGCAGTTAGTGAACCAGCAGATCTTGTTATGAGGAGCGGTTAAACTTTCACAAGCTCAGTTACAATGTGATGCTCAACAAATTCATTTTAAAGGGACCACTTGATAGAATTAGGGAAAAGAACCATTGGCTCTACAGATTGATTTAGCATAGATCTTGTCCAAAGAAAGGAGAAGTCTTAAAGTTCAATATGAATAAAATTTAAATGTGACTCAGAAGAAAGAGCATTTTCTTGTATGGATTTGAGCTGTGTGAAACCAGCAGCAATAAACGGGACTTACATTATTATTCATGACCAATGAACAAGAAAGTCTGGACCAGGCGCAGTGGCTCATGCCTGTAATCCCAGCATTTTGGGAGGCTGAGGCAGGCGGATCATGAGGTCAGGAGATCGAGACCATTATGGCTAACATGGTGAAACCCCGTCTCTACTAAAAAATGCAAAAAAATTAGCTGGGCGTGGTGGTGGGCGCCTGTAGTCTCAGCTACTTGGGAGGCTAAGGCAGGAGAATGGCGTGAACCCGGGAGGCGGAGCTTGCAGTGAGCCGAGAGCACGCCACTGCACTCCAGCCTGGGGGACAGAGCAAGACTCCGTCTCAAAAAAAAAAAAAAAAAAAAAAAAAAAAAAAAATATATATATATATATATATATATATATATATATATATATATATGTATACATACACACACACATACCATGGTTTCATTAGTCTGTCCAAAACATGGAAAGGTAGAGTCTGTTTAATTTTATGACATCTGGGACAGGACAATTTGAAATCTCCATATTTCTAAGTTAACATCACGTAATATGGGAAATGCTTATCTTAAAAAGATTTGCCTGCAACGAGGCAGCAAGGAATAATGCCCCGAAGTCACAGCTGCCAGGCTGGGTCAAGACTGGGAGATGGGGATTTGCCTTTCAGTCTGGCAGAAGGACAATGGAAAATGACTGCAGATGATTTGTGCTGCCAGTGTCTTCGAGAATGAGAAAGGATGGAGGGAAAAACATGACCCTGGGCAGGGCTGGTGGTGTGAGGAAATGATGATTCAGTGCGTCGCTTTGACCCATGTGGTGCTTTGTTCAAAACTGTGCTGGGCAATTCCTTCAGTATCAGGAAGAGAAACAACTCTTGTCAATAAATTACAGCGGATGTGGGAAATCACTCCCAGGGTGAGGTCTGGAGCTGAATGACTCCCTCGAGGTCAGTACCCACAAAAGCAGCTGCCAAAATTTACATTTTCCCATTTGCCCTCTGGTTCACAGTGGATATAAATCCACATAATGCAGCCATAGAGCCCCCTGCTCTGCCTGTCTACTGGCCGCGCACCCGGATCAAGGCTGGGGGAGGAAAGCCTTGGCCCTGGAGGCACTAGACGTACCTGGTAAGTACTGAGTCCAGCTTCATCACAACCATGTCACCCTTGACATCTTTTCCACATTTCCAGAATCCCCTAGAAAATCTCAGTCCCATCACTATAAATAATTTTAAATTCATTTATAAATTAGATTGCAAAAGATATTTAAATATATAGGTACTTTTTAATTATACAAATAATATTTGCACATTGTAAAAATGTCCAGAGTGGCCAGGTGCAGTGGTTCATACCTGTATTCCCAGCACTTTGGGAGTCTGAGATGGGCAGATTGCTTGAGTGCAGGAGTTAGACACCAGCCTGGGCAACATGACGAAACCTAGTCTCTACAAAAAATACAAAAATAAATTAGCTGGGCATGGTGGCACGTGTCTATAGTCCCAGCTACTCAGGAGACTGAGGTGGGAGGATCTAAGCCCGGGAGGTTGAGGCCGCAGTGAGCTATGATCATGCCATTGCACTCCAGCCTGGATGACAGAGTAAGACCCGGTCTCAAAGAAGAAAAAAAAAAAGTCCAGATATTTAAGTAAAGACAAAAATAAAGTAAAAACTTCCATTTCTGCGTTTCCCACCCAAATCCAGATCTGCAGAGATAACTGCTAGTAATTTGATGTGTATTCTTTCAAACATTTTTACTGTGCATAGAATGTAGCAGCACAGGCTCTGAAATCAGACTGCCCGGGTTGGAATCTGTCTCTGTCACTTAATAGCCTTGTCACCTTAGACAAGTGTCATACCCTTCCTCAGCATCAGTTTTATCATCCTTAGAATGGCAACAATAATAGTATCTCCACATGGTCTCACTCATAAGAGGGAGCTGAACAATGAGAACAAATGGACACAGGGAGGGGAACATCACACACTGGGGCCTATTGGGGGGTCGGGGGCAAGGGGAGAGAGAGCATTAGGACAAATACCTAATGCATGCGGGGCTTAAAACCTAGATGATGGGTTGATAGGTGCAGCAAACCACTATGGTACATGTATACCTGTGTAACAAACCTGCACGTTCTGCACATGTATCCCAGAACTTAAAGTAAAGTAAAAAAAAAGTATCTCCCTCATAGATTGTCATAAGGATTAAATAGATTTATACACATACACACACAGAATGTTTGTATGCCTAATACCTAACAAGCACTCAATGAATGTTTGCAAAAATAGAACTTAATTGAAGGTGATTTTGAAAGAAAAAAAATTTTAAAGACTTTGTTTCCAAAGAGAGATAGAGAGGAGGTTAGTTTGTTGGGTCAGGCTGAGTTGGACTCTTGGCAATTCTGAGTTTCTTTCTCCACAGATATTTACCTTTCAAGGGGTTGAATTTCTTATTCTTCCCCAGTAAAAGTAACTGATGATGGTTAAGAACATAGTCTATGGGGTCAGACATGCATGCACTAGAAACCCAGCCTCCCTGCTTACTAGTGTTGTGATATGTGATGTTGTATTACGTAACTTTTCTGAGCCTCAATATCTTTACCTGTATAATCACAGCAGTTTTGTTTCAAGGATTATATGAAATAATGCATGATTGACTTTTCTTGGCTCAGTCAGCACTAAAAAAATGGTGGCGATGGTAGCCACCATTGCATAAAGCAAAGGGCTTTGATGTGGTTTGTATGTTGTCTCCTCCAAATCTCATGTTGAAATGTGATCCCCCCTATTGGAGGTAGGGCCTGGTGGGAGGTGTTTGGCTCATGGGGATGGAGCCTTCGTGAATGGCTTGGTCCCCTCCTCTCTTTAATGAGTGAGTTCTCGCTCTGTTCGTTCCCTTGAGAACTCGCTGTTGTAAAAGGCCTGGCACCACTTCCTTTTCCTCTCTTTCTCCCTCTCTCATTATGTGATCCCTGCTCCCACTTCACCTTCTGCCATGAATGGAAGCAGCCTGAGGTCATCACTAGAGGCAGATACTAGTACCATGCTTCTTGTACAGCCTGCAGAACAATGAGCCCAATAAATGTCTTTTCTTTACAAATTATCCAGCCTCAGTCAATCCTTTCTAGCAATGCAAAAAAATGGACTCAGACAGGGCTTAATGCTTCCCCAGTAGAGGCTGGGAGCACAGGCTTGGCACCCTTCTCTGAGGAGAATGATTTGACTTGGTTGTACTGGAGATAGCTGATTCACCCACCTTTTTTTTTTCTACGACCTTTGGCAATCCATCTTTCTTTGTTGGGATAGAGCTTTCTAGTCAACAAAGCACTTTCAAACGCATTCACTCCATTGCTACTCTTCTGAAGAAGGAGGATAGGGAAGGCATCATTAGCAATGGATTAGCTTTGGTTTCCAGGTGAGAAAACTGAGGCTCAGAGAGCATAAATTCCTTGGCCAAGGTCACCTAACACGTGGCAGAGCCAGAACTGGCACCTCTATGCTGTGACAAGGCTGTCCTCCCACTTTCCCGATGAGACCAATCAAAGGCCAGTTGGTAGTGTATGGAGTTTCCCCAGGCTGTATGGATAAGTTATGGGCTCTGCGGTGGGGTCTGGCTTAGAGGAGACCCTTAACAAACAGGTTGCCATTATTATCAGAGCATCTTTAGGGACTACCACCTCTATGTCCACCACCATGACTCTATTTTAATCCATTATTTTCCTGCGTGGCTGATGAAGCTAACAATACTGATGTAAAATGGTTATGAACACCAGGACCAAAAAAATATATCTTTTCCTTATCAAGATGATTTATACTGGGAGAAGTATGGCTCTCCCCCTTCTATTCCATTCTCATATTTTGAATCAGGAGCGATTTTGCTTGAGAAACACAGTCAGGACAATTTCCATCTATAACTGCATTGTAAGGAAGAGGATAATGGGAATTTTAATGAAAACGCCAACGCAGTGCGAATAGGAATCAGCTCTTTTGCAATAGGAAGCAGCTACTTTGCTCAACAGGCAACAAAAACCTTTAGCTTGTGTTCATGAAAATGATGATCGTCTCTGGCTCCACTGAGATTTAACCAAGAGGGGAAAAAAAAGAATTTTAAAAGTTCAGATGCGGTTCACCCAGAAGTTTGTCTCCAGACTTCAAGAACATTTCAGTTTTTCAAAAGGGCACACAAAGAAAGAGGCTGGACTCCTGTACAAAAGCACACAGATTCTCTAGACCATAAGAAGCGCCTGAGCCAGTGTGCTGTTAGTTGTCTGTGCTTTGTGTCTCATGACTATGAAACAGCAGGATTGACAATGACATGCTGGACTAACCATGATCAGCCCCAGGGCCTGTGCCACAAAAAGGACTGCACAGCAATGACAGCTCATTCTTCTACCACGGTCTAGCATGCGTGCTGTGTGTGTGGTGGGTGTTATTTAGGGGAGGAGGAGGTAACAGTGAGACACGTGTTTTGTGTGTTAAGGGGACAGAGACACTAAGCTTGACCCACTATGATGTCTGAGTCAGTCTGGTGAACCAATCATGAAATGCTCAAAAGAGAGTTGCACAGTTACAAAGCCTTTGCCATTGAATGGTGGAGACTGTGGCATCAGTCCCCCACCCTATCTTCTGTAGAAAACAGAATGAGAGTGCAGTTGCACAGAGGTGGCTCCACTGTAGCTCCTCATGTTATGCATGGCAGACATTGCTAATATTCATTCCAGTTCCCGGTCAGGCATGGTGGCTCACACCTGTATTCCCAGCACTTTGGGGGGCCGAGGCATGTGGATCACCTGAGGTCAGGAGTTCGAGACCAGCCTGGCCAACATGATGAAACCTCGTCTATACTAAAAACACAAAAAATTAGTCAGGCGTGGTGGCAGAAGCCTGTAATCTCAGGTACTTGGGAGGCTGAGGCAGGAGAATCGCTTGAACCCGGGAGGTGGAGGCTTCAGTGAGCTGAGATTGCGCCACTGCACTCCAACCTGGGGCAACAAGAGTGAAACCTGAAACTTCCTCTCAAAAAAAAAAAAAAAATATTCATTCCAGTTCCCATTCTCTCACCCCGATTACTCACAGAACTACAACTCTGTTCCAAAAGGAGAAACAGCCCAGATTTAAAAAACAAACAAACAAAAAAATAAACACTGCATTCACAGCCTCTCTTGCTGACAAGGGTGATCATAGGCCCAACTGCAGTTCTGATCAAAGAGAAACAGTGAGAGGTCTGGCGGGGATTTCCGGGAAAGTTTTGCTCTCCTAATTTGGTGCCTCTCTGTGTTAGATTGCAAGAATGGCCACAAGTTCTTCCCCTTGTCACACTTTTGGAATTGACTTTGCAACTTCTCTCATCGAAAAGCAGTTTATTTTTTCACCCTTTGACTCTGGGCTTGGTCTTGTGAATTGCTTTGGCCAATGGTACAATAGCAAACAAGATGCAAACAAAAACAGATTGCATGATGGAGATTCCCTTCTCTTGCTGTTCTTGGAAACCTGAAACTGCCACGTGAAGACACCAGGGCTGGCCTACTGTAAGATAAGGGACATGTGGCCTGGGAACTCCTGTCTCTCTGGCCAACAGCATGTCAATAACCAGACACATGAATGATTCATACTAGATCTTCCAACCTACAGCCAACCCACCAGATGTCTGCAGATGTGTGAGTGAGACCCACAGAGACCAGCTGAACTAAGCAGAACTGAAGACCACTCATCTGACACAATGATTGTTGTTTTATGCCACCAGGTTTGGGGGATTGTTTGTTACCCAGCAAAAGCAAACAGATCTATACTTTTTTCCCACGCCACTTTCTTCTTCCTGCTTGGAATGCAGATGTGATACTGAAGGTGGGACAACCACCTTTGCAACCATGAGGACAAATGCTTTACAGAAAGATGGAAGAGGCCTGGCAAAGTGATGCTACCATGGACTCAATAGCTGCACAATCCCACAAGTGTCTGCCTCCAGACTTTATGGTTTGTGAGAAAAATAAAACCTTGTGCTGTTAAGCCACTTGTATCATCCAGTTTTTAATTACAGACATCTGAATCCACTTCAGGTAGTTTAAGTAAAAAGCAGTTTATGAAAATATGTCACTTAGCTTATGGAACCTCTAAAGATCCAGAGAACCAGTGTAGTCTTTGCAATAAAAGAGGGTGAGGTGAGGCCTGCTTCCCACGAGAGGATGCATGTGGATTGTTTGATTCTACGTAGCCAGGAGAAAGGGAAGCCAGACATAGCAGAGCCAAGAGCAAAGCCCCACCATAGTGCAGGACTGTTGTGCTAGAAATAGAAGTGTTGCCACCTACCATTGCAACCAAATTATTATTATTATATTATTAAGGGAATGAACAGCAAAATTTTCTTTTTTATCCTCAACTTTTATTTTAAGTTCCTGGGTACATGTGCAGGATGTGCAGGTTTGTTACACAGGTAAATGTGTGCCACGGTGGTTTGCTACACAGATCAACCCATCACCTAGGTATCAAGCCCAGCATCCATTAGCTATTCTTCCTGATGCTCTCCCTCCCACCCCTCAACAGGCCCCACTATGTGTTTTTCCCCTCCCTGTGTCCATGTGTTCTCTTCATTCAGCTCCCACTTGTAAGCAGGAACATGCAGTGTTTGGTTTTCTGTTCCTGTGTTAGTTTGCTGAGGATAATGGCTTCCAGCTTTATCCATGTCCCTGCTGAGGACACAATCTCATTCCTTTTTATGGCTGCATAGTATTCCATGGTGAAAACTACCATTTTCTCCACGGCTCCCCTGGAAGAACAGATGCCTCTGTCTCTGTACTCTCCACATTGCTACTCCCATGTTTCTTACTTCTGCCCCAAAATCTCATGCAAGACCACCTATTTGCTAGAGCCATGTATTTCAATCACTTCCTCTTCAGGTAATTGTTGAGGGAGGGTTTCCCTAGCCCTCTAGGGTTATAGGAATGGTCAAACATATGACACCCAGCACCGGATAGATGAAATAAACATCAGTTTATTAGTCATATACACTCACTGTCCAGGGGAGGAGGACAGTGCATACTGTACAGGGCCATATGGGGATTCTATTTGGGAGCACAATGAACAAACAGGGTCTGTGGGAGGCAGTCTTTCCAATAACAGAGGGTGAGGTGAGGCCTGCTTCCCACGAGAGGATGCATGTGGCTTGTCTGAATATTTCTGTGTGCTGGCAGGGGCCTGAAGCCCACCACTCAGGGATAAGCAGACACTGGGCCTGGTCTCCCTGACAAGGAGGGCTTGTTTGGTTAGGGGACCTTATCTGCCACAGCAGAGTGGGCAAGGGACTTGAGATTAGGCCATTTGAGGCCTCCCCATGCTATTTAATCTTAATTTCAGGACTTGTACTACACCATTTCTCAAGGAAGCTCCCTAGCTGGAAGAAGAATTAGGAAATCTAATTTTAGTTTTCTATCCTGTAGCTCAGAAAGGCAAGCTCAGAGGCTTGAGATAGGTGTTGAGTGAGCAATATTCCACCTTTTTTATTATTTAACATCCACATATATGCTTCTTTCCATAATTAAACTTTTAAATGATAACAGCAGCAGCATGCTCTTACCTTATACAACTAGCCCTTCTACAAATGAAAATGTCCATCCCTTCCCCGCAGGAGGAAAGACTCCATGTCTCATGGTCAGTGTTTCCAGCTCTGGGTGGTGTTTATTCCTTTTCCAGTGCAGTCAAAATCCTATCTAGCTATCCAGTCACCTGGGGACTAAATAAATAGTAGCAGAAAGGGAGGGGGGAAATTGGAAATACACACACATCAGAAAAAGAAAGAAAATAAAGGGAGCAACTATAGTCATTTTCTGCAGCTGGTAAGGCAGTGACAAGAGGGCATAGCAGTGCCCAGTGGAAGTATCAGTGATGCCAGGAAGATGTCATGGTCTGCGCAGAGAGTTCTGGAACAGTGTTAAGAGACAAAGATGGCTGAACTAATTGTATGGGAGCACATATAAAGCCATCCAGGGCTTCTGGAAATACCAGAGTGCGACTCGTTGCAGGGGTCTGGGTTCCTGCCTTATAAGCGAGACAAGACCCAGCAAGAAACATGTTAAAAGAAGCAAAAAGACACAGTCAAAGCCCCCAAAAAATATCCAACTGGGAAGACAATTATTCAATGCACAAAATACCTACCCTCCCCACCCGCCCCCGCACCCCCCCCCCAAAAAAAACCCACAAAACATTAAGGATATCCTGGCTCTATAAGAAGTACTGAGACAAGGAAGAAAAGAAGGTGCTGATCTAGGGTGTGTCCATCTGGGGAGGACAACAGATCTTCATGATGTCCAATGGCCAGAACAGGGCCTCTGCTGTGCTCTCAGAGAGCACAAGAGCTTCCAAGGTCCAGAGAAGTCAAGTGACTCACTGGAAGTCACACAGGCAAGGAATGGCAGGCAAGTATCTTTGTGGATAGGACAGTGCAGCAAACCATAATGGAGTAACTTCTAGGCAGTCGTTCTTTGTCTTGTTTCTCCTTGCACTTTTCACTCTCCTCTCAGTCAAAGAAAAGAACTACTGTCTAATTACAATAAAGTAACTTGATTTCCTCATGCCTCCAGTAGGCAAACTTTCCCATCAGTCACCTGTTTCTTAGATGAACTTTTCTGGCTAATGGGATAAGAAAAAAAGTAGTTTCCATTGTAACCATATCTTATGCATATGCCATGGAAAGGACACTTATTTGGAAGTCAGGAGACCTGAATTCTTTTCCTGGCCTGGCCAGTGACTGCTGGAGGTTCTGAGCTGGTCACTTCGTCCCTGTGGGCTTCTGTTGCTTCATCTGCAAAATGATAGGGTTGGCCTGGATCCGTGGTTGTGCAGGATCTGTGGTTGTCCAGTTGCTCCTTAAAAACCTCAGATTACATGACAGTGTCTGAGCAGCAGACAATGGGAGAAACCAACTTGACAAGACTTTGGGTCCCAGAGAAGTCAAGTGACTCACTCACTTGACTTCTCTTTGGGTCCCCATTCCAGCTGAGTTTTCTATATTGGGGTTCCCAGGCTAAGAAAAAACAAATCAAATAGAGAGTTACCCAGGCCCTAATAATCTGTGATTCCAATGCATTTGGTTGATGATTCTAAAGATAGCTCCTTGCCCACACGCCTAAAGTGAGTGAAATTTTGGATGGGCTAAAAATAAAGAATGCTGGTGTGATTTCCGGATTTTTTCAGAATGGCACAGAGAGTGGACTGAGAAAAATGTTTTATGAGTGGGAATTATGTTGCTTTCCTGCCAAGATTTATCACATAAGCATGTTTTATCCTTTGCAGCACCAGCTTTATTGTGAACACTATTTCACTGTATGTGCATCTGCCTTAAGGACATAGACCAAAGGCTCTTAGAGGCTGGGGCCACAAGGTATCCAGCATGGAGATTAATCATCAGAACCTTCTAAAGAAGTCAGTGGGAAGGATGAGAGAGTTCAGTGTTCTTCATTTCCTCCTCCAGAATCTTAGCCATATTTGGGATTTATTTAGTCATGTTATAAATACCGTACTACTATGACAACTGGGACAGCTACACTATTATTAGGACAACTGCATTATAAATAAATTTTAAGCAGAAGTTCTAAGCAAGTGAATATACCCACCTTTAGTTCAGAACAGCTGTTAAATGGTCTGGTAGTAGACGAGTTGTAAGAAAACAGAGATTCCCAAATTGTGCTGTTTGGTATTAAAGAAAAATTGGTCCAGACATGGGCATGGTGGTTCACACCTGTAATCCCAACGACTTGGGAGATAGAGGTGGAGGGATGACTTGAGATGTGGAGTTCTAAACTAGTCTGGGCAACATAGTGAGACCCCGTCTTCAAAAAAAGAAAAAGAAAGGAAGAAAGGAAGAAAAGAAAGAAAGAAAGGAAGGAAGGAAGGAAGGGAGAAAGAAAGGTAAAAATGGTTTCTAATGCTTTGAATTTTTAGCTAATGAAGTAAAAACAATGATACATGGGACACAGTAAAATGTAGGGAATGATATATAGGAATCGAGATAATTTTAATTTGTCTACTGATGAGCAAACTGAAAGGTACCATTAGGATCGTCTTCAAGTGCATGATGTTTTGTGAATTAGATTCTTCATGGTCATTTTCGGTATTCCAAAAAGAACAAGGAAGAAATGGACTTATGTTTAGGAGATAAGACTTGGTTTCTTAATGGAAGTAAATCAAGACTTTTCTTTTTTTGTAATAAAACACTAAGGTGGACAAAATAAGGTCACCCTCAGATCTCTTGGCATCTGGCCACCTGTCTTGGACAGGTGTCCAAGGTGTCTGTTTCAAGGGAAATGGCTGGAGAGGGGGATCTTCATGGGATTTGCATTACACTGATGAGTGTACATGGAGCATCTTTAGAAATGTGTGTTGATGGAGTTGTTACCAGCCTATCACATCTGTAAAACGATGGATGCTTTTAAAACCTTTTCCTAGACATGCTCTCATTTGGGCTGTGAGAAAGGTTCTGAAGCAGCATTTTTCCTGTGTATATGAAACAACAGAAACTCAGGGACGTAAAGAGGCTTAACCACAGTCAGGTGAAAACAAGTGGCAAGGGCAGGTAAACCCTGCTGTCATGGCCAGCCATGGACCCCAGCACTGCAGAGTGAGAGACGCCTATCAGCAGGGGGCAGCATTGAGAAGACGGTGCTTGGGCGATGGAGAATGGGGCCACCTGGTGAAGAATGGCTGCCTGCTAAGGTGTCTCCAAAGTGGGGCTTGTTGCCTCAGAGCATGATCAGGCTTTGGGATCAGATCCTCCCCTATTGGGTTGTATTAGTCCGTTGTTTTCACACTGCTGACATACCCGAGACTGGGCAATTTACAAAAGAAAGAGGTTTAACTGGACTTACAGTTCCACGTGACTGGGAAAGCCTCACAATCATGGTGGATGCAAGGAAGAGCAAGTCACATCTTACATGGATGGCAGCAGGCAACGAGAGGGAGCTTGTGCAGGGGAATTCTTCTTTTTAAAACCATCAGATCTTGTGAGACTTATTCGCTGTCATGAAAACGGCACAGGAAAGACTTGCCCCCATGATTCAATTACCTCCCACTGAGTCCCTCCCACCACACGTGGGAATTCAAGATGGGGTTTGGGTGGGGGCACAGCCAAACCATATCACAGGTTCATAGACTTCCTAAGATATCGTTTCAACAACTCACTTCACAGAGGTGGACACTGAAGCCACACCATCCATGTATTTATAGCAAGAATGATCTCTTTCCCCAGTGACAGGACCACTCATGTCCATCCAGAGCTGATGAACTACACAGGAAGTGGAAGCTAAGGACAGGCTGCTGGAGCTGCCAGGGTGGAAAGGAGACTTGGACTTGAGCATAAATCCCCTGTGAAGATTTCTAGCTGTCTGCCTTTGATGGGGCTCCAAGTCTCATTTCTTCACTGTGCTCAAACCAGCTCTCAGCAGTCCTGTGTACATGCTCATACCCCATTCCTAGAATCAAGCTTTAAAATCAAGATTTTAAAAATAACACACACCAGGTCATCAATTGTTGAAGTTTTGTTGTGTTTTGTTTTTTAAATGTTTTAGTGACAAGGTCTCGCTCTGTCACCCAGGCTGGAGTGCAGTGGCACGATCATAACTCACTGTAGCTCACTTCTGGGCTTGAGGGGGTCCTCCTGCCTCAGTCTCTTTAGTAGCTAGGACTATGGGCACGTACCATCACACCTGGCTAATTAAAAAAAAATTTTTGTAGAGATGAGCTCTCTCTATGTTGCCGAGGCTGGTCTTCAACTCCTTACCTCAAGTGATCCTCCCACTTTGGCCTTCCAAAATACTAGGATTACCAGTGTGAGCCACCACACCTGGCCTGGTCATTGAAGTTTATGAAGATTACTTGCAACCATGGAATCAGATCCAGCTTGGAGAAACATTTTATTAAAATTCCCTGTGAAATACTTCTACATCCTACCCTATACCTCTGGTGATTAGAGCTACTAGCGTCCTTCACATACTGTATTCCTTTCACCTGGGCAGTGCTGAATGTACCAGGCTATTCTCCCCTTTGAATTATATATTCTAAGATACTACCCCTCACCTTTTCAATGACCCATTCTTTCCTTAAGTGCATTAATATTATTCTGATTCCAGTTCAGTCCAGGCTATTTGGAGATTTATTGGCGCTACTCTCAAGTTTAAGGGACAGCAATGTGTCTAAGGGTGGGGGATTCAAGTATAAGAGAGCTTGAGGCAGCAAAGGAGCCCAAGAGAATCTGGGATTTCTCCTACAGTCCGTTAGATTATGTTCTGGAGACAAACACTAATAAGTGACTCTATATTCCTTGACATGTGATTTTCTTGACATACTCATTTTCTGTTTGAACAATTTCTAATTTCGCTTTGAACAGAGCAGAAGCCATATTGCTAGAGAGCTGTCCGCCCCACCCCCTACTCTTGCAATCCCCACCAATCCCCATCTTCCTCACCACCAGCAAATTTCTCCTAGGGCCCTGCTGTAGCACACAGTGATGCCTTCTCTTCTTTCTGACCCATAGCTCACTTGGTTTGACCTTGCTTTGACCTTGCCACAACTTCTTCGGGCCTCAGTCTCCCATCTGCAGGAGGGGGTCTTAGACCTGACAGTCTCCAACATTTCTGCCAACTCTAGATTCTCAGAAAGATACTCTCAGGAAAAAGAACCCCAAATTAAGCAAATTGGCATTGACTTTTGTTTCTGTTCTTTCTCTTTATTCTGTAGCTGTCAAGTCTTTAGGTATTTGAAACCAAGTGCAATGGGTTCCCTGTGGGTTTAATTTCAGTTGCTCTCTGTGTATTTTTTATTATGCACTTACCGAGGGACCAGTCTCTGTAAGTGTCCCCGAGGCACAAGTGTCCTTTTAGTTCTCAGAAGCTTGGCAACCCACATAAAATCTTCTAATTAAAAATGTGCATTTCAAGAAAAATTTGAAGTCACACCCTCATACGGTGGAAGAAAGGAGCTCTGTTAAACTCTCCACGCACACAAGAATGAATCTCATTGTTAGAAAGAGATTTTCTACTCTACCAATCCTTGCTCCAGATTTCAGAATCCACCTCAGGCATTGAAGCTTCAGATTATCAGCCCCATGGGTCATAAATACTGACCTCCATTTACCATCTGTTAGCTCCATCACACAGAGACTCAATTCAGTACACATATCCTGAGAACCTACTACATGTCCGACCTAATGCTCAGAGTCACTGAGGACCCAAGGTAGTACTTTGCAAGGGCTCAGTACTTAGACTCTGAGTGAGTCAGCTGTGGTTTGGATCCAGGTTCTAGAGTGCATTTGCTCCATGACCTCTTGGATCCTCAGTGACTTCATCTGCAAAACAGATGCAACCTGCCAGGTGAGGTTGTTGTGATGTGTTCATGAGGTAATACATGCAAAGCATCAGCTCAATGTCTGATCCCTAGTAAGCCCTTAACAAATGATACCTATGATAATGATCAAAAAAGGGAAGATGACAGATTCATTTATTCAGCAGGCATTAACCAAGAGCCTTTTATGTTCCACACACAATGCTGGACAGTGAATATGCGTTGGTAAACAAAGCAGGCATAGTAGCTGTTCTCATGGAACTTGCAATCTCATAGGAGAAACAGTCTCTATAAAACAAACAAATCTATAAATATATAATGACAAGTTGTGGTAGGTGATATGAGGAAAATGAACTGATGCCTGAAAGTGCTTGGGAAGTTAGTGTGGGCAGAAGCATGTGGCCTTGGAAAAGAAGACAGAGGTTTCACCACAGCACAGGAAATACTCTTTTGAAAGGAGGTGGTCAGGGCAGTTTTTACAGGACAGAAGAAGGAGCCCAGGAGAAAGAAACACATTTATCAGAAGAAACTTAGTTTTGTTCCATTATTGGCTTATAATATTTTAAAGTTTGAGCATTTACCAAAAATGATCCAGCCCAAATCTTTTATTTTAAATATGGGTAAACTGAGGCATGGAGCATGAGTTGCCACCAGTCATATAGTTAGTTAATGAAAGAGCAGGCCTTAGAACTCTAGGGTTTTGGACTTCTGATTTATCTTCCTATCTCTTATTTCTTCTTAAATATATCAGAACATCCAGGGGTTTTTCTTTAAGGATGTTAGAAAGTAGTATCAAGGTGCCTTCCTCCCATCACTAATAATGGTCCTTTCTTGAAATTTCTGGGGGGAAAAAGCCATAGGGTAAAGATCCTATGAGAATCCTGCAAATGTTAAGCTATTTGAACTTGGGTAAGCTCCACCTTCATTCATCAGTGCTTTCCCATTTGAGTATTTGCTCTCTTTCGGCACTTGGGTTATGTTAGAATCATGTTCCCATCCAATTCCATAATAATCAGAGATCCAGAGCTTGGGGCTGGCTGTGCAGGCTTGAAGACCTTGCCTGCTGAGCCCTACCCTACACTGCACCCCACACAGGACCACTGCACTGACCTTTGGGGACAGGTCACCAACCCCGTGTCTGAAAAGGTTCTCACCATGAGGATGGGCATCTGCTACTTCCGTCGACACTCAGATATGACACAGAAGGACTTAGGATTCCAGCCATCCCTAAGTGGGCTGGGTGTCCCAGCTGGAAGCAACATGCACTTCGATGGGTTTAGGTTTAAACTGCAGCTTGACCACTTATTAGTAACTTCAGGCAAGTTACTGAATCTCTGAGAACTTCAGTTTCTGTAAATATAAAATAAGAATTTGGATCTAACTTTCAGGGTTGTTGGAAATGAAATAAATACCTAAGATCATACATGGCACATGGTATTCAACAAATTTCATTCTTATTTACTTAATAGACACATCCATGACACTCTGTAATAGGCTCTGTTCTAAAAGCTTAACAACCATTAACTTAAACCCCTTCTATTTTCCCCGTGAAGATGACTGCACTGACAGTGAGAGGGGTTTCATGGAGCAATGGGCTATATCAGAAGGTCTTTGGAAATAGAAACACCTTGTCTTCAATGAAAACCATTCACCCTGCCTCTCAAGCATGAAACTAGAAGTTTTTCTAGACTCCCAGTTAGTGGTTTACTTAGTTAGTTCAGATTATTACCCACATGGGTCATAAGTACCGAATATTGTGATGATTAATAATATGGATAATTTCAATGTCTAGCATCAACTCTTGATGTGTTTTCTTGACACCTCCCCCCACCTTTTTTTTAATAGCAGACATACACTGGGCCCATGCCTGTCACCCTAAGTTACTTATGCTTCCCAAAGGCTATGCTTCTCCTCTTTGCCCAAGCTGCCCTTAGTCATGAGTTTGCCTGGCAAAGTCTTCTAAGCCTCATCTCAATTGTCACTTTATCTTGGCCTGTGAGATCTTTCCTGACCTTCTGGCTTGCATAGATGACTCCCTCCTGGGGGGACCTCTATACCCTGCCGTGGTCCAGAGATACAATCCTCTATACCCTGCCCGTGGCCCAGAGATACAATCTCTTACAGAGGTTGTATCTTACTCTATGGTATCTCTAGCACCTGGTCCAGTGGCCCATAGTTAGGAAGAAAGAGTGAGAGGAAAGGAAGGAAGAAATGGAGGAAAGAAACGAAAAAAGGAAAAGAAAGAGGGAGGAAGAGAAGAAAGAGGAAGGAAGGAGGAAAGGAGGAAGACTTCATTGGTTAATCAGCCAATGATCACATCAAAGCAGCTTGTCACTGCTGGTCACTGTTACCCACCCTCACCGCTCTGCAAGGTAGAAAGTGGAGATATGGAGGTCCAAATGCCAGATGCAAAATGTTTGTCTAACTCGGCAATCAAACAGCCATGTTTCAGGTGTTCTAGAAGATAAATGCTCACCTCGAACATGAAACTGTGTCTTCTTTCACTGTCTTGAAAAATACACAAGACAAAACATTTCCAGAGCCGGAGGCAGGACAGGTGAGCTTTGGATATCAGGACCAAGGGCCGGTTTCACTAGCGCAGGTCACCCCAGCTCACTCTTTTCCTGAGAAGAGGTGGTGGAACAGTGGGGACAGGGTGATGGTCCCCAAGGGAAGAATGTACCAGGTGGGGCTTTCGTGCAGTGGAGGCCTCTGTACCCTGAGGCCCCAGCTCTTCTGCACCACTGCATCTACCCCGGATCCCGAAGTTGCCCTGCTTGGCATTCACCATCCCAACATGAAGCTGGAGTTGGAGCAGTCAATGGGGCATGGTGGGGATGCAGTGAGAGTATGAGTGGACTGACAGCAGGAAGCCTTCATTCATTCATTCATCCATCATCCATCCATTTACTCATCATCCATTCACTCTACATATGTTCCTTGATTGACTAATATATGTTGGAGATACATTGATGTAAAACAAAAGCCTTACTGATGAGGAGCTCCAAGTCCTGCCATCTCTGTGTGCCAAGTTCTCATCTATAAATGAGAAGCATGAATACTTTCGAGGGCATAGTTCTGCATGACGGCAATTCATAGTTAAATGAATTCTTCTCTCCATGAATTTAAAGCAAACCCACACAATTTTGCAGATTTGTTTGGGAGACTTGTAAACACACTGAAGGTCATTTCACGAATACCAGGTCAAAAATTCTTGGGCAAGAATGTGGTTCTCTGTCTTCCTACCCAAAATTCATTCCTTGATTCTATAGTACAGCTGCTCTAACAGAGACTCCTTTAAACATGGTATTTTCTAACATTAAACAAAGGTTTCAGTCTTTGACGGAGGCAGGCACAAGACAGCATCTTGTTTCAAAGCAACGCAAGGAAACCAACTGGTGGGGAAGAAAGTGGGTAGGAGGAATACGGAGTGCCCTGATCTGCCAGCTCACCACCTTCCACATCCACTCCCACACTCAGCCCTGCCTTGCTAAGGGGGATTCAAGAAGCCCTATGTCTGTAGCTTACCTGGCTTAACAGGGAGTTAGTCTGGCTGACCAGCCTTCTCTGACTTGCACAGCTCAGTTCCTAGTGCCTGGAGTCCTGCCTTGGGGATTCAGGTTTTGCTTCTCACTCTGGACTAACCTTCAGAGCACTGGGTGTTTTCCCACCCAGCCCTGTTTTGCCCCTCGTTTTGTCAGAGCTTCCATCAAGATCTCACACTTCAGAATTCTGCTAAAGGCACATACAGCCTGGCCTGAGCATTTCCTTAGGGTTTGGCTTCTCTGTTTCAGACCAACAGAAATTCCTACACCCCTAACAGCCAATAGCCAAGGCAGCAGGGCCCTAGCTATTTGAGAGTTTGGTCCCCACTATGCCCCCTGTCGGGAATGTCCCCTTCTGTCATGCCATCTCTAATCCATCCTGCATCGCCCCCCAGCCAGGATACTTGGGAGTCAAACAGGAGCTGAAGAGCTAGAACAGGGCTAGAGTGAGACACGTGAGGCATTTGGAGCCTGAAACTTAGAGACACTCATGCTTAGTGTTCATCCCCCTCTCTCACCTCCATTGATCCTCTCCTGGTGAGGAGACCTCCTCAACCTGGAATAGACTTATGCACTCTCTAGAGAAAAATATTTTTAATTTCTGTTTTTAATTACTGGAAGGGACCACATGGTTATATATAAGAAATCCTACTGCTTCGGGAGGAAAATTCATGGGGAAGAGGAAAGTATTTTGTATCAGGCACAGCAAGTGTTGTGGCTGCTGATTAACGTGATTAATCCCTTCATGAAAAACAGCATTTTTAACGTTGACATGAGTAATCACACCTTTTCTTTCCGTAGTAGTTTAGCATTTCCTGTTATAATAATTCAAGCCTAATGCCTCACTGAAGGAAGCAGAAGTGTCAGCGTGTTATTCATTTTCTCCACGTTGTCCCATTTGTTTCTTCATAAACTCTGGCGGAATCTGCCACCAGGCTGTCGGACCTTGGTGATTCAGGGTGGACGTCAACTGAAATTCTAAAAGGGCATTGCCTGGAATGACCGACGCACAAAGGATATTTCTCAAGTTGGTGACAACTCAATGACCCAGTGACTCGGTCATAAGTCTCTTGAGCTGTGGGGTCCTCTGCTCTTATATTTTCAAGGCTATTGTCTAGGGAAAGGCAGGGTGGAATAGAGGAAAAATCCTAAGACCAGGGCTCAGGTCTCTTGGGTCCTCATCCCAGCTCTGTGGTCTAATTTTGCCAAACTTCTTGACTTCCCTGGGCTTTAATTTCCTCATCTGTACAAAGAGAAGACTGGCTGAGAACAGAGGCAAAATGGTTGTCACGCTTTGGCAATCAAACAGCCGTACATGTTTCAGGTGTTAAGGAAGATAGATGCTCTAACACAAAATTCTGTCTTCTCTTACTCTCTTGAAAAACAAACAAGACAAAACATTCGCAGAGCTGGAGACAGGAAGAATGAGCTTGGAAGATCAGGACCACGTGCTGGTTTCACTACCTCTGGTCACCCCAGCTCATTCTTCTGCTGAAAAGAGGCAGGAGAACAGTGAGAACAGGGTGGTGGTCCCCAAGGGAAGAATGATCAATGGAGACAGTTTCATGATGCCATTCATGAAATTCATCAGAATTTCATGATGCCCCTTGGGGTGACTATCAGGGTTTTAAGTTATTCTTGAGAGTTTCTCGAACGCTTTTCTGTCTTTGTTTTCTAAAAGACTTTGATGATGGCAGTGGGAGCTCAGATTCATGTTGGAGTTACCATTCTGGTTTGCCAAGGTAGTGGAGGAATGTGGAAAGACGTCGCTGCACTTTAGTCCTGTACTTCTGACCTGTACTCAAAGGCCTTTCCCTTCCTACCCTGGGGCATCTCCCCACACAGGAGCTTCATGCCAGCTTCCCCTCTGCTGGGGTTGCCAACTCATGACTCCCTGGGGGAGGCCTCCGCACTAGCCTGCCAGCACCTTCTTCTTTCCTTGAAGGCTTGTGACTCATAGCTGCTGTGTAACGTGTGGCACCCCCAGACAGGAACACATCTTGCAAATTGCATCGGGGGCTGCTTCTCTGGTCTTCCTTCTGGATACCAGATTTGGAGGTGCCAAATGGAATTGAATTCTTTATAGGTTAGAGAGCATTTAACTATACCTGGCAGGGCTCTTTAACTCAGACTTTAGAGTTTTTTTTTCATATCTATAC
Source organism: Homo sapiens (assembly GCF_000001405.40). Taxonomy (NCBI): domain Eukaryota; kingdom Metazoa; phylum Chordata; class Mammalia; order Primates; family Hominidae; genus Homo; species Homo sapiens. The sequence goes on from NC_000008.11 coordinate 29,655,882, forward strand.
ACACACACAGATATATTTCATAATAGGCAACATGACTAATATTTGCAGTATTGTTTTGATTCTATCAGTGCAACTGGTTCACTCATTCCTGAGTGTCTAAACATCATTAAGATTCTAAAGGTTTGCTCTGAAGAACATACTCAGAATAAGTTCTGGTATTTTTCTCTGGACATGTTGTTTTCCAACTACTTAGAGAAAACAACAAAGTGGGATAAGACTGGATAGGCAAATAGGTTTGATTTTATTTGCCAGTGCCAGTTGATGTATCATGGCTTCCTCGTGGCTGTGTTGAAAGGGATCGTGAGACACTGACTTGGCAGGAAGAGGTGCCTTGGCAGGAAGAAGTGCCTAGTGGATGAGCAATGCCTGCTCTGGGCAAGGAGGGGACCAAATAGCATGTGTGCCACTTTTAGACCCTCCCTGGACAATATCTTTCCAGCCACTGCCTGCCTCATCCTCCTCCTTGAAACCAGAGGGCAAGGCATGATGTTCCACCGATAGGATTATTGTCTATGATGGAGGAAAATCCTATGAAACTATGATTATTTCAGTGATAAACCAAACTAGAGAGTAAGTTATTACATAATTCTGGGGACTTGCTGCCACATCAACATATCGGTGGATTCTGTTGAAAATGAAGTCATTGTAGCTTGAAAATGAAGTCATTGTAGTGGAGACTAAAATGATTTAGTTGGGACTTCCTGACAATGACAAGAAGGGGAGTAGAGAAGGAAGTGGAGATGCCATACAATTTGCTACACGGTTATAACTGCACACGCAGCAAGTTACAGATGACTCTTACAGGATCCTAACACTAACCTCCATTTCCTCCTTACTAAGAATGTGGCAAATTCTTAGCTCTTCAGGACTACAGTAAATCTGGCCAATTTTGTGTGTGTCCTATTTAGATTTATTATTTTTTTCTTTTTAAGAGACAGGGTCTCACTCTGTCACCCAGGCTGGAGTGCAGTGATGTAATCATAGCTCCCTGCAGCCTTGGACTCTTCTGGGCTTAAGTGATCCTCCCACCTTGGCCTCCCAAGTAGCTGGGACTGTAGACACATACCATCATCCCTGGCTAATTATATTTATTTTTTGTAGAGACAGCGTCTCACTATGTTGCCCAGGTCAGTCTCAAACTCCCAGCCTCAAGTGATTCTCCTGCCTTGGCATCCCAAAGCACTAGCATTACGAGCATGAGTCTCCATGCTCAGCCCTATTTAGATGTCTTTATCTTGGTTTATCAATGCTGTCTCCTTTGCCTCCTAGTACTCGTTCTTACGTCTCTTTATGCTGGAACAAATTCTTCCTCCCATGAGGGCTCGCAGAACACCAAATGCTGAGAACTGTTTCTCCATCTGCTCTCGCTTTGGACTTTGAAGACTGAGTCCTCATTAATTGTACTCCTATAGCTCTAGATATCTGCCTTTTAAATTGTTAATTACTTGAAATTTAAAGAGGTTTCTGCTGCCTGCGAAACTCAAAAAACAAAAACAAAAACAAAACAAAACTCTCCCATCCTCCTATACCCCCCCGCAAATCTTGGGAATCCATCTGTCTTGTACATCGTGACCTTTCTGTTCCTCTGTTTTGGTCACTGTGCTACCTGGCTTGTGCTGTGGCTAGAGAGAGGGTTTCACTGGTTGAGAGAGAACATATTTTAAGTGGAATAGGAACCAGGAAAGGCTCTAAAACTGATAGATTCAATGATATTTTCAGGGGTCAACCTCAAATGCTCTGTCCTCTCTGCACAACAATGATAAATTCAACTGCCTAACAGTAGGAAGAACTAAAATTCTCGCTGTTATCATGGTGTCATCTTTGTGGGGTAAGCTGGTTGCCCTCTGAGGACTCTTGGGCTGGAAGCCTGAGCGGAGGTGATAGGTTGCTCTGTCTGGGAGATCAGTCCCAGTTTGGACCTGTCTGTGTTCACTGGGATTGTTTCTGGGATGCAGGAAATGGATACATTCTCACATGGAGAAGTGAGAGAGAACAGGATCAATTTCAGCAGGCCTTATGGAAAACTGAACATTCGTTGAAAATACAATGCATTTCTAGCAACTTTGAGTTCCTCTATCCACCCAGGAGCTGCTGCTGATTGCTGCTAGAAAGTCGCAATGGCGTTAAGTACTACTGCACATCTCTGCTTTTGCAGGTGGTGAAGGTGTCATCTGTTAATTGTTCCTCAGCATGACTGGAGTATAGGTCAGCCCACAGAGACTGTCTGATTAGTTTGGCCTATCAGCATCTGGGATGAGTGTCCCTTTTGGGCAGAGGTCACTTAGGCCAATTAGGCCACTCAGCAGCCTTCCAGCCTTGCCCTTCCCAGTGCAAACAGCTGGGAATTGGTTAAGTGGCACACAGCAAGGTGACCCATGTGAAACAACCCCTTAGAAGGGGCAGTGTTGTGACAGGCGCTCCTGGTGCCTTAGTTCCATCTGCGTTCTATAGTCTTGCTCTGGATGTGTGGCACCTTCCTTCTTTATTCCCTCACAGTTACCCTTTTTCCTTTGTCTTCCTATCCATGGTGCTTTCTCTGGAATGCATCCTCCTTTGCACGTCACCACATCACAGAGTGTTGTCACACAAAAGCCACAGCCAAAACTTCCCCTTTGAGGTGTTTTTGGGAAAAGTGCTGTGTGGACCCCAAAGAGTATTTTCTAGTCTTAGCCCTGCCTATTTCTGTTTATTATTTCCTGCCTAGTCTCTCATCCTTGTCATTGCTCCCTGCCTTGGTTTATTTCATACCAGTTCCCTTTAAATTTGGTTTAATCAGTCCCACTTTCTATGTGCTGAATTGAGGGGTCATGGAATGGAGGTAGCATCATCTGATAACTCTGTTATTGAACATTCTTCTGAGTGCATTGGAGGTTAAAGTGCATAAGATTCAGCCCTCCCTTCCATCCTCACCCCCTCCATGAACCTGAAGGGCAAAATGACTTGCTTCCATGAAATCATAGGGAAAGACAGATTCTGGAATATTTGCAAGTACTCATCCCAGTGGCTGTCACCTTTCACGTGCTGAACAATGCATATCTGTTGGATACATGGATGAATGCTTGATCGTGTTGTTAAGCATGTAGAGGCTATGGCAGTTCAAGTAAGGTATGACAGTGTCTGCTGGAGAAATAAGGGAGAGTTCCAATAGAAGGCAGGACAGGAATGTGCTGGAAGGTGTGTTAGGATCTCCCTGGGCAGTCTGAGGGCAGCAGGAATAGCAGGCTAAATGGGAACCACTCAGTCCTCTGATGAAAGCTGCTGCCTCTTGGAGTTAGCTATTACGATGATGACTGCTGCTGTCATTATGGCGAAATTTACTCTAAATAGAAATCTATAACTATCTCAATGAGCCCTAAAGACAGGCTTAGTCATCATGGCCACCAAATGTCGTCACATACATTAAGTGCCCCTATGTGTCCAGAAACCTCTCAGCTGCCCTGTCAAGTGTATAGCCTCTCACTTGCTCTCATCATCTGGGCTTTCGGATGTAGAAACAGAGATACAAAGGAAGAAATCTGGCCTAAGAATAAAAGGAAATTTTACTCTCTGCATTGGATTTTTGCTATTGTGCATTATAGAGATGTTTAGATGTGAAGTGACCACTCATTCATTTGACAAATAAATATAATATTAATGCAAGAGTCACAAAGGGGTGAGAGGAGGGAGGCAGCATTCAATAACTAATTATACTTACTTCTCTAATTACAATGGGGGATCTGACCTTGTCCAGGGCAGGGAAGAATATTTCCTTAAGAACTTGATGTTTAGAAGGACAAGAAAGTCAGGCAAAGCATTAAGTGATGATGATCCATCTTTTCTAAGATACCCAGTTTCCCCATGCTTGGAAGTGCATCCTTTAGTAAGTTACAGTTCCCTGCAGTAAACTCTTTTGGCTATTTTTGACCCTTGAGAGTTTGGTTAAGAAGATAATATGCTGGCCAAGGCAGGCAGGTCACGAGATCAGGAGACCAAGACCATCGTGGCTAACATGGTGAAACCCCATCTCTACTAAAAATACAAAAAATTAGCTGGGCGTGGTGGCAGAGGCCTGCAGTCCCAGCTACTTGGGAGGCTGAGGCAGGAGAATGGCATGAACCCGGGAGGCAGAGCTTGCGGTGAGCCGAGATCATGCCACTGCACTCCAGCCTGGGTGACAGAGTGAGACTCCGTCTCAGGCAAAAAAAAAAAAGAAGATAATATACTGACCACAGCAGCTGCTCCTGATGCGAGATATACAAACATCATCACAGTAAACTTTACTCGGAACAACCACCAGAGCCTGGACTCAGGGTCTCACATGCCCCCATCTGATGTTGTTGCTTTGTATCCTAGAGTTAGGCTGAGTAGAACATGCACACGCACGTGCACGCACACACACACACACACACGAACACACACCCATACACACACGCACACACTTATACAAATACATACACATAAATACATATACACACATACATACACATACACACACACACCCCCATACACATACACACACCCATACACACGTGTGCACACACTCACACACATACACACATGTACACACATACATACACAAACACATACATACACACATACACACACATATACACACCTATTCACACACATACATACACATACACACATATACACACACACCCATACACACCCATACACACACATACATACACATACACACATGCATACATACACATGCACACACATATATGCATACATACACATACACACATACATACATACACACACACACATACATGCATACATATACAGCCCAGAGCAGTAGGTGTTCCTATCTACTTTACAGCTATTTATTGGATGTTTCCATGTTCAAAGTTCTACATATGGCTGAACGTTCCATGCAGAGATATACCACAGCAACGTCAATTTCTTGCCTCTTTGGTATCCATTATGCCCCCAGTTACCTCTGTCTTCTCCTTCCAAGCAGTTTCATGCCAAGCTTTCTACCTCCCTCACCCTTGGTGCTTTTACTCGTCAACACATAGGCTTTGAGGTCATCGATGCTTATGTTTTATTCTGTACCTTGTAAGGAAGCTGTGGAGCCCACATGGGTGGCATTTCTAGTCTGTCAAAGCTGGGGCCCAACCATGAACGGAGAAGCTTTTATTGTTGTCAAAAGAAATAGCATCTCGCAATCTCAAACGTGAACTGCAGAAGAATTGAGAGAAAGCAAGAGGTCTGAAATGTGTTTACAACTAGCTCGCTGAAAACAAAGGGAAGAGCATTGTTCCATAAATGGCTCTGACCCAGCCCCTACAGGCTCCATTCTGAGATGTCATGGCTGTCACCGACACAGCCTAAAGCTAGGCAGGGAGGCGGTGGGTGGAAGACATGGAAATTTTGTTTCAGGCTTCCAATATTTATGGCTATAAAAGTAATAGGACCACATGATTCTCTCTTATTTAGGAGTAAAATGCCCATTTTACAAAGTAAATTGTGAAAGTAAAAGTGGTAAATGAAGAATAACCATCTGCACTGGAAACATGCTTTGGTGGCACTTCTACAAGGAATCATGTGGAAATGCTTTATGCTGATGTAGTAACTCGCCTATCACATTATCCAGGAACAACTGGAAAACAACGTCATGGATGCCACATGTGGAAGACAAAGATCAGTCTTGGAAATGAGACTGAACTTTGCTCTCTAGGATTTTCAGCAAAATATTCATATTCTCTGGGCCTCTATTTTTCTGTCTGTAAAATGAGAACATGAATTTCTGACTCCTAAAAAGAGAGAGGAAGTGCTTTCTGACCCAGAAAACAAGGCTGCATTCTTGTAGCTACATATCCAAAGAGTTACTGGTTGGCAAAGAGAGGGGGAACTGGGAGAAAAATGTCGTTGGTTGATTTGAACATTTCAGTCTAGCTAAAAGCAGAATAAATTTCATCATGGTAGGCAGAATAATGGCCCCCAAACATGTTCTCATCCTGAGATTGACAAAAAGGAAGCAGCGACTCTAGAAGGCAACAAGGCCAGCAGCGAGGCTAGGGTTCTAGAACGATGTCTCCAAGATAAAAATAAAACTGATAGTAGATACGTTTGAATGCCTCGAAAGGAGATTTCTACTTCTGGCAGAGTTTTAGGATACAATTGTGATAAGTACATAGGAAAGTGAACAAGAAAAAGATATAGATAATTATTAACTCTAGGACAAATAAAAACAGTTGAGTAAGAAAACAAATGTTATATAAATCAGCTGAGAATGTTAATATGGTCACACAGGCATAGTAAGGCAACCTCTAGATGCTGATACAGCCCTAGTTTATCACATCATTAGAGAAAATGAGAGCGCGTGAATGTGTGTGTCCACATATGTGTGCACACGTGTGTGTGCATGTGTGTGTCCATGTGTATGTCTGTGCCAGGCAGTATGGAGGTATATGAGGAAGTGAAATCCTCAATTTCTATAGGATAGAGTTAATAGATACTATCTGTCTTAGTTCACCTGGGCTACTGTAGCAAAATCCTGTACACAGTGTGGCTTATAGGCAACAGAAATCTCCTTCTCCCAGTTCTTGGAGGGGGGAGTGTAAGATCAAAGCACTGGCAGATTTGTTGTCTGGTGAGAGCCTGCCTTCTGATTTGTAGATGGCGCCTTCTTGCTGTGACCTCACATGGTAGAAGGAGTGAGGGGTCTCCCTTGGGTTTTTTTTTGTTTGTTTGTTTGTTTTGAGACAGAGTCTCACTCTGTCGCCTAGGCTGGAGTGGGATGGTGCGATCTCGGCTCACTGCAGCCTCCACCTCCCAGGTTCAAGCAATTCTCCTACCTCAGCCTCCCGAGTAGCTGGGATTACAAGCATGTGCCACCACACCCAGCTAATTTTTGTATTTTTTTAGTAGAGATGGGGTTTCACCATGTTGGCCAGGCTGGCCTCAAACTCCTGACCTCAAATGATCTGCCCACCTTGGCCTCCCAAAGATGCTTTCTTTAAAGGTGCTGATCCCACTCGTGAGGGCTCCAAACCCATGACCTAACCACCTCTCAAAGGCCCCACCTCCTAATACCATCTCTTAAGGATTAGAGTTCTGACATATGAATTTTAGGAGAACATAACCACTCAGACTGTAGCACTATCTAAAAGTGAAAAGTCAAGAACAGCAATGTGAGAATGCCATGGGGAGGCAGGGAAGAGTTGAAGTGGCTGCCTTTCATCCAGGTGGGTGCCCTGGTTGCTAGTCAGGTGGGAGCCCTGGTTGCTAGTCAGGTGGGAAGGGCAGGGAAAGTACCTTTTTAAACTTTTTAAACTATGGGCATGAACTGCTTGGATGTAAAATAGAAATATTCTAAAATAGAATGAAATAAAACTCAATGACATCTCCTCAAGGCCCTATACAATACGCCCAAATGCTAACTCACTTCCTTTCAGAGTATATCAAAATTCTTGCTATTTCACATGCTGTACGCACTTTCTGCAAACAAGATGTTCTTCAAACATGCATGCAATGTCTTCTGCACACACTATTCCCTCCGCCCAGTGTTGCCCCTTCTCCCCTTTCTACTTGGCTAGCTTCTATTGTTCTCTCAACCCAGGGGTGTAAATCACTTCCTCCAGGAAGTCTTCCTTGGTTCTCTCAGGACTGAGTCAGTTGCTCCCCACTCTGTGTCCTCACAGCATTTCTGTCATTGTGCTGCAGTCTGTAGTAGGTGTGCCTGCCTTTAAGCTCAAGAGGGGCCATGGCTAATTCACCCTTGTATCTCCAACAGCACGACACGGTGCCTGGTACATAGTATCTTCTTACTACGCATTTACTGGATGCACAAAGAGCTCCTCATTCAATGCTAAGCAAAAAGTGAAAAAAGATGTAGTCTTGTTTCTTAGTGATTGTCAGAGAGCTAAGTGGCCTCGGAGCCAATGGATAGAGCTGGCCGGGATGGGCGATCCTGATTGGACTGAGGAGACAGAACAGCCCCAGGAAAGAAGCAGCTGCAGCCAGTCCCAGAGAGGAGGAGTCCAGCCTTCCCATGGTGGGCACCCTGGTGCCAGGAGGGGCGGGCATGAGAAAAGGCACTAGAATTGTCTCAGCCCCTTGGGAACAACCAATTTTAGCTTTAATGTTAAACGGTGACAGGACCACTCATTTAGATTTTTGCCCTGCTTTTCCTCTTCTTGGGTTGAGAGGGTCAACATCATTGACATTTTTAACTATTTGACCTTCCCTGAAGCTATTTTATTTGACTCACAGTCTATGAGCTCAGTCTTCCCCAGCATCACGTTAACTCCCTCCTTTTTGTGCCCACAGCACCTGGGGGCATCCCTAGCTTTGCCCTCTCTGCCCTGCACCGTGAAGGTTTTGCTCCTCCATAGGCTCCGAGCTCCTTGGAACAAAAGCACATCCCATCCTGAGTCTTCGTATCCAGTATATGGTTACGGAAAAAATGAGTGGATGGTTTGTGAATTCCTCCTTCCCTTTGTCAGGTCTGGGCATATGGCAAGGGGTGCTGGAGACCTTGACTTTGTCACCTGGCCCCTCTGGACTCCATTCTACACTTGTCCCTGGAGGACGTCATTAGGACGTAAGCAACCTCTGATAGCTGCGCCAAGAGAGGCAAGCAGAAATTTCACATTCTCTCCTTTAAATGCAGGGGGCAGAAATAAATATAACTGCCAGATGTTGCACTGTTGCTCTGCCTAGGGAAACAGCCTAGAGGATGCATTTCTCTGTAAGACTTCAAGATGCATCCCTGCTCCAGAATTATGTGTTGCTAAGACCCTTAGCTCATTGGATCATACTGGTCCAGCGGGCATGATCCTTCAGCCAAAAGCTTGCTGGAGCCTAAGAGTTTTGAGTGTTCTCAGATCCCTTGGGAGACAGAGATGCCAGAGAGAAATCAGTGGATACCCCCGGCCACAGATCCCTGGTGTCTTGTGTCCACAGATCCACGGCCATCATTTCCGCCAGAGAGTGGGGCAGAAGTTTAAGGATAAGTTATGTTGTCCAGGCGCAGTGGCTCATGCTTGTAATCCTAGCACTTTGGGAGGCCAAGGCAGGGGGATCCCTTGAGCTCAGGAGTTTGAGACCAGCCTGGGTAACATGATGAAACCCTGTCTCTACAAAAAAAAATACAAAAATTACTGGGGTTTGGTGGAATGCACCTGTAGTCTCAGCTACTTGGAAGGCTGAGGTGTGAAGACCACTTGAACCTGGGAGGTGGAGTTTGCAGTGAGCTAAGATCATGCCACTGCACTCCAGCTCCAGCCTGGGTGATAGAATAAGAGACGCTGTCTCCACAAAAATAAAAAATAAGTTATGGAGGCAGCTCACAGTGCCAGGGTGGAGGCAGCTCTGAATCCAGCCTCAACCCAACCCTTGCCAAGAAAGGAAGCCCTCTGCCTGTGCCCTTGCTTTCCTGAGTCCAGGGGAGATTAACAAGGTTCCTTATGACTCATTCTGTGAGTCAGACAGGGGAAGAAAAACAAGCACGTCAAAGTCTAACTTTCGGATGTGTAAAGACTTAGCAGTCTGATCTGTGACCAAAACTGTTGATTTGAAGAGCTGGGAAGGAAACCGTGAAGTTCTCTCTCCTTTCATCGTCTGGGGCTGTGCCCTCTGTGGGCTTGCTAAGTAAAGGCTCAGCTGGGAGGAAACAGAATCTGGAGAACGCCCAGCTGCTCCCACGGGAAGCATCAGGGAAGAAGGCAAGGTGTGAATTCTGCCTTCTGCTCTGCTGGGATCCCTTTCACATCTCCTTTGTCTCCAGGCAATAACGGTCCCTGGCTGTTTCCAGGTGTGACTTCCGATCTTGAGTCCTGTCTCCTTGTTTTGTGGTTCTAAATCTTGGCCACACATTGGAATCATCTGGGGAGATTTAAGACATACTCATGCCTGGTTCTGCCTCCGGGGCCTAGGCTTCTAGATCTTTACAAGCTCCCTGGTGATTCTCACATGCAACCAAGCTTGTGATCATAACTCCTCTGCAACACGTAAACTCTCCATAGAAATTATTTTTGTTATAGTTGCTTATCTCTCATTGTCTGATGACATGCTCTGTCCTAGATTAAAGAATTACATGCTTTGGGAAGATATTTCCATGGGTTGTGAAGCCTTTTTCTATACCCCAAAGTCATACTGCATCAGATATCAGTGCTAAAGATAAACCAGTGATCGCCTATTTTGTCTATTTTAGGCCTGAAAACAGAGTAAAGGGAAGACAACAGCCTAATTTTATTCTAGCTTTTTTTCTCTTCAGTTTTCCCTTTCCATTCTTCTTCCCTAAGGCTCTCAAATACCTTCTCACTCCCTCAATGTTTCCCTACTTATATATTTCTTCCTAGGTTTTTCCTACATTTAATCTATCACATATAATATGTAATATTTAATAATTACTTCTGTAGTATGTAATCTATCATATATAATATGTAATATTTAATCTATCACATTATCTACCTTACAGATATTACATATCTGTAATATGTAAACTATCATATGTAATATGTAATATTTAATATATTAAATATTTAATATGTAATATTTAATATATTTAATATTACATATTAAATATTTAATATACTAAATATTAAAGTTATTATATATGGTAGATTAAATATAGGAAACACATTTATATATAATATACATATATCATATATGATATAAATTATATGCAATATACTTATGTCATAGATAATATATCATATATAATATGTATCATATATTAAATATTAAAATATAGGAAATATATTTATATATAGACATACTAATTTATAGGAAATAATTATATATAACATATTGATGTATATTTTCTATATTTTAATGTATTATATACCTTATATACTTATAAAATATATGGCATATATTAAAGTATATTAATATTATATATGATTTAAAAATATATAATATATTTTATATTACATATTATTATATAATATAATATATAATATATAAGATAATATATTAACTATTATATATTATATTATATGTTATATATTATATATTATATTATATATTATTATATAATATATTATATCTTATATATAATATAATATAATAATATATAATATAATAATATATAATATAATATATATAATAATATATAATTAATATATATATTATATATATATTAATATATAATATAATATAATATATAATATATAATTATTATATATATTATATATATTATATATAATTAATATAATAATATATAATTAATATATATATAATATATATAATATATAATATAATATATAATTTAATATATAATATATTATATATAATATTATATATTATATATAAAATGTAATATATAATATAATATATAAAATATATTATATTATATAATATAATATATAAAATATATTATATTATATATTATATAAAAATATTATATATTATATATAAATTTCTATTATATATAAAATATAATATATTTTATGTATCATAAATTATAATATATAAAATATATAATATATTTTAAATATAATATATTTTATGTATTATATTTATTTTATATATTATCAAATTTTATACATATTTTATATTATATAAATATTAAATATTTATATAATATATAAAAATAGATATTTTATATATCGTATAATATATTTATATATCATATATTTTGTACATATTTATATATTTTTAAAATATTTTTCTACTTATATATTTCTTCCTATAACCCAGAAGAAAGTTATGCTGTGATCTTCTGCCAGCAGTTCCAACCTCATGACCCAGAAAACTCCTTCCAGTCTCTCCGTTTTGTAGGGCACCAGTGCTCCAAAACCCTCAGCTCTGGGGCAGCAGCAAGAGCCGGGAGCACTGCTCCTGGAGGGCTTCAGCCCCTTAGGTGGCCAGGGTAGGGCAGAGGTTTTCATCCCTTTTGATCTCAGGACTCCTTTACACTCTTGAAGACCCCGGAGAACTTTGGTTTATATAGATTACATCTATTGATATTGACTTCATTAGAAATTAAAACTGAGACATTAAAAATATTTATATAATACCTTACTTAAAATAAGAATAACAAACCCCATTCCATATTAACATAGATGATATATTTTCTGGGAAATAATATTTTTTAAAAATGCAATGTGAAGAGTGGCATTGTTTTACATATCTGCAAATGTCTTTTATGTCTGGTTTGATAGAAGCTGACTGGATTCTTACATCTTCTCCTGTATTCAGTCTCCTGTGATTTATGCAGCTGCCTCTGGAAAACGACACTGTAAATTGATGACAGAATGAGAATAAAAAAGGCACACAGTATCTTAGTATTATGAAAATTGTTTTGATCTCGCAGACCCCTTAAAGGATCTCAGGGACCCCTGTGGGTATCTGAGCCACCCCTGGAGAACTATTGGTATTGACAATCGAGCATGGTCAACAAAGTCAGTGTGGGGAGGATGATTAAGCAGTGCGCGGTGCCAGGAATAGGCAAAAAATTGGTACCTGTGTGTAGATCCCAGAGGACTCACAAAATGAGAAAACAGAAAATAAAAATGGATTTGACCACGTATGGTAATAATTGCTAATGTCACGAATGTGTCTTTCTCACCCATTATTAAGTTTCTGTGCAGTATACTCTATTTCGGGTGAACTCGGTTATGATACTTATTTGATTAGAATCAGGAACTGCATGCACATTGGCACAGCGAGTTTGTTGCAGCTGGAGCCCTGAGGAGCCATTCCGGAAACTCTGGTGTCCCAGCCCTGCCACTCTTGATGTAATCTTGGGGAGTGGATATGAACAGTTTTAGTTTACAGTTTCCATATCATAATAGATTAAGTAGTTGATTTCCAAAACTTCTTCTGTTTTAACATTGTCTGTTTGAAACTTTTTTTTTAAAAGGAGAGAAAGGTCATGGTATTCTTGAAAAGTTTCAGCTGAATTGAAAAAGTAAATACTCAGAAAAATAAGAAGGAAATAAAACTGAACATTAACCAAATTCTGGGTAGAAGGTCACTTTTAAGACATTGCAAAACATTTCTAAAAATTTTAAAACACTATCAAGAAGAAAGTAAAATTCACCCACTGTATTTTGGTGTATTTCCTTCTGAGCATACTTTCCCAGGTCACACAGTACACAGAATCTAATATTCTGATTCTTTAGGAAAACATGTTTACTAAATATTTACATAAAGAGTCCCCCCAGCTTTATAGTTGACAGTTAAAAATTTTATGTATTTAAGTTGTACAGCTTAAAGATTATAAATATGTATTATATCATCAGAAATTCATCACAACTAAATGGAAAATTCTTTACAATTTCCATTTAAATGCATAAAATTCAACTGTATGAAAATATTCAATTTAATGATTCCTTTTTTTTGTATTTGAGAAGTTGTATTAGGGTTCTAGAATTATGAATGATTTTGTTTCCATTTCGTTTTCGTTGTCCTATTTTCTCCAGTGTGGTTCAATGTTACTCTTATTAAAAATCATTTTAAGAACACACTTTTTAAAAAATGACAGAGCTATTGACTGTACTTACCAAGATGTCACATTCTTCTCTTCGAAGAGTTGCAATGCAGATTTTTCTTGACTTTCGTCAGAACCTCAGTCTTCACAGGGCTGCAGTCCCAAGGGTGTGGCTACAATTCCAAATACAACCATCATCCATCTAATCCTACCTGTTGGTGATTCATGCTGCCTTCACAAAGGATCCCATCCCCATTCAGATAGCAAGCAACTTGTCACTTCCCCACAACACAGCTTCCAACATGCAACAACTTTCCTGGAATTCACTTTTCCTGCTTCTGTGCCCCTCCCAATTCCAGAAAGATAGTGCAGAAATCACTCTCCCGGCACAGCACCATTAAACAGAGCCCTAGAGAAAACAGCAAAATCCAGCAGGAAGCAGAGAAGCCCAGAGACCTGGTCCCTCTTCCACAAGTCTCTGACATGGGTGCCCTGTTCTCAGGAACTTTAGGTCTGCCTCTCTGAGGAGGAGAGGGTGAGCTGAGTTGCAGAAAAACAAACACATCATGGAACTGAGTACCCTAAGCAATTGAGATTTATTTGTTAAAATAGAAAACAGAAGGTACATGAAGGTGAGGACAGAACCAAGTGCCCCAGCCCACATTATGGGAAGAGCACCAAATCTGGTCACACCTATTTCCAATGAGCGATTTCTTTGGTTTGTTTCCCCTGTCCAGGAGTCTTGCAACCCTGTAATTGTCTAGGTGGAACTTGGATGTCTTTACCTTTTAGTGGGAAAATGCTCTACTGCACACATGTTCATTTCCTAGGGATGCCATAACAAAGTACCATGAACTGGGTGGCTTAGAAGAACAGAAATGTGGCAGGGTGCAGTGGTTCACACCTGTAATCCCAGCATTTTGGGAGGCCGAGGTGGGCGGATCACGAGGTCAGGAGATCGAGACCATCCTGGCTAACATGGTGAAACCCCATCTCTACTAAAAATACAAAACAAAAAAAAAAAATTAGCCAGGCGTGGTGGCCGGCGCCTGTAGTCCCAGGTACTTGGGAGGCTGAGGCAGGAGAATGGCATGAATCCGGGAGGCAGAGCTTGCAGTGAGCCGAGATCGTGCCACTGCAATCCAGCCTTGGCGATAGAGTGAGACTCCATTTCAAAAAAAAAAGAATGACAGAAATGGATTGTCTCACAGCTACAGAAGCCAGAAGTCTGAAATCAAGGTGTTCGCAAAGCCATTCTTCCTCTGAAGGCACTGGGGAAGCATCTTTTTCAGGCCTTACTCCTGGCTTCTGGTAGCCTAAAGCAGGGGTCCCCAAACCCTGGGCCACAGACCAGTACCAGGCCACACAGCAGTGGGCGAGCAAGCAAAGCTTCATCTGTATTTACATCCACTCTCCATCGCTCGCATCACCGCTCTGCCTCCTGTCAGATCAGTGGCAGCATTCAGTTCTCTCGGGAGTGCCAACTTTATTGTGAACCGCGCATTCTAGGGATCTAGGTTGCATGCTCCTTATGAGAATCTAAGGCCGGATGATCTGTCACTTTCTCCCATCACCCCCAGATGGGACTGCCTAGTTGCAGGAAAACAAGCTCAGGTCTCCCACTGATTCTACATTATGGTGAGTTATATAATTATTTCATTACATATTACAATGTAGTAGTAATAGAAATAAAGTGCACAATAAATGTAATGTGCTTGAATCATCCTGAAACTATTCACTCCCCCTCCCCCACCCACAGTCATGGAAAAATTGTCTTCCGTGAAACTGGTCCCTGGTGCCAAAAAGGTTGGGCACTGCTGGCCAAAGCATTCCTTGGCTTGTGGATGGCCGTCTTCTTCCTGTGCTTCTTCATGTTGTCTTCCTCCTCGGCATGTCTGCCTCTGTGTCCAAAATTCCCCTCTTTAAAAGGACACTGGTCATTTTAGATTAAGGTCCACCCTAGTCACCTCATTTCAGATTGATTACCTCTAAGAAGACCCTGTTTCTGAAGAGATGTCACCAGAATGTAATCATTCTGAAGTACTGCGGGTTAGGACTTCAATGTCATTTTTAGGGAGGAAAATTGAGCCTGTAACAGAACATAAGCCTTAGTAACCGGAGATGGAACTCATAGCTGAGCCACCATTTCTTAAACCCCTATTTTTTTCAGAGGAATTAAAAAGTCTGAGATAAGTGATATTTCTCTGGAAAGCAAATTTTTCCTCGCCGTGATATAACCTGCAATCGTAGGTTTATCTCTGAATTACAAGCATTTCTTAGCCAAAAATTGTATTGGGCATTGCAAGTGTGACCCAGTATGGGCTGCAGAAAGATTTCGAGGTCTGAACATTTTTCACTCGCAGCTGGCAAATTTTTCCTCTCTGAGCCTGAGCAAAGATGGAGCTTCGGATGGGGCAAGCCTGTGCTTGCAAGGCAGCCATGCACGCTGCCTGGGAGAAGACAACTCCAGGCAGTGCATCTTCTGTCCCTGGTCTCTGACCACCGATACCGGCAAGACCTGCCTGGGTCATGGCTGTCCCTCCCAGCGGGGCTGTGACTGCATGAAGCAATGACAGTGATGCTCAAGCTCTTTTGTCGATGGGGGACAGTGACCTGAATCCTTACCCTGTGTTTGGAAAGCGACTGGGTGGTGAACATAGCATTGCATTTGTGGCATCTGTTTCAGTCTAAGCGGGTCTAACTAGCAACTGAAGGGCACTGAACATCAGATTAAAATAACATTTCTGTGTGGCTGGGAAGCCCTCATTTGATTTTCTGCTGTGAAGTGACTACTAAGGACCTGTTAACTTCTTTCAGACCAAAACTCTACAAATAAAACACTATTTTAATCTTGTGCTTTATTTTTTCTGTGTTAAGAGTAATGCATGCTCAATATAGAAAGTGTGAGAGGTGTACTATTCCTTATTTTCATCAACATTTCTATCATTAAATAATATCAAGTATGGAAAGCATAAAATAGAAAAGGGAAAGGAATGTGATATTCATTAGTGCCTCCTATGTGCATGGATGCCATACTAATGTTGTCATATTTTATCCTTACAAAATTCATGTAATCTGTGTGCATTGTACTCATTTTTTGATGAGTAAAAAAAGCCCCAGGGAAGTTTGGCTGAAGACTTGCCCCACCACACATGGTGATGATCTTCCAACATCCAGTTCCAAGCTCATTTCTCCTAGGAACTCTTCCCTGGTAAACTCTGTACCATGGTTTGCCCTTCCCAGGAACCCTGTGTCTCCATATGCACCATATCTACATGACTGTTGTATAGTTTACATGACTTTTCTATGCTGTTTTAAGCTACTTATGCCTAGTGTTCCATTATTAAAACGCTAGGCTTTTGGGAGTTTTTATATCCTACCGCTCAAGGTCATCACCAAGGTCTGATTTTTCAGAAAACAAAAATTGCAACCTCCGGCATAAATGGGTTAATACATTTATTCATGTCCCCACCTCAATTGAAAATTTTCAGAGAAGGAATACAGCATCTATTTCACGATGCCATAAATATAGCAAGATATTAAATAAATGTTGAAAAATTGACCACTGACTGTACCTTAGAGATGCTTATCTTGGAGCGTGTACATCAGATTTCTCTGCATTTGGATTGAGGTGTTATAGCCATTTAATGAATACATGTCCTGACCTTCCTGGTCTTGAATTTCCTTCCCCAATAGCAGGCTCAGTTTGCCAGTGTTTTTTTTTGAGGGGGTCTTCTCTACTTCCTAGGAAAGCTAGAGTAGTTTGGGGCCTTGTGAATTTTTCTTAAATAGATGTATATTCATATACATCTATTTCTGTATATTCTGTATTTTCTGCATATTCTGCATATTCTGTATTTTCATTGTGTTCCAAATGGACAGGTGAATGGAGGAAACCTCCTCTTTGGCAGAAGTTGGGGCATTCTGGAATGAGGCAAACTGGGCTTTCCTTCCTGGCGCCATCTTTATTAGAAGTGCAGGGGGCGTACTATGCAGCCATAAAAAGGGACAAGATCATGTCCTTTGCAGGCACATGGATGGAGCTGAAAGTCGTCATCCTCAGCAAACTAATACAGGAACAGAAAACCAAACACCACATGTTCTCACTCATAAGTTGGGGCTTGAACAATGAGAACACATGGACACAGGGAGAAGAACAAAAACACACCGGGGCCTGTTGGGGGGCGGGAGGCGAGGGGAGAGAACTTAGATGACAGGTTAAAAGGTGCAGCAAACCACCATGGCACACGTATACCGTGTAACAAACCTGCAAGTTCTGCACATGTATCCGGGAACATAAAGTAAAATTAAAAAAAAAAGAAGTGTGGGGACAGTACAACAAGCATGCTCCTCCATTATCAGGCGGTCCTCGAAGGCAAAAGCTGCACCCCATTTGTCTCTGTGTTCCCAGAGCCTATGAAGGTGACTGGCACATGGAGGTATTCAATAACTACTTGGTGAATACATGAATGAATAAATGAGATTAATAAAAAAAATTCTTCCTGAAGTATTGTCCCTAGGTCCAGGGTCTAGGGAGAGTGTTTATTATGTGAACCTTACCTGCCCCCACCTTGATTTCATCCTCTGGGCCTGTGCTAATTTGCTTGACTAGTTTAACTGTCAAACGTGCTGGCTGTGGGAGATTTAAGTCCAGGAAAGAGCACAGATCCCTTCTCTAGTGGTATTTTATTTTCTCTGTTCTTTTGCCCTGAAGTTCCATTCGAGCTTAATTTAGTCAGTATTAATGTGTATTTGTTGAATGACTCAATGCATAATTGCAGTTATCCATTAGAGACTCTTGATTACAGTTTTATATCCCAAGGAATGCAGTAACTTTGGAAAAGTTCAGAGTACAAGCAAAAGATAAACACCTCCTCCCCACATCCTTCCTTCAGTCCATATCCAAAGAAGAACGGGAAAAATTGCAAGCCTTTCCCCACCCGTATCCTCATTATTCCCTTACATTTCTCTGTCCCACCCATTCCTGGGCAGACAAATATCAAAGAACTGGAATTTGCGAATCCATCAATGCTTCATTTGTTTCCCATCTGTTTCCTAGATATGTCGGAGCTATTAGACTTTTTAAAATGTGCGCCTCTCAACACCAGGCATGAGTGACAGCATCAGATAAAGCAATTGTAACTTTCTTCTTTCATGCTGCATCTGTCCCACTACTGGATACAGTTGATTTACCTGTAGTAAAAGGGACAGTGACCAGAAAAGAGGATTACAGTACATTCAGAGGCAACCAAGGGAGGAAAATAGACCAAGTGCCAAGAGGGTATTAAATAGTAGAGCTATCTGCAGAAGCAGGATAAGCAGAGAGAGGAAAAAACAACAACAACAACAAAAAACTCTTTCAGGGACGATTGCTATGCTTCATAAATCTGGAATTTTATCAGAAGCTTGGCAATTGATTTTCTATTTTAGGTAATTTAATAGGTAGACGAAGTTTAATGGGTTTTGTTTATAATTTGTTCAGGGCATCCCTGAAAGGCTGTTTCTATTGGCAAAGTCATTCTTTCTGACTTTGGAAGCTATAGAAAACTCATCTTCTTAATTCCTCTCATACGATTGTATACAGAGTACGGGTGCAGTGGAGTGTTGAAGGTGAAGGTGCATATAAAGCTACAGAACATGGGAATTTTTTTTCTTTCCTTTTTTTTTTTTTTTGAGACAGTTTTGCTTTCATTGCCCAGGCTGGAGTGCAATGGTGCCATCTCAGCTCACTGCAACCTCCTTCTGGTTTCAAGCAATTCTCCTTCCTCAGCCTCCCCAGTAGCTGGGATTACAGGCTCATGCCACTACACCTAGCAAATTTTTGTATTTTTAGTAGAGACAGTGTTTCACCATGTTGGTCAGGCTGGTCTCGAACTCCTGACCTCAGGTAATCCACCCGCCTCGGCCTCCCAAAGTGTTGGGATTACAGATGTGAGCCACGCACCCGGCCAGGAAATTTCTTCAAACACAGATTTCCTTGAAAATCTGGAGAAGACATAATTTTAAAATTAAACCAACATCGATTCATCATGTAATATAATGGGCATTTTTGGCATGAATTTCAAAGATAAACATGAGATGTCACAAAATTGTCACACTAGGTGGCAGCTGCTTCCTATCAGCAGATCCCTTTTTTTCCTCCATCTTGAGGGTCCCCTCTGTTTTTGACAGAGAGAGAAAAGAAGCCTCTGCATATGCATTTGTACATGGTCGAGAGACTGACTTTGAAATCCTCACTCTCTGTAATTACAAGTTCTACTGTGGAATTTCAAAGGCATCATTACTTGAGTCCTGCCTTACTTTTTTTTTTTTTTCACTGTTTCTTTTTTCTGGCTAATTTTCCAAGCCTGTGACTCTGCTGGTCTTCAGAGAAAGTTAATCAAACAAGCAATAAAATCAAACGTGTGGTACATGACTCATTCCTTCTCCCATTCTCCCACATTTTATGCCACTCCCCAAAGGACTGCATCCTCTGGAGTGAGTCATGGGTGGTGGGTCTGAGAAATGATGATGACCCAGCCCAAGATGAGACTGGAGAAATCTGGAGAATAGATCCTAAGCTGGTGGTGGTGAGAATTGGGAAAAGATCAAAATTCAATTTGTAGGATCTTTGTGAATGAATCATAAAAAGGTTGAACTAAAAGTACTTGGAAAAGTTGGATATGATTTACATTGCCTAAGGTAAAAAACTGGAAAGTTTTCTTCCCCTCTTTAGCCTTGATAACTGGTATGGTTTGAATATTTGTACACTCCAAAATTCAGGTTGAAATTTAATTCCTAATGTGGTAGTATTGAGAGGTGGGGCATTTAAGAGGTGATTGGATCATGAGGGGTCTGCCGTCATGAATGGGTTAATCCATTTATGAGGTTAATGGATTAACAGGTTATCATAGAAGTGGGACTGGTAGCGTTATAAGAAAAGGAAGAGAGACCTGAGCTAGCATGCTCAGCCCCTCACCATGTGATGCCCTGGGCTGCCTTGGGACTCTGCAGAGGGTCCTACCAGCAAGAAGGCCCTCACTCGAGTGGCCCCTAGCACCTTGGTCTTTTCTGTCTCCATAACTGTAAGAAATAAATTCTTTTCTTTATAAATTATCCAGTTTCAGCCATTCGGTGGTAATCAATAGAAAATGGACTAAGAGACTAATGAATGTGGAAAGTGAAAAATATGTCTTGAGTTTAAATCCTGCTCCTGTCACTTGCTAGCTATAACCAGGGAAAATTACTTAATCTCTCTGATCATCCATATGCTCGTTTGCAAGGCAAGGATAACATACTATCTTTAGGTGAGGGGTTAAAGCCAGGACTGATGAACCATCACACCTATAATATTCATTAATTTACTGTTTTAGCCCATTTTCTTGTGCTGTAACAGAATCCCACAGTCTGGGTAATTTGTAAAGAACAGAGATTTATTTGGCTCCCAGTTCTAAAGACTGGGAAATCCAAAAGCATGGTGCCAAATCTGGCAAAGGTCATCTCATGACAGAAAGGCAAATAAGCACACGAGACAGAGTTAGGAAACTGGGGAACTCATCCTTTTGTTAGGAGCCCACTCCTTCAATAACTAACCAGGGGTGTCCAATCTTTTGGCTTCCTTGAGTCATATTAGAAGAAGAATTGTTTTGGGCCACACAAAAAATACACTAACACTAACGACAGCTGGTGAGCTAAAAAAAATAAATCACAAAAAAACTCATGTTTTTAGAAAGCATATGAATTTGTGTTGGGCTGCATGTGGCCAGTGGGCCACAGGTAGGAAATGTTGCATAACCCACTTCCATGATACAACATTAATCCATTCATGACCTAATCACCTCTTGAAGTTCTCATCTCTCAACACTGCTGCATTGGTAATTAAGTTTCCAGTACATAAGCTTTGGAGGACACATTCAAACCACAGCATTTACTTTTCATTAGTTATCTATTTCCGTGTACCCTTAAGACATAGTGGCTTCCAACAACAAACGTTTATTATCTTTGGGTCAGGAACCTGGGTACAATGTAGCTGGGTCTTGGGACTCTGCAGACAACCTCTATCAGCAAAAAGACCCTCACTAAAGACAGCTCAGGGTCTTTCCCAAGACTGCAATGAAGGTATTGGCCAAGGCTGGAGTCTCATCTGAAGGCTCAACTGAAGGAGGATCTCCTTTTAAGCTCACTCACATGATTGCTAGATGGCCTCATTTCCTCACTGTCTATTGATGAGCTCAATTAGTTCCTTGTCATGTGGGCCTCTCTATAGGGAAGTTCACAACATGGAAGCTGGCTTCCTTCAGAATGCTGAATAAGGGAGAAAGAGAAGGCACGCACAATGAAGGCACAGACTTTTTGTAACCTAGCCTTGAAAGTGTAGTTCATTACTTTTGTCATACTCTATTCATTAGATGAATGTCACAGTATTCAACCCACATTCAAGATGAGGGGATTTATACAAGGGCATGAATACCAAGAGAAAGGGATCCCTAGGGGCTATCTTAGAAGCTGCCTACCACACTCCTGCATTCAACAGATGCTTATCAGTAGTCTACTGCTTTCCAGGCATTGTGCTAAGTGGTTCACCAAATAAAAGTTTTTAAAAATGAGACATGGTACCTGCCTCATGAAGCTTATAAAACAAGAGAAGGTAGGCATGAGTTCATGTGAAAATGCAACTCACCGTACTAGGAAACACAGCACAGGGATTTGGCCAAGTCAACAGTCAGTAAATGCTTTTCTGCAAAAGTGACACCTGAGCCAAGGTCTTTTGGAAATCTAGGAAAAGAAGGGAGAGAAAAATCATTCCAGGTTGAGATAATAGCATATGCAAAGGTCCCAATTGGGTATGACATTTAAAAAGTTTTAATCCCAAAGTAATTTATGACATTGGACCAACTTGGAAAAGATATTTACTTTAGATACCTATTAATTTCACTTCAGTCAATAAGCAATACAACTCAGAAGGCATTTTGTCTCTGACTTGCCTCAAGGGCTATGTATGCAACTAAAAAGAGAGAATTTTACAGCAGTGCTTTAGTGGACATTTGAATACTGTTAGATGTACTTAAAATGCAGGTTCTGATTTGGTAGATCTCAGAC
This sequence comes from Homo sapiens, assembly GCF_000001405.40. Classification (NCBI taxonomy): domain Eukaryota; kingdom Metazoa; phylum Chordata; class Mammalia; order Primates; family Hominidae; genus Homo; species Homo sapiens. Next base: position 29,678,329 of record NC_000008.11, read on the forward strand.
TTATGCATCAGCATCAACTGGAAGCTTGGTAGAAATGTAGAATCTCAGAGCCCAGCCCAGAGCTCTAGAACAGGTGAGCACTTGAATCACCTGGAAGATCTGGGCTCCATCCCAAAAGATGCTGCTTCAGTTGCCTTGGGTTGAGCTAAAAAATTTGCATTTCTAACAAGTTCCCAGGAGATGTTTCTGCTGCCACCATCCTTTGAGTAATGCCATTCTATGTCCCCAGAGATCAAACTCAGAATATTCCAGAAAAGACCTTGAAAGGTTGTCCCGACTGGGGTAAATGTTAAGGAAAGATCCTCTGCTGGGAGGAAAAAAGATGCGCTCAACTTGTTTTCTCTGAAGGAGAGAGTAAGGAAGAGCTGGAGAGAGAGAGTCTACACCCTGCTGACCGCCCAAGGATACACAGTTAGTGCTTTTTTTTTTTTTCAGGGGTCTTCCAGGGACTATTAGGAATCTCTGTGAATTAGAAGCTGCATTAGTGGGTTCTTACACTGCTAATAAAGACATACCCAAAACTGGGTAATTTATAAAGAAAAAGAGCTTTAATGGACTCACAGTTCCACATGTCTGGGGAGGCCTCACAATCATGGTGGAAGGCAAAGGAGTAGGAAAGGCCTCTTACATGGTGGCAGGCAAGACAGTATGTGTAGGGGAACCGCCCTTTATAAAACCATCAGGTCTCGTGAGACTTATTCACTATCATGAGAACAGCATGGAAAAAGCCTGCCCTCATGATTCTATTACCTCCCACTGGGTCTCTCCCATGACATGTGGAGATTATGGGAGCTATAATTCAAGATGAGATTTGGGTGGGGACACAGCGAAACCATCAGCAGCCAAAACACATTTTTACTGTTACAACTACATTTCTTGCAGACACATTTTAACTCAAATAGTAATTTTCATTTCTTGGCATATCTACATGTCCCTGGGAGACCTTCAGGACATAGGTAATATGGTGTTGAGGTCAGAGAATTGGACTTAGACTCAAAAGACCAAGGAGTGGTCCTCAGCTCTACACTCCTCTGCATGTGAGGCTCCGGTTAAGACATTAACCCTTCAACACCAATTTTCTCACCTGGACAAGGAGAATAGTACCAGCTTCAACCATCAGACAGGAATGCTGTAGGGATCCAAGCAAGAATGTCTTTTCCCTTTCTCTTCTCTCCACCGCCATCCTTCCCTCTCTCTTTCCTTTGTCTTCTCCTGTCTCAGCCTTCCATTTCCTTCCCTGGAGTCAATGGGGTGTCAGCAGGGCAGCCATGTGAGAAGGTAGCCTCATGCAAAGTAATAGAGTCCCCCACCAGGAGACTCTCCTAGCAGTGGGGTGGTCTGGATCAGAGTGTCTGAAAAAGCCTGAGAAAGGTGAGGAGGAAACCCACATACAATGTAGGTTGGCTGTGGTCCCAACCACAGGAAATTGGCTACATAGAGGGAGATGGGTCAAATAAATATATTAAAGACAATGGGAGCCAGGCCTTCACTGTTGAAGAAGGGAATTACCAACATGGAAAGAGAGAAAATTAGAATAGATCCAGTAATGTTAAATTAGAGTTGTTTTTAGATAGACGTAGAAACAAATATAGATGTAAATGCAAGAGTGTGTGTGTGTGTGTGTGTGCTCTCCACCTCTGTCCACTGAGAGATCCTAGGATCAGCAACCCCCCAGTAGCACTGAGAACACTTAACACCCCATGTTGATGCCCAAATACCATGTTTCATTAAAGGAATTCAGTGCTCCTTGGATAAATAGATGATTCCATAGCTGGGGCAGAGAGAGTACAAGATGTGCCCTGCTGTACCAGAAATTAAGGGTGTGTTCTAAGAATGATGACAATACTGGCACCAGCTTGAAGAAACTCCACACTGACCATATTTGAGGCAATTTGACCATGAATAATGGTAGTAGCAAATTATAACCTATTGACTAAAAGAAGAAACCATGAGTCCAGAAAGATATGAATCCATGAATACTGGTTTGATGAGAAATGGGTAGTTACATTGTCTCAAATGTCCCCTCTACAAAATATTTAAGAATTATAAGGAGAAAAAGAGTAAGACTACACTGGAGAAGCCTGGCAGACACCACCCTAATCAACTTATCCTAATGAACAGCATCCGTAATGGAGTAAATTGAAATGACGTGCCATCAAATAGTGTGCACTGAGAAGATCACAGCATCACTGCTGGGATATCCTACTCAAAGATGCATCATGTGAATCTAACCACAAAGAAATAACCCTCTTCTCCAACAGTGAGAGCTTGTGAAAGAACATTCTGCAAAATAACTGATCTGAAATCTCCAGAAGTGTCAAGGTCATGAAGGAAAGTCCAAGGAGCTCTTCCAGACTGAAGAAGATTCAGGAGACATGATAATTAACTGCCATGTGTGATCCTGGACTACTGTATCTTTTCACTGTAAATGACATTATGGGAAGATTGGAAAACCTTGAACGAGGTCTGAGGATTAGATGGTGGTAATGTATCAATGTTAATTTCTAGACTTTGGTGGTTATATTGTGGTTATGTAGGAGAATATCCTTGTTTGTAGGAAATACTAGTGCTCAGGGTTGATGAGAAATCATGTTGACAACTTACTCATAAGTGGTCTGGGGAAAAAGATTCCTTGTTCTGTATTTGTAATTTATCTGTAAGTTTGAGATGCTTCCAAAAAAAGAAAAAAACCCAAACAATGATGCACATCTAGGTATCCTAAGAGATAGAAAACAATTTACAAAGGACAGATGGGATGACGTCATCCCCTGCTCTTCCATCTGCTGTTTGCTCTGTGTGAAGCCATCACCACACCCTTCCACTTCTACTTTCAGATTGTGTCTGTGCTCTGACTCCTTTATCCCTTTCAATATCATCCCTTGGTTTAGGTTCTCACAGTCACTCAACAAAGCCAAGACAACAGCCTCCAAGCTCTTCCTCCTGCCTTTAGTGTCATCTTCTCCTTCTGTCTCTTCCACCCTGCCCCCAACCACCTGGCCTTCTCCCCATACTGTTGGCCAAGTGACTTTTCCAAAACCCACATCTGGTCATGTCACTGTCCTGCTTAAAGTCCTTAAGCCTAGTCTCCCCAATGCCCATAATGAAGTCCCAGCTCCTTAAACATCTCATATTCTGGTAGTAGCCTGTCCTTCAGCTACTTCTTTTTTGTTGTTTATCTTTTTTTATTGATACAAATATGTGTACACATTTATGAGGGTACATATGTATTTTGTGAGATGCATAGTGTTTGCAATCTCCAAGTCATGGTATCTAGGATGTCCATCACCTTGAGAACTTATCTTTTTTTGCATGTGTTGGGGCCACTAAAAATCCTCTCTTCTAGCTATTTGAAATATACAATTCATTGTTGTTAACTGTAGTCACCCTACTCTAGTATTGAACATTAGAACTTTTTCCTTTTATATAACTGTATGTACCCATTAACCATTTTATCTTCATTCCTCACCCATCCACACACTATTCCCAGTGTCAAGTATCTATCATTTCACTCTCCACTTCAATGAGATCAACTTTTTTTAGCTCCCTCGCATATGAGTGAGAACACACAAAATTTGTCTTTCTGTGTCTGGCTTATTTCACTTAACATAATTTCCTCAATTTCCATTAATGTTTTTGCAAATGACAGGATTTCATTCTTTTTCATGGTTGAATAGTATTCCATTGTGTATATATACCACATTTTCCTTATCTTTTCATCCACTGAAGGACTCTCAGGTTGAATCCATATCTTGGCTACTGAGAATAATGCTGCAATGAATATGGAAGTACAGGTATCCATGATTTATTTTCCTTTGGCTAAATACTCTAGTGGATTGCAGGATCAAATGGTGGTTCTATTTGAAGTATTTTGAGAAGTCTCCATACTTTCTTCCATGATGGCTATACTAATTTACATTCCCATTAATAGTGTATAAAAGTTTTCTCTACATCCTTGCTAACATCTGTTATTTTCTGTCTTTTTATTTATAGCCCTTCTAACTGGGATAAGACAATATGTCACTGTGTTTTTGATTTCATTTTCCTGGTGATTAGTGATGTTGAGCATTTTTTCTTTTCTTTTCTTTTTTTTTTTTTTTTTTGAGATGGAGTCTCGCTCTGTTGCCCAGGCTGGAGTGCAGTGGCACGATCTCGGCTCACTGCAAACTCCGCCGCCTGGGTTCACACCATTCTCCTGCCTCAGCCTCCTGAGTAGCTGGGACTATAGGCGCCCGCCGCCACGCCCGGTAAATTTTTTGCATTTTTAGTAGAAACGGGGTTTCACCGTGTTAGCCAAGATGGTCTCGATCTCCTGACCTTGTGATCTGCCTGCCTCGGCCTCCCAAAGTGCCCAGCTGAGCACAGGCATGAGCCATCGTGCCCAGCTGAGCATGTTTTCATATACCTATTGGCCATTTGTATGTCTTCTTTTGAGAACTATCTATTCATATCTTTTGCCCACTTTTTAATGGGATTTTTTTTAACTGTTGAGTTGTTTGAATTCCTTGCATATTCTGGATATTAGTCCCTTGTCAGATGAATAGTTTGCCAGCATTTTCTCACATTCTGCAGATTCCACTCTGTTGATTGTTTCATTTGCTGTGCAGAAGCCTTTTATTTTAACATAGTCCTTATTTTGTTTTGGTTTTGTTGCCTGTGCTTTTGTGGTCTAGCCATAAATCCTTTAGCTTCTATTTCTACAACCTCCTTTCCTGGTGGCTAGGGCAACACTGAACCACTCGCTTTCCCATAAGCCCACTGGTACCTTCCAGCTTCCATGCCTCAGTAATGCTATTTGCTCAGCTTTCTTCTTCCTGAAAGACTCCTGCTCATTCTTTCAGATTCAGCTCAGATATCATTTGCTCTCTGAAGTCCTCCCTGATCCCCACTGCCCTACCCCAGGCAAAGCGAACAACTCCTTTTTTCATGTTACAGTAACTCTTCGTAGAAATCTCTCTCCTAATAGCTATCATTGTAATGCCATTGTTTGCTTTCTTGCAGTTGACCCTCTCCAGATTTTGAGCTCTTTAAGGGCAGAGACTGTGTTCTAACATGGTTGAAACCAACACAGTGCCTGGCACCACGCTGTTATTCAATAAATGCCTGTTGAATGACTGAAATGATGATTTGGCTGTGCCACGCTGTTTGGCTTTTGGTGGCATTGATGTTGCCATTCCTCTCTCCTGCTGGATTAGAAAGGCCCTTCAGTAGCTGGAGGAAAACTTGATGAGTCTGAGACATGCATAGTTATAGTTAAATAAGAAGTTTTGCCCACCAATACTAAGGTATGCTTTCCTTTCTTTTCTGGTCAGTCCTGAAGCACTTAGAAATTGCATGCCCTTTTTATCTTTTCCCCATATTAAGAAAGATTCTGATAAATCTTTCTAATTCCTCACTCTCTATAGAATGGGGGAGGCTGTTTTACTGGAGTCCCAGGTGGGCTTCCAGAGTGTGGAAGAGTGGAATGGATGGTACAAGCTGGAGTGGTCACTATTTATCTCTATCAGTGGGGGATGCCAGGACTCGGAATGAGCAAAGGTAGAAGCTGCTTAGGAGGGCAAAGCCCAAAATGCTAATTGGAGAACCAGGTCCTGCATGAAACCTGGTGGAAGCCAGAGTCAGGCATCAGAGTCCAGTAGGCGCCTAGAGATTGGAGGGAGAGAGGGAGATGAGGCTGAGCATCATTAGGGCAGAGGGAGGTGGTATCATGAAGGGTTAGCCTCAGATGCTGCTATCATATGGCCCTGACATTTCATTTGAGAGCTAGCAGGGGTGCAGGGGGTGCAAGGGTGAGTTAGTGGATTCCTTCAGAGGGTCCAGAGTGAGTCGTGGCACTGAACCATGAGTGATCAGTAGCACTTCTTATATTATCACAAATACTTATTTTTCATTTGTGCTATGGCCTTTCTGCCTTTTGTGGTATTCCAGGTATCAGAGAGATACATCTATAGGGGAGAACCTAATGTTATTCTTGGACTAGTATAGTCATGTGTGCTTGGAACTGGATGGTAAAGCCCTGCCAAACCCTGTTGGGCCCTGCTAAACAAGGCAAAAATATATTGCCCAAGGCATCAAGTCTCAACCCCTGGGGAATCTCCAAATATTCCAAGTTAAACTAATTTTAAAGTTTTTCTAATAAAAATTATGCAATATATCTGTCTTTAGACTAGTCCAAAAGAAATTAGGGAATGAATCATCCCATTTAGAAAAAAAATTCATAATAGAATATTCTTTTATAAAGCAAGCTGCCCACATGTATTTAAAAAGAGTTGGGAGGTAGGAAAATTCTAACAAGTACACGAATGACTAGGAGCACATCTATAGAAGTCAATTCCACCATCCCACATGTCCGGGACAGATGAGCCACTCTCACGAAATCACACAGTTCAACAACTGAAGCTCACAGGGTTGGAAAAACATTGACTCCAAGCTTGTGATTCACAAGTACAATTTGAACATTTTTGTAAATCCTCATTTTTTTCATTAATTCAGTATTTACTGAGCATCCACTACTTAGCTTGATCCTGACGCTATAACTGGGAACTAGGTGAAAATAATCTTTACTGCTATCAAATGTTATTCTAGTAAAGAAGATAGACAATGTACAAATAGACAAGAAATTTTTAAAGTTGCAAATTATGATATGTGCTGTGAAGGCAGCAGCCAAGTAGCTCAGATTGTGTGTTGAGAGAACAGAGTGGGGAGAGAAGTTGGGAGGTACTGCTTTAGATGGAGAGGCTGGGAAGGCCTCTCTCAGAGGTAGCTTTGAGTTGAAACAAGCTCACTGTTAAAGAGCCAGATGATGCACAGGAGAATTCCAGGCAGCGTGAATATCATGCACACGGCCTTGGGTAGAAGGGAGACTTGGCCAGTTTAAAGGATGAAAGGAAACAGAAGAGAGTGTTCCTAGAACTTAGAGAGGGTGTCATGACATGTGGTTGAATTGACAGGCCGGAAGAAGATCATGCAGGACCTTGGAGTTCATTCTAAAGGAAATGGGGAGCCACTGAAGAGTTCAAAGCAAATGAGTGCTCTGATTCAATTTATATTTAACAAAGAGACTCTTGATGGCTGCTGAGTCAAGTTGGAAATGGGTAAACCATGTACATGCTGTACCAGTTGTCTAACAAGCAATAATAGTGTTCTGGATAAAGATGGAGTGAAGTGGATGGATGTGAGATATATTTTGGAAATAGAATTGACAAAGTCTGCTTTGGGTTAGATGTGAGCTTAAAGGAAAGAAAAAATTAAGAATGACTTCTGGGCTTCTAGATGCACAGCCAGCTGGTGCAATTTTCCAAGGTGGGGAAGATGTGCAGAAACACCGGCTTTGAAAATTGGTATACAGGGAAAATCAGGAACTCATATTGATGTTAGATGGCTGTGAGTCATAAACTGAGATGTCAGATAGACAGCTGGATAAGCGTGTCTGAGTTTAGAGGTGAGGTTAGCTCTGAAGAAGAAAATAAATGCATGTATATAACCACGTAGGGGGTGGTTGGCCTACCTCAGGGCCAATTCTCTTACCCTTCAAAGGTTTAGACATCTTCTCAAGACAAAATCTTGGAGGTGATATGTGTCTTTTGCATTATAATTACTGTGTTATTTGCACACAAAGTGTCTTACCTTAGAAAGTACACACCAGTTGTCAATTACTGAGTGTATAAGAAGTGTCAGGCACTCTACTTACATGATCTCATTTAATCTTCAAAATGTTAAGAGACATAGAGAGCAGATATAAGAACACCTAGAGGGCAGATAAGGAAATGGAAGCTCAGAGAGATCAAGTAGCCTCCCTACCGTCACACAGCTAGTGTTTGGCAAAACTGAGAGAGGAACCCAGGCCTCTTGACTCCAAGGTCAGGCTCCTGCCCTCATGGACTCTCCTCCTTTCAGTAACAGTCTCTTATCTACCCCTCATGGGAGAGCAATTTTTACAGCACTACGATAGTAGAGAGGCTATGTTAGCTGAAATTTGGGACAAGACACCAGACCATTCTGAGCTTCTATTTCTTCTACTATAAAATGATCTATCTACTATGCAGATTGCAGATAGGAAATATAGAAAATATATCAAATAAAGTATAATATAAATCCTATGCAATATATAGTTATATGCACACATAAATACATGTAAAATGGGATATTGTGCAGCCATTCAAGATGACTGCAAAATTATTTTACTTTTTAAGATTTTTAAATTGTAAGATACTTCAAACAAATAAAAGTACAGAATACTGTATGACACCCACATATCCATATTTAACAGATGTTAACATTTTGTCTTGTTCACTGCAAATATCATTTTTGTTGTTTTATTTTCAGAAATAAAACACTGTAGAATCACAGGTGCAGTTATTAATAATATACCATTCTCCTTTCCACTCCATCAATAACTGGTCAGCATGTAACATTCCCATGAATGCTTTTATACTTTTACTACGTACTTATGTATGCCTAAAAAATTAAAATTAATGATGTTGTTATATGCATTTACTGCTTTTACATAAATGGTACTATACTACGCCCACCTTTCAATGACTTGCTGTTTTCTCTCAAGTATAAAACAGTGGTTATTGTTTTTATAATAATTAAGTTTCTACTATATACTAGGGTCCTTGCTTACAACTTACATATATATATTATCTCATTCAGCCCTGATAGTAAACTTGCAGGTATGTACACTTGCCTCATTTTACCAAAAGGAAAATTAAAGTTCAGAGACATTAAATCACTTTCCTAAGGTCACACAGCCAGTAACTGACAGAGATGAGACACAATTCAACTTCCTCCCTCAATCTGTTCTCCCAATCACAGGGCTTTTATGTTTTTCTCATTTCTTTCTTTTTTTTTTTTTTTTTTGACATGTAGATTCAATTTCCTACTTGGCATTTCATTTGCCTTCCCTTTAAAAATCATATCAGATTTGTCTGCATTTTTTCTTCCCAAGCTGTTTGCTAGCCTGCCCTGTGTTTAGGATTGGTTGGGCAAGTTGCAGGACAGATAGAAGGGGGCTTCTGAAGGCTTCTGTGACCCTATCAGCAAATGCCTACATCAGAAAGAGTGTTTTCTCATTTCTGGTTATGCTTCTGTAAAAGTGGGTGTTTTATGGCCGGGCGCAGTGGTTCACGCCTGTAATCCCAGCACTTTGGGAGGCTGAGGCAGGCGGGTCATGAGGTAAAGAGATTAAGACCATCCTGGCCAACATGGTGAAACCCCATCTCTACCAAAAATACAAAAATTAGCTGGGCATGGTGGTGGGCACCTGTAGTCCCAGCTACTTGGGAAGCTGAGGCAAGAGAATAGTTTGAGCCCAGGAGGTGGAGGTTGCAGTGAGCAGAGATCGTGGCACTGCACTCCAGCCTGGCAACAGAGTGAGACTCTCTCTCAAAAAAAAAAAAAAAAAAAGTGGGTGTTTTACTATCTATCATGTCATGACAACCACCTCAAACCTTAGGGGCTTTAATTTGATGGTTTTTCATGTTCTGCGGGTGGACTGTTGAGCTGGGCGGTTCTTCTGGTCTCTCTCGAGGTCTCTCATGCAGTTTCAGGCAGATGGCAGCTGCAGCTGGTTGGTTCTCTCACTCTCCACATAGCTTCAGGGCTTCTCCTTTCCACAAGGCCTCTCCAGGTGGTCTGTTTGTGTGGTCTCTCCAGCAGGATAGCCAAACATCTTGCTTGACAGCATAACTCCAAAAATGCAAGGAAGGAAGCTGCCAGGCATCGTTAAGGCCCAGCACATTGTCACTTCTGCCAAGTTCTATAGTTTCGAGTGAGTCACAGGCTCAGCTCAGATCCCATGTGGGAGGAACTGCAGTGAGGTGTGAATACTGGGAAGTGCAGTTTGTGGGGGCCATTGTTTGAAAGCTAGCTACCACAATAGGAAAACTGAAGACAGGACTTCATCTCATCCTCTAAACTTTCTTCCTATGAAGATTCTCTTTGATGAGTTAATGCTCTCCTAATATACTTGAGAGGCTTTTAAGCAACATTCTATGGCAAGGCAGGTAAGAAACCAAATTGGCAATATGGTATCACCACAGTCAAGGACTGAGTCAGCTTGGGAAACCAAGATTCTCAACAAAATATTCTCTCCCTAGTCCTACCTGCTCAACTTGTTACCATCCCCGCTACAGGAACTCTCTCTCTAAAAGCTTCCTGAAGGGTTAGTTTTCTCCTAGGCTTGGAGGCCCATGCCAACAGATGGTAGCCATAGAAATATCAGAACATTTCTCCGAATTGGATTTCAATCAGCTGATGTTTAATTTTAGATTTTGAGATAGGCCACATTTTACCCTACCTTCTCCCACTTGAAAAATCACAACACAGTAATGGTGGCCAGAAATCTTTTCTGTCACCTTAGGAAATATTTTTAACTCTCTCAAAGCCATAGGAAGGATTTTTGTTTTAAGTTAACATATTTTTAGAAGTAAAATAGTCACATAGTCATGGTCAAAATTTAATATATTCAAAAAAGAGAGAGTAACAAATCTCCCCTCCATAACCCTGTCCCTCACATATGCAGATTCCCTCCAACATCAGTTTCTTGTTTTCTTCCAGAGACATTCCATATTTCTTCTTCCAGAAATATGTGTACATATAAGCAAATATGCATACATATTCTGTTTCCAGTTTTTGACACAAATGTATTCACACTCTACATCCTACTCTGCATCTTGTTTTTCTTATGTAATAATCTTAAACATTTTTATACATCAATACATAATTTTTTCTTTTTTTGAGATTGAGTATTTCTCTGTCACCCAAGCTGGAGTGCAATGGTGCAGTCTCGGCTCACTGCAACCTCCACCTTCCAGATTCAAACGATTCTCTTGCCTCAGCCTCCTGAATAGCTGGAATTACAGGCTTGCATCACCATGCCTGGCTAATTTTGTATTTTTAGTAGAGATGGGGTTTCACCATGTTTGCCAGGCTTGTCTTGAACTCCTGACCTCAGGTGATCCTCCTGCCTCGGCCTCCCAAAGTGCTAGGATTACAGGCTTGAGCCACCATGCCTGGCATATTTTTCTTATTCTTTACTTTTTTCTAGCAGCAAGTATTCTGTTGCATGCATGTACTGTCATGTATTTAAAGAGTTCCCTATTGATGGGCACTTAGGTTCCTTCCAATATTTTTCTGTAATTAACAAGGGTACAATGAATAAAACTGTATATACATAATTTCATATATGTGTGAGTTTATCTATGGGATAAATTCCTAGTGTCAGAATCTCTAGATCAAAAAGTGAGGTTGTTTATATTTTGATTGATATTGCTAAACTGCCACACAAAGATGTACTAATTTGCACTCCCACCAGCAATCCATGGTTTGCCTATTTATTCTACTCTTACTAACCCTTCCAATTTTTAATTTTTTTCCACCTAGTAAGGTAAAAGTGTTTTTTCAGTGTGGTTTTATTTTTATTGTCTTTTTTATGAATGAAACTGATCACTCATTCTTATGTTCAGGTGTCATCTGTATTTCCTTTTCTGAGAACTATGTATTTAAATCCTTCTGTTCATTTTCTTTTTAATTTAGCTCCTATATTGATATATGAGAGCTTTTCTGTATGCAAGAAATTATTCCTCTGACTCGTATGAGTTGCAAATATTTTTTGCCACTTAATCATTTGTCTTCCTACTTTATTTAAAATAATTTTTCCAGGCAGAAAACTCTTTGTTTTTATGTACTCAAATTCACCAGTGTCAGGTTTTCATATCATTTTTATAATAAATTCTCCACTCTGAAGAAAAAAATCAATTAGTATTTTACAGTATTTTATGATTTCATTTGTTACTTTAAGGCTTTCATTTATATAGAATTTATTTTAGTCCAAAGTGTGAGGCATGTAGTCAACTTATTTTTTTCCCCAAATGCCTATCTAATTGTCTCAACACCATGTATTGAATAATTCATCTCTTCCCTACTGACTTTGGGTGCTACCTCTATGACACTAAATCTTCCTACTCAACACACATGTGTTTTTGTTGTTCCAGTCTTCTTTATTTCCTCTCAAAAGCATTTAAAAATGTTTCTTCCTATAGTGCCTACATAATTCTTATTAAGTTTACCCCTTAAGTATTTTTTCCTTTTTTGGTTCTTGTTACTATCATAAATGATTAACTTCTCTCCCATTATCACCTATTGGCAATCTGATAGCCCTATCTTCACACTGCTTTGTTTGTTTATAAAGGCTATTGATTTTCAAATATTAACTTTACCTATTTTGTTTCTGAAAAAATTCACCTTCATCTTAGGCTTCAAATAATTCTTATAATTTTCCAAGGAAAATGAGCATTTCAAAGAGAAAGATTACCATGTATACCAGGAGTCAAGAAATTATACATATAACTAATTACACTAATAGACTATCAAGGTCTTTAGATGTTTTAACTATTAGACACTATAGAGAAAAATTATGCTTGGTATATTTAGAAAGTAAAAGACAAACTTATACATATCTGCAGGTAACAAAAACTATAAATACTAGCCAAGAAGCCTTAAAAATTAACCAAATAGAACTCTTAGACATGAAAATGTAATAATTGAGATAGAAAGTTTAATGGATAGAATTAAGAGCAGATTAGATTCAGCTGAAGAGAAAATTACCAAACTGGAAGACAGAGGAGAAGAAAATTATCCAGAATGCAGGCCAGAAAGACAAAAAGATGTAAAAATATATGGAAGAGTGAAGGATAGAAGAGTGGGTATGAAGGATAGAATGAAAGAGCTTCATCTATATACGATCAGAGTTCCAGAACAAGAGAAAGAATGAAGGTCAAGACCATATTTGAAGAGGTGGTGGTAAATTTTCATGCATTTCCATGACCAATGCAAGAGAACAAACTACAGAATCAAGAATTCCAAAGACTCTCCAAGCAAGTTAGATAAAAACGAAAAACAAAATAAAACCAATCACACTTAGAAATGTCATAGTAAAAGTGCACAAGAGCAAAGGTGAAGAAAAAATATCAAATGAAATAAAATTTATTGTTCTTGAAGGAGCAATAATTAAACTAACAGCAAACTTGTTAACTGCAATAAATGAAGTCAGTAAACAATGGAATAATATCTTCAGTGCACTAAAAGACAGTAACTGCCAACCTAGAATTGTATACATGGTAGAATTATCTTTTAAGGATGAGAGCAAAATGAAGACATTTCTAAAAACATAGTGGAAACAGTTTGCTACCAGCAGTATCTCTCTAAAGGAAATACTAAAAGAGGAAGTTCAGACAGAAAGTGATCATAATTGGAAGATCTAAGATATAGGAAGGAATGAAATGTAAACAAGAGACATAAATACATTTCTCAGAAGAACTGTAGCCAATAAAGATATAAGAAGCTATTCAACATCATTAGAGATCAGGGAAATGAGACTCAAGACCACAGTGAGATTATATTTTCTCCCCATTCAATCATCAAAAATTAGAAAATGAACAATACCAAGTGTTGGAAGGTATGTGAATCCAGAGGCTTTCTTTTATGGTGCTTATGGGTCTATAAACTGGAAGGTGGGTTGGCATTGTCTTCTAAGTTGAATGTTAACCTGTTTATAGTCCAACAATTCATCCTAGGTTTGTACTGAAGACAAATTCTTGCACATGTACAGGAGACATATATAAACAATGTTCGTAACAGTATGATTTAGCAAAAACATGGAAATAATTCCAAATGCTATCAATAGGAGAACAGATTACTAAACTGTGGTTTATGCAGGTATACTATGCAGCAGTTAAAAAAATGATCATATGCAGCCAATTGGAAAGTTGTCTCAAAAGGTTATATGCAGAATGACATCATATGCAGCTAAAAGCAACTGGAATTTTATATATATATATATATCTTAGGAATACAAATAGAAGCACTACAACTACATAAAAAGAAAAGTTTTGGAATGATAAACCTGGGATTCAGGATGATGGCTACCTGGGTGGGGGAGACAGGAAGATGGGATGGGGAAAACTAATGGGCTTAAATGAAATTATGGTTAAGATCCTGGTGTGTGTCTTAGGAAATGAGTTTGCAGGGGCTTTTTAGATTATTAAAACCAACTAACCAAATAAGAGGGTAATGAACAGAGCAATATTGAGAGTATGCCATGAACCAGAGATTATGGTTTAATCCAATTTTGTATAGCTAAGGTCCACGAAAGAAAAATTAAATTAAAACACAGGCTAAGGGTCCAAGAGTGGACCCCTGGAGTCAGCAAAGTTAGAGTTCTGTAAGGACAGAACCAGAGTATATACCTTCCCAGCTGGGTGGGGGGAGGGGGGAATTAGTATGATGAAAAGAGAATCAAACAAGAAAGGATGAAAAATAAAATATAACAAGAAGGAAGAATATTATATCAAACACAGATATAAACCTAAGTAGATCAATAGGTGTAAATGAATAAACACTCCAGTTATAAGACAAAGATTATCAGAGTGGATAAAATAAAATAATTACTCAGAATTTAAACACTGTGGAAAATAAATGAGATTGGAACAGAAAGATATGATCTATGTATAAAATAATGAGGATGGAAACTGAAAATGGCAATGCATTTTACCTCTAGACTTCATTTTGAAAAGTCCCACCTTACATAAAGTCCCTGCACATACTTCTACCTGCTATTACAACCTTCTCCTGTGCCCCAACAATAATAACTTGATGAGTCTTAATGACACACAATTGTGGCTGGCTTGCAAATGAAAAAAAAATCACAACAATCATACACATTGTTTCTGGAGATAATTTCTCCTTTAATAAGGAGAGCAAGTTTAAGTGCTGGCTTATTTCAGACCTTGGGAATCAGCTATATGTGCCTAGATGCTTAATAATCCAAGCATGAATTCACCATACATAGGACACTTATATATGATGCTGCATATACACTACATAGGCCACTGTAGTGGATGCTGTAGTGTACCTCCCCAAAACCTCCTTCAGGGTCAAGTCACTTATTTCCTCAGCTGCCAGGAATATGGAATGCTAATGACTTATAGCTGAGTTCCTCCTGAGGAAATGTCCTGTGCCAAAGTTATGTCCTCTCTCTGGGAAGTCAATGTGGGAGTACAAAAGGCCAGTCCTCTTGCCTCACTTCAGGATGTCTCTAAAGGACCATTCAAGTTTCAAAGCTCCTTATGGGATCAGCTGAGGTCCCTCTTGCTATAGCACTGCAATTCAACTTCCCTGTATACCAAATGCTGCTTCTCTCATTCTCTTACAAGTATGGTGTAGAGTATGGCTACTCTCTTAAGACTCCAACTCCCTAACACCAACTGGATGGTATACAATTTAATTCTGGCACTAACCACCTGGAGTGAGCTCAGACCCCAACAAGTTAAAGGCAAAGTCCTCCTAAGACTCTCCTCAGATGCCAGCTGCAAGTTTTCACACCACCTGCACTTCTGACCAACTCGTTACAAATTTGCGGGTTCCCGCAACCCCCCTCAGGCTTGATATATAGTATACTAGGATGACTCACAGAACTCAGAGACTCACTGTACTTATTATTATAGTTTTATCATAAAGGATACACAGGGATGACCAGTCAAATGAAGAGATGCATTGAGTGAGGTATGAGAGGGAACACAGAGCTCCTGTGCCCTCTTTGCATGAAATCAGGGTGCCCCATCCTCCAAGCACATGGATGTATAACCAACAACCAAAAGCTCCACTGAGAGCTTTGAGACCAGAGTTTTTGGTGGGAGTTTCGTTATGTAGGCATGATCGGTTGAGCACGTGATTAAACTCAATTTCTAGTCCCCTTCTTCTCCCTGAAGTTTGAGCTAGTGCAAAATTCCAATCATCGAATCAGGTGGTTAGCCTTTCTGATGACCAGCCCTCATCCTGAAGCTATAAGGCTCCCATTCTAAAGCTATTAGGTGTCCATCTTGAGTCATCTCATTAGCTAAACAAAGACACTTCTATCACTCAGGATATTGCACGTTTTTGAAGCTCTATGTGAGGAATCCTGAACAAAAACCAGAAAAATTCTTTATTATTATGCAACGATGCCCTAATAAAATTCCTGCACAGAAATCTCTGTCTGTTTCCAGGAAACGTGACCCCAGATAGTTGTTTCCAGGGGTGGTTCTAGGAAAGGTAAGTACTCATTCAGTTCCTAATGTGCTGTGTTCCACGGAGAGAAGAGGAACTCAAGGGCTCAGGCCTCCCTGGGTTGGGCGCTGCCCACAAAGCCTGGACTAGTGCCTATGTGAGGGCTCACCATGCATGATCCTTGGCAGCACAATGACAGTGTTCCAGCTTGGGGCTGCTTCACACTCAAACCAGCTCTTGGACCTAGGATGGCCCTGAGCTGATTAGTTTTAGGTACTAACTGTAATAACCAAAAGGAAGGACTATTAGGGTTTTACCCTTCTCCTAGACAAGCCTACTAGATATGAAATAAAAAGGAAGATGACTTCCCTTTTCAGCAGCCAAGTGCCTGAGTGTTTCTGGGAGGCATGCACATTCAGTTTGGGTACATGAGGATGCTCCGATTCCATTAAACATATGTTATTCTCTAACCCATTCCTCACCCTTAAATTGTCGTCTGGGACACCAGTTTACACTCTACTTAGAAGTCGCAGATGTCTCAACCTCAATATGTCCAAAAAATAAACATGTACCTTTCCTTCTTCTCCTTTCTCCATCATCACTGACACAACCATCCCAGCCAGAACCTTGATGTCACTTTGGTATCATCCTTGGCTTCTCTCTCTCTTACCTCCTGTCTACATCAAGCTCCATGATCTATCAGTTTTACCTCTGAGTGTTTCTCAGAATTCCCCTTCCTCTCTATCTTTGCCAGTGTGGTGGTAATATCAGCCTCCTTCATCGCTCTCTTAGGCTGGAGGAAAATGCTTCATTTGTCTGCCTTCTACCACTTTTGTTTTCTCCAAATGCTTTCTCTATATAGACTTGAGAGTGATGCACTTGAAATACAGAGCCAACAATAGTTCTTTTTGTCCTTAACTTTTCCATTAAAAATATTACACAATAATACATGCTGTCCATAGAAAGTCAAATAATACAAGGGCATATACAGTAATAAAAAGAAGCCTCTGTCATTTTGTCCCCTTTCTATCCAATACCTCCTCCCTTTTCCTTCCTTCTAAGAATTGGACCTCTTTAAACTCCATAAAGTGCCCCCTAGAAGCTGTCATTTTCTTCTCTGGTCTCTTTTTGGGCCACAGTTACGTGGTTTATATTGAGACTTCTTTCCTGTGGTGTTGGAACTTGAGCTTAAAGAATCCAGTTGACTTCTCTCCATGGATAGATATGTCAGACACAAAATTTCATAAGCTTGGTGGCCAGACTTCTTACCCTGATGAGTGGAGAAGCTGAGGCAGCCAGTCAGCATAAAAGGAAGAAAGAATAAAGTTGACATGCACAGAGAAACAGAGATAAACAAAGTAGAGAGAAAGAACCCTATGTTGTTGTTTTCCTACACAAATAAGATCATATCATACAAGTTGGTTGTCCTAGTTCATTTCCTGTTGGTATAATAGAATACCATACACTGTTACAGTCTCAAGAAAAAAAAAAACTACTAAAGAAAATAAACTTATTTTTTACAGTCCTAGAGGCTGGCAATTTCAAGAGCACGGCAGCAGCACCTGGTGAGGATCACCCCTTGCAGAAGGCATAACATGGTGAGAGAGCACAAGAGAAAAGCACCAGAGGCTGCACCCATTTTATTACAATCCACTCCAAACATGACTCACCTGCTGTGGTGATAATGACATCAATCAAATTGTGAGGGCTCTGCCCTCATGAAACAATCATCTCTTTTTAGGCCCTACCTCCCAACAATGTTGCACTGGGGACTGTTTCCAACACATAAGCATTTTGGGGACATATTCAAACCATAGCATTGCTCTTTCATTTTTGTTCCCACTTAACAATGTATTCTTAGAGATCTTTTCATTTCCTTCCTTATGAAGGTACTTTGTTTTTTCCGTGGTTGCCTGATATTTAATACTCTGAATTTTACACGGATTACATATTTCTTACCAATAGGCAGATTATTCTTCATATTTTGTTCTTACAAAGAATGCTATAACAGGCATCTTCATACAAAAAAAAAAACTCCCTAGTATTTCCAAGATAAAATTCATATTTCTTAAAAGGGGAGACAATACCACCATCCCCATTTTTGACCACTCCTGGCTTTCTGCCCTACTCTCCAGTGACACAAATTGCTTGATGCTTCCTGCATCTATACCATGCCTTCCCTTACTCTGTGCCTCTCTTTGTTCTTGTTGGACCTGAATGGCCTCTTCACCCCTCTCTGCTCAGTCAACCTCTATTCATTCTTTATTACTCAGTTCAGGTGTCAAATCCTCCTGGCAACTGTTTCACACCACTTTTATCATTGCATACGCCACATTGTATACAATTGCTTTAGTTATATACCTGTTTTCTCCCCTAGATTGTAAATTCCTCCAGGAACCAAGGCTAGTACTTGTGTCTTATTGTTTTTGTAACCAAAATGGTTAGCAAAGTGTCTGAAACATAGCATGTGGTCAGTTACACTTGAATGAATGAAGGAATGTGTCTGAAACATAGCATGTGGTCAGTTACACTTGAATGAATGAAGGAACATGTCTGAAATGTAGCATGTGGTCAGTTACAATGGAATGAATGAAGAAATGTGTCTGAAACAGCATGTGGTCAGTTACAATTGAATGAATGAAGGAAAGTGTCTGAAACATAGCATGTGGTCAGTTACAATGGAATGAATGCAGGTCTACACTCACAGACTGACTTATTGGATCCTACACCCTCACCCACATGTATATTTGTTCCTTTTGAAAGTTAATGGGCTGAGTAGATTTCTTTTTCACTAATCAGTGATAACAATACTATAAATACACACACACACTTACACACACACATGCCATAGTATATAGACAGCTATATATTAGATTGGTGCAAAAATAATTCCGGTCTTTGCCATTGAAAGTAATGGCCAAAAATGCAATTGCTTTTGCACCAACCTAATAGTATCATTTATTTAAAGATTTCAAAGGCTTTTAAGAAAATATTGTCTCATTAATCAGTTGACTCTCTTTAGTTATTTTGTCTTTAGAGGTTGCTGGAGAAATAATATCATGCCCATCCTAAAGTCAAGGAAGTGTGGGGTAGGCAGAGGAAATAACTGGTGAGCTAACAGTGAGATCAAGAGAGGTGCCACATGCTTACACACATGTCTCTGCTTCTTTCCTGCCCTAACATGACTTGCTAGCCTCTGCAGCAACACAGTAAGGCATTTCCCTTATAATTATACTTCTCAATGATATTATCCACATGTTGCACTATTGCAAAACCTTTCAAAGTAATACCATAAAGCCAACACATTACAGCAGATCCTTGAATAAGGTCGTTTGCTCAATGTTGTTTATTTGTAACATTGATGAGAAAACATAAATAAATTTCCAGCTGTAGCCAAAGTCTCTGTGGAGTTTGCACATTCTCCCCATGTCTGCTTGGGTTTTCTCTTTGTACTGTGGCCTGCTCCCTCATCCCAAAGCTGTGCACATTAGGTGAATTGGTGTGCCTGTTCAGTCCCAGTATGAGTGAGTGTGGATGGGTATGATTAAGATGGAAAGGCATCCTGGCCAGGGGTGGTTCCTGCCTTGCATTCTAAGCTTCTGCAACAGGCTCCAACCACTCACAACAGTAAACTAGAATATTGGAGTAAGTAGTGATTTTACTTGTTTTATTAATCTTTCTGAAATGTATGTATAGCTCACATTTATTTAAATGTTTAATATTAGCAGTGTTTTCATCTTTATTTAGAATTTTGGTGATGTTTTTGTGACCAGAAATATACCATAGGAACTTCACTCATGTTTATATCAGTCCATGGGAAAATTGGTTTCAGCATACGTCATTTCACTTAAAGTCACAGTTTCCAAGATCCTATCCATGATTTTAAGTGAGGACCTGGAGGACCTACCTTATTTTTCAACGATAACCTGGCTGTAAGGGCTGAAATGCAAGAGTGGACAGATATCCTCAAAGAAAGACCAAACCAAAACAAAAGAAAACAAAGAAACCCAAAACCAATTACTCTCAACAACAACAACAACAAAAGCTTGGTCACCCATCTGAGACAGAGATGAAGCCTTCAGGGATTTTTATCAAGGATGTTATTCAAATAAAAACATTTTGTACTAAAGAAATTATCATGGGAGAAAATCTTTTCCTGTGTCTGTCAGAATCTGACTCCCATTATGCAAAATGCCAATCTGAAGTTTTTCCATTTTATTTAATTTCTTGGTAACTGACCTTCCCGCCAAATATGCATCTCAAATAAAAGACAGTTATTTTCCACATTAATAAGGCATTTTGCAACAAACAAATATCCAATACTGGAAAGAAAATTATACAATAAATGCATTGTTTTAGTTTTGTATTTTCTTCTGGTTGTCTAATTACCTTAGCTGAAGTCCTTATTCTTGAAGACAATAGCAAAAACCGCAATTACTTTTACACCAGCCTAACAATAGCTATCATTTTCAGTGTCCCTTCCAGGCCCTGGGTTAGATGATTTAGTGGATCATCTCCAGCCTTGTGGTTCTAAGGGATAGACACCATTATCCTCATTTCACAAATCCTGAGTGCCAGAGAGGTTCATATCTCACTCAGGGTCACACAGCTTTAAGAAAAAAAAAAAAAGGCAGTTCTGGAACCTAGATCTGCAGGAACTGGAAGCCCATTTTCTTTTCCTAACCAGGCTCTCTCCTAAGTATTTTTAATTCATAAACAGGGCTGTTGACTCAGGCTCCCTGGTGTAAGATTCAAGACTTATAAATTTAAACCTAGTTGGGAATTGCAAACGCACTTTCATTTATTGCTGCTGTAATCAAAGAGGAGGCTTTTACTTAAATATTGAGATTTGGGGATAGTAGCATAAATAGAAACAATTAATAAATATTCTAATTGTCCTTCTGTCCCCACTTGCATTAACCTGCACTGAATTTTTAGTTGAGCCATGTTCCCCCAAGTGCTATCCTTACACTTTACAGATGTTGCTTCTTATTTCAATAATAAGCTAATTTCCAACAATAACTACCCATGGTTAAATGCCACCCCTAAAGAGCATCTAAAGTTCAATTTAAGATAAACACAAAGTCACCCTGGGACTGCTTGTACTGTTCTTTTCACAATTGAGATTTACCAAATTGCACTGATACACTAAATTGTTCCCATCTCAAGAGGTATTTTTTAAAGTATATATGTCCAAGAAGTATATTTAGATGTGATATAATTTCATTGGTTAAAGTGTCTATTAACTTCTTTGTGTCTGGATTTTCTTCTCTGGGTCAAAGTGAGGGTTTTGTTTTTGTTTTTTTTTATTGTTGTTGTTTGTTTGTTTGTTTTTCATATAAAGTCAACTTCCCAAGTTCAGAAAAGACTACTTTTGCTACATGAGATTTTAACTTAACATTTAATTTATTTAAGATATATATTCACAACCCTAGTCTTCTTTAGTCCTTGAATTTAATTTAAAATTATTACAATTCTATATCTAAATATAGCAAATTTCAACAGTCACTTTCAATATGGCCTTTGATTAATGTTTGATCAACTCAAGTTGAACAGGTAAAACTTATTCAAATAATTGGTACCTAAACTCTATATAAATTTAATATATTCAATCTCCTTTATAGGCTCTTCAAATATCTACCTTTTAGCCAAAATTGAAAGAATTGAGTTTCCATAAACTCAATTATTATAAATTTAATGAGTGAAGTTTATAAATATAATACATTTTAAATTATCTTAAACAATAAACACACAAAGATTATTTCAATTTTCTTAAACCTAACATGAAGGTAATAATACTGTGGATTTCATTTACTTTATCTCCTCTAACTTCAATTTTAAACCTTCCTGGAGTTAAAAGACTCTTAGCTTCATGTTCCCAGTGAATTGTAGCAATTGTCCCAAGAGAAATGAAGCAAGTAAAAGAAACGTAATGACTACAGATTCAAGACCAGTAAAAGAAACCTGGGGGCTTTGTATACCTAGGAAAGTTCTCTCCACCCACTGATAGATACATGGATTAATTTTTGTGTTGTTGCAGTAATAGAGGATTGAAAGTCATTACTATTCAAGTGAAGTTGGTTTTACTGATGTCTTCTGAGGCAAGGTACACTATTACCTAATTATTTCATCTACATTTATCTACACTCTTTGAGTACAATTTCTTTCAATAATCTCTTTACTGTCTCTTTGAATCCTGCTTTGATTTTTATTGTTTAAATTTTATTTTATCTGTCTTATCTGACAGGGCACAACTCCTTTGGTCAGATGCTGCATATCTCCCATACCTTCATCTGGTCCTTCAGTTATGATGCCAAAGTCATGCTAATGACAATCTGACTACTTCAGTACCTCGCTCACAGGACTATTTTGAGAATCAAATAAGCTAACTGAATACTAAATTTTTTACCACAGTGCCTAGAGCATAATAGGCACTAGATAAGCTACTATTATTTTGGGGTGTTTTCACTTACATGAACTTTTATCCAGTTGTTGAATTTTAGTTATAACAACATATAATTGTAGTTTTAAAAATTTTATATTCTATTACATCCATTTCCTGTCAAAGTCCCATTAAAGCAGCAGTTAAAAATATATTTAAAACATAATAAGCCTATAAGCACAGAAAAAAAAAAGTATAAGAGCTAGTAGCTCAGGAAACCAAGAAACAAAACAAAACAAACAAAACCAACCAACCAAACAAACAAACAAAAAACCTGAACCTAAGCAGATGATGGGAAAAGCTGAGAAGCAACTTAATTTACACTGAATTTACACTAAGGACACTGAACCTTTACCTGTAAAGGCTCAAGAATTGGCAGTGATAGTTGGGGTGACAATGGGGCAAAATAATAGAAGAATTAATTCAAAATTATCTTTAAGAAGCACTGATATAGTTTGGTTCTGTGTCCCCACCCAAATCTCATGTCAAAATGTAATCCCCACCTATTGGAGAAGGAGCCTGGTGGGAGGTGATTGAATCATGGGGGCAGACTTCCCCCTTGCTGTTCTCATGATAGTGAGTGAGTTCTCATGAGACCTGGTTATTTGAAAGTGTGTAGCACTTCCCCTTTCACTCTCTCTCTCTCTCGCTGGCCATGTGAAGATTTGCTTGCTTGCCCTTCACCTTCTGCTATGATTTTAAGTTTCCTGAGGCATCCCCAGCCATGCCTCCTGTACAGTCTGCAGAACTGTGAGTCTATTAAACCTCCTTTCCTCATAAATTACCCAGTCTCAGAAAGTTCTTTAGAGCAATGTGAGAATGGACTAATACAGAAAATTGGCACCAGAGAAGTGGGGCATTGCTTTAAAGATACCTGAAAATGTGGAAGTGACTTTGGAACTGGGTAATGGGCAGAGGTTTAAACAGTTTGGAGGACTCAGAAGAAGACAGGAAGATGAGGGAAAGTTTGGAACTTCCTAAAGACTGGCTAAATTGTTGTGACCAAAATGCTGATAGTGATATGGACAATGATGTCCAGGCTGTGGTGGAGTAAAAATCACTTGCCATGCTTTAGCAAAGAGACTGGCAGCATTGTGCCCCTGCTTTAGGGATCTATTGAACTTTGAACTTGAGAAAGATGATTTAGGGTATCTGGCAAAAGAAATTTCTAAGCAGCAAAGTGTTCAAGGTGTGATCTGGCTGCTTCTAAAAGCCTATGCTCATCTGCATAAGCAAAGAGATAATCTAAAACTGGAACTTACATTTAAAAGAGAAGAAGAACATAAAAGTTTGGAAAATTTGCAGCCTGACCATGTGGTAGAAAAGAAAAATCCATTTTCTGGGGAAGAATTCAAGCTCAAGCCAGCTGCAGAAATTTGCATAAGCAAACAGGGACCAAATGTTAATAGCCAAGACAATGGCAAAAATGCCTCAGAGGCATTTCAGAGACCTTTGCAGCAGCCCCTCACATCATAGACCTGGAGACCTAGAAGGAAAAAAAAATGGTTTCATGGTCTAGGCCTAGGGCCTCACAGTTCTGTGCAGCTTCAGAACATGGCACGCTACATCCCTGTCACTCTAGCTCCAGCAGTGGCTAAAAGTGGCCAAGGTACAGCTCAAGCCATTTCTTCAGAGGGTGCTTCAGAGCGTGCAAGACCCAAGCCTTGGCAGTTTCCATGTGGTGTTAAGCCTACAGGTGCACAGAGTGTGAGAGTTGAGGTTTGGGAGCCTCCACCTAGATTTCAGAGGATGTATCGAAATGCCTGATATCCAGGCAGAAGTCTGCTGCAGGAGCAGAGCCCTCATGGAGAACCTCTACTAAGGCAGCACAGAGGGAAAATGTGCAGAGGGAAAATGTGGGGCTGCAGCCCCCACACAGAGTCCCCACTGGGGCAGTGCCTATTGGAGCTCTGAGAAGAGGGCCACTGTCCTCCAGACCCCAGAATTGTAGATCCACCCAACACCTTGCACCATGCACCTGGAAAAGTTGCATGCACTCACCGCCAGCTTATGAAAGCAGCCACAGGGGATGTACCCTGCAAAGCCACAGGGGAAGAGCTGCCCAAAGCCTTGAGGGTTCAGTCTTTGCATCAGCATGGCCCAGATGTGAGACATGGAGTCAAAGGAGGTTTTGAAGCTTTAAGGTTTAACGACTGCCCTGCTGTATTTTGGACTTGCATAGGGCTGTAGTCCCTTTGTTTTGGCCAATTTCTTCCTTTTGGAACCAGAGCATTTACCCAATACCTGTACCCCCCTTGTATCTTGGCAATAACTAACTTGTCTTTGATTTTACAGACCCATAGATGGAAGGGACTTGCCTTGTCTCTGGTGAGACTTTAGACTTGGACTTTTGAGTTAATGCTGGAATGAGTTAAGACTTTGGGGGACTGTTGGGAAGGTATGATTTTGTTTTGAAATGTGAAAAGGATGTGAGATTTGGGAGGGGCCAGAGGCAGAATGGTATAGTTTGGCTCTGTTTCTAAAACCAAATCTCATGTTGAATCATAATCTCCATGTGTTGGAGGAGGAGCCTGGTAGGAAGTGATTGAATCATGGGGGCAGACTTTCCCCTTGCTGTTCTTGTAATAGCGAGTGAGTTCTCATGAGGTCTGGTTGTTTGAAAGTGTGTAGTACTTCCCTCTTTGCTCTCTCTCTCTCTCTCAATCACTGGCCATGTGAAGATGTGCTTGCTTCCCCTTCACCTTCCACCATGATTTTAAGTTTCCTGAGGTCTCCCCAGCCATGCCTCCTGTACAGCCTGTGGAACTATGAGTCAATTAAACCTCTTTTCTTCATAAATTACCCAGTCTCACGTAGTTCTTTATAGCAGTGCGAGAATGGACTTATATGGCACTTAGACGTTTAGATCATTTCTCATTCTCTAAAGGTGAATAAAAGTCCTCTACCTCTGGCAGAAGACCAGCTGTTTATTCTGTGAAGAGGTAGGTCACAAGAAGCCTATGAACTAGGGTTATCAGCTACAGGTGAAGGCATGGGTAACTTAATAAAATAGGGAGATTAATCAAAGCTTAAATACTAAAATTGACAGCCCCTGCCGAGACTCTTAACCTCCAGGGATGAGGCTGTGTGTTAATCTGTTCTTGCATTACTATAAAGAAACACTGATGCTGGGTAGTTTATAAAGAAAAGACACTTAATTGGCTCATGGTTCTGCAGGCTGTAAAGGAAGCATAGCAGCATCTGCTCAGCTTCACTCATTGTGGAAGGTGAAGGGGAAGCTGACACTTCATATGGCTTGAGAAGGTGGAAGACAGAGAGGGGAGAGGTGCTACACACTTTTAAACAACCAGATCTCATGAGAACTTAGTCACTATCATGAGAAAAGCAAGGGGGAAATCTGCTCCCATGATCAAGTCACCTCTCACCAGGCCCCTCCTCCAACACGGGGGATTACAGTTTGACATAAGATTTGGGCAGGGACACAGACCCAAACCATATCAAGTTGTAAGAGCTTCTCTAAGGAAGCTGACTAACCCCATAAAAAGAGACTGAAAGACTCTGACATTTGAGATTCTCCAATTGTCTTAGTTTATTCAGGCTGCTATATCAAAATACCTTAAACTGGGTAATTTATAAAGAACAGAAATGTATTGCTTACAGTTCTGGAGGCTGAGAAGTCCAAGATCAAGGCACTAGCAGATTCAGTGTCTGGTGAGGACCCACTCCTCACAGATGGTGCCTTGTATGTGTCCTCACATGGCAAAAGGGCAAGGCAGCTCTCTCAGGCCTCTTTTATTTTTATTTATTCATTTTTATTTCAATAGTTTTCAGGGTGCAGGTAGTTTTTGGTTACATGGATAAGTTCTTCAGTAGTGATTTCTAAGATAAGGGGGCACCCATCACCTGAGCAGTGTACACCATATCCAATGTGTAGTCTTTTATCCCCCACCCCCCTCCCACTTTTCTCCCTGAGTTCCCAAAGTCCATTACAACATTCTTATGCCTTTGCATCCTCATGGCTTAGCTCCTACTTGTAAGTAAGAAAATGTAATATTTGGGTTTCCATTCCTGAGTTACTTCACTTAGAATAATGGCCTCTAGCTCCATCCAAGTTGCTGCAAAGGCCATTATTTCATTCCGTTTTATGGCTGAGTAGTACTTCATGGTGTACATATACCACATTTTCTTTATCCACTTATTAGTTGATGTGCATTGGTTGGTTCCATATTTTTGCAATTGGTAATCGTGCGCTATAGACATGCATGTGCAGCTGTCTTTTTCGTATAATGACTTATTTTCCTCTGGGTAGATACCTAGTAGTAGGATTTAAGGATTCTCCGTATTGTTTTCCTTAGTGGTTGTACTAGTTTACATTCCCACCAGCAGTGTAAAAGTGTTCTCTTTTCATCACATCCACATCAATAGCTATCATTTTTTAATTTTTAAATTGTGACCATTTTTGCAGGAATAAGATGGTAGGGGCCAGGCGCAGTGGCTCACGCCTGTAATCCCAGCACTTTAGGAGGCCAAGGTGGGTGGATCACGAGGTCAGGAGATCGAGACCATCCTGGCTAACATGGTGAAACCCCATCTCTACTAAAAAAATACAAAAAAATTAGCCAGGCGTGGTGGCAGGCGCCTGTAGTCCCAGCTACTTGGGAAGCTGAGGCAGGAGAATGGCATGAACCCAGGAGGCAGATCTTGCAGTGAGCGGAGATTGAGCCACTGCCCTCCAGCCTGTGTGACTGAGTGAGACTCTGTCTCAAAAAAAAAAAAAAAAAAAAAAGTTGGTAGGTATCTCATTGTGGCTTTTTTTTTTTTTTTTTTGGAGATGGAGTCTTGGTCACCTAGGCTAGGATACAGTGGCACGATCTTGGCTCACTGCAACCTCTGCCTCCCGAGTTCAAGTGATTCTCCAGCCTCAGCCTCCCAAGTAGCTGAGATTACAGGCACCCGCCACCATACCAACTAATTTTTGTATTTTTAGTAGAGATAGAGTTTCACCATGTTGGCCAGGCTGGTCTCAAACTCCTGATCTCAGGCAATCTGCCTGTCTCAGTCTCCGAGAAAGTGCTGGTATTACAGGCATGAGCCACTGTGCCCAGTCTCATTGTGGTTTTAATTTGCATTTCCCTGATAATTAGTGATGAGCATTTTTTCATATATGTGTTGGCTGTTTGTGTATCTTCTTTTGAGAAATGTCTATTTATGTCCTTTGCTGACTTTTTGATTGGATTATTTGTTTTTGATGGGATTATTTGTTTTTTTTTGTTTGAGTTCCTTGTAGATTCTTTGTCCTTTGTCAGATGCATAGTTTGTGAATATTTTCTCCCACTCTGTGGGTTGTCTGTTTACTTGAGCCTCTTTTATAAGGGCATGAATTTCATTCACAAGAGCTGAGCGCCCATGACCTAATCACCTCCCAAAGACCACACCTTCTAATACCATCACCTTGGTGACTAGGTTTCAACATATGAATGTTGGAGAGGCACAAAAATTCACACCATAGCACCAATGCAATGGACCAGCAGATCCTAAAAGGAATAGTACAGTTTGACAAGCCCATCCACACTCATGGAGTTTCCAGTCAGCTTTCAGTGTTGAGTGAGCAGATAACAATTTCCCAAGCACTTAAAGAAAATCCCAAGCACTTAAAGAAAAGTCCCTTTGTTTTGGCCAATTTCTTCCTTTTGGAACCAGAGCATTTACCCAATACCTGTACCCCCCTTGTATCTTGGCAGTAACTAACTTGTCTTTGAATTTACAGACTCATAGATGGAAGGGACTTGCCTTGTCTCAGGTGAGACTTTAGATTTGGACTTTTAAGTTAATGCTGGAATGAGTTAAGACTTTGGGGGGACTGTTGGGAAGGTATGATTGTGTTTTGAAATGTGAGAAGGATGTGAGATTTGGGAGGGGCCAGAGGCAGAATGATATAGTTTGGCTCTAATAGGAATTTGAAGACCCAAATAAATGGAAAATGCAGACAGGAGAAAATCTCAAAAACTATCATTAATGTCTTCACAGAGAAAAGCATCTTTTAAACAATCAGGCTGGAATTGTTTTTCTTTAACAAAAAGATATATCAAAGGATTGAAAAAGAACTCTTGTAAGTTAAAAATAGAAAAAAGTCTAACCTAATAAAAAGTTTGGAAGATAAAAATGAAAACAAAAACCTCCTAGAAAGTAGTACTCCACCAAAATAAAGGAATAAAACAGTGAGGCAGAAGCAATGGAATCCAGGTAAAAGGGGAGGCAGCACAAAAAACCTGGAGAAAATTTCTAAGATAGTGGTGAAAAGATTTCAAGCAGCAGTTATGCAGTAAGCTCAGAGAGCAACCAGTTGAGATTGAGGCAGATCAAATGGCTCCAGAGAGGTGTTTTCTCCCCAAAATGAAAAGCGATAAGATGTCGAATGTTCTAAACATACAATTCGGAGATTTACACAACTGAGGTTAAGATGGGGTGAATTAGTGGCAAGTGTTTAGAAAACAAAACATTTTCCATTTCAGACAAAATGAGAGACTATATGGAAAAGAAAATCAGTCTCTATCAGGTAACTCTAACATTTCTGTCATCTCAGTGTTGACATCTGTTCATTATCTTTTGTCACTTAGTTTGAGATCATCCTGGTTCTTGGTATGACGTGTGACTTTTCTATTGAAAATGCCCCACAAAGTTGGGGCGTTATGTCATGAGACCCTAGATCTTATTTAAACTTTCTGTTTTAGCCACCTTTTGCTGACACTGCTCCATCAGCAGAACAAGGGGTACTGCCTTATTACTGCCAGGTGGGCCAAGAAGTCGAATTCTCCACTTTGTCAACACCCATGGAGATGGGGAGCTCCCTCTGTACTGCTGGGCAGGGGCGGGATTTCCAGCTCCCTACTAGGCCTCCACTGAGCCTTCTCTGGCTGGAAGGAGCGGCAGTGCATGGTAACTCTTCCCCATGTGGCCTCTATTGACACCACCAGAGCAGGATGGCCTCTTTTCTGCTGGGTAGTGGTAAAAGTTCTGACCCTCGTCCAGGCCTCCTCTGACACCACTCCAGCAAGTTGGGAGTTGCCTCATTACTGCCAGGTAGGGATGACAGTCCAGGCTGCACTCCCCATGTGGTCTCCCTTGATACAGCTGGGGGAGGGAGGTTATCTGTTTGTGGCAGAGATGAAAGTCCCAGCTTCCTACTTGGCCTTTTGTAATACTACCTGCTGTGGGTTTGAGAGGTCTCATTACACCCTTGCCAGGGTGGAACTCCAGGCTCTGCACCTGACCTTTGCTGACATGGATGTTGGAAGGGCCACAGTCCTTTCTGTGGTGAATGGCTGGATTAGAGTGGTTATTATCTAGAACTTTTCTGTCCTGCTAGGCTGCCCCTCTATCCTGGTCCTTTGGCCAGAGAGAGCAGGTTTTTGTTGGGGGCTTTTGGTCTGAACCTGTTATTGTTTCTGAATTGATAGTATCTTCAGCTCCAAGTTTGGGAGATGTGAGGCAAACAAATAAATAACAGCAACAACAAAACCAAAAGCAAACTGAGAACCTACCACCTTAGCATACCTAGGGTCTCAAGTTCTTAGCTGGTCTGCCTTCTTCTCTATACCTTTTAGTCTTCTTATATTTGTATGTTTATATACAAGATCCAGGCTTTATAGTTGCACTTAGTGGGAAGAATGAGGAAATGTGTGTCTACTTTATTTTCTCACAAACGGAAGACCCAGGAAACATTTTTTTTTTCTTTTTTTTTTTTGAGACAGAATCTCCCTCTGTTGCCCAGGCTGGAGCGCATTGGCGCAATCTCAGCTCACTGCAACCTCCGCCTCCCGGGTTCAAGCGATTCGCCTGCCTCAGCCTCCCTAATAGCTGGGATTACAGGCATGCGCCACCACGCCCAGATGATTTTTGTATTTTTAGTAGAGACAGGGTTTCACCATGTTGACCAGGCTGGACTTGAACTTCTGACCTCAGGAGATCCACCCACCTCGGCCTCCCAAAGTGCTGGGATTACAGGCATGGGCCACTGCACCCGGCCCCTGGAAACAATTTAGAAAGTATTAAATTTAAAATAATTTTAAAATAATTTATTTCAATGAAAAAACAAAATAAAGAGGTTGGTGGGGCTTGGATGTAGAGCAAAGCAAAAATGAGAGATATGTGAACGGCCTCCCAAAGATTATCCCAATGATTTCCCATGAGGTACAAGCAACCTGCTAGGTTTTGATCTCCTGGTGGGGATCAGGACAAGTTCACAAGAACATAGCCCACCTAAAGGCACCAGTAACCACTTACCACCTATGGCAACACAGAAAATCTAATGGCTGGTGCAGTTCTTTACCTGACATATTTCATTGATGAGATTTGCCTTCCTCTTCACAGATTGTTTAATATCCTTCTCCCAGTGAACTGAAAAGTCCATGAGGGCAGGAACAATGTCTGTCAGATTAGCCATTGTAGGTGAGCTATTGTAGGTTCTCTCTGTGCCTATGTCTGCGTTGAATTGAAATTCATTTGAAGAGTGTACAATCTTGTAGTGCATTCTTTTATATTTTTTAACTTTTATTTTAGGTTCAAGGGTACATATGCAGGCTTGTTATGTAGGTAAATTGCATGTCACGGGGGTTTGGTGTACAGATTATTTTATCACTCAGGTAATAAGCATAGTACACAAAAGATAGTTTTTCAGTCCTCTCTCTCCTCCCATTCTGCACTCTTAAGTATGCCCTGATGGCTGTGGTTCCCTTCTTTGTGTCCACGTGTTGTGTTTTCAATGTTTAGCTCCTACTTACAAGTGACAACGTGCAGTATTTGGTTTTCTGTCCCTGCATTAGTTTGCTTGGGATAATGGCCTCCACCTTTATCCATGTTGCCGCAAAGGACGTGATCTCATTCTTTGTTATGGCTGCATAGTATTCCATAGTGTATATGTACCACATTTTCTTTATCCAGTCTACCACTGATGGGCATTTAGGATGATTCCATAACTTTGGTATTGTGAGTAGTGCTGTGATGAACATATATGTGCATGTGTCTTTATGGCAGAATGATTTATATTCTTTTGGGTATAGAAATGTCTGCATAATGCATGCAATATGGTTGCATGCTTTTAAATAATGGGTGCATGGTTTTAAATAAATATTTTAATATACTATTCTTTAGTAATTATCATTCTTATAAAGATTCTTGATGTTTTCTACACTTTCTCTTCACAGTCTCAAAGACAAAAAACACCAATTTCTTATCCAACTCACTCTAGGCTTGTACACAGCTATCTTCAGCTTCATTCAGAACTCAAAGCTGTTAATTTCCTTCATGGCTCTAGACCATCTCCTCCAACTCAAAAGTTCTTCTGAGTTCAACAGCCTAAGAATGGAACTCTAGATTCGAGAAGGAGCCTTAGCTCCCACTCCCAGTCTTTTTTCTCTTCCTCCTACTTTCATGGATCTTCTAATTATGTGGTCTCAGGAGGCAGCATGGATGGCTGTGGCTTTCAGGCTTCAGGCCTCTCAGGCTGAATGTGCATCTCCCTGGCTTCTCCCAGTTGGAGAGAACATTCATTTTTCTCTTCTTACAGAGTGAATAGTCTCCCTCTAAGTGGGTATTTTCAGCTGTTAGTTGCCCCTTGAAGCTTACGTGTGATAGTACTCTCCCATCATTTGTGGATGCCCCACGTTTCTGCAAATGTCATAATGATTTACTGATCGGCATCGCCTTCTTCCAATTAGATCCCTATCGTATATTAGAGCATAGATTTTAAAATAACATTTCAGCAGAGTGTGTTACTGACTCTCAGCCAGTCAGGGTGCATTTAAGGCACCCAAGGCCTCAATCTGCTCCAAACCAGGGCACTCTTCATTTTTCATTGGAGGATTGGAGAGGCAGCCCAGGTGGAATCAATAATATGCTGTAAGCCTGAAAAATCCTGATAGCTAATAAAGTATTTCTTTTAAAGCTAGTTTTATTTTAGGGAAATCCAATGCTTTAAAATTCTAACTTATGGAAAAGATAATTTAGAGAGCATGTATCTCCAAAAAGTTTTTTGGGGACTATTGAACTATTCTAATCAATCACGCTGATTTCCATCAAATCTTTCTCTTGAGAAATTTCTGTCTGAACTGCAGCATAGCACTAAGCACTTGTAAATATTTGGTAAATGTAAAATGAAGAAATAAATAACATGAATATATGAATCAATAAATGAACAAATAAATATATAAATGAAGCAATGGCTAAGAAAATGAATCACATGTTGTGTGTATCTGCCTATCATATCTTTTGATTTCTGTGTTTAAAGACAAATCATTTCAGGTTCAGAGGGTACTTGTTGGATTAAGAGGAGATTACTAAACAAGCAAGTGATAACTGGGCATCTATTCCCTGCCAGGCAGTGTGCACTGCATTTTTATAGACAATTGGCTTCTTTGTGAAACTATCACTGACAGTTTCCTCTAAAGAATAGGTCTATGCCGGGTGCGGTGGCTCATGCCTGTGATCCCAGCACTTTGGGAGGCCAAGGCAGGCGGATTACCTGAGGTCAGGAGTTCAAGACCAGCCTGGCCAATATGGCAAAACCTCCGACTCTCCTACAAATACTAAAAATACAAAAATTAGCCGGGTGTGGTGGTGCCCACCTGTAGTCCCAGCTACTCGAGGAGGCTGAGGCAGGAGGATCACTTGAACCCAGGAGGCAGAGGTTGCAGTGAGCCGAGATTGCACCATTGCACTCCAGCCTGGGTGACAGACTGAGACTCTATCTCAAACAAACAAACAAAAGAATAGGGCTATATCCTGAACATAAAACAACAACAACAATAATAATAAATTCTAAATATCAATTTTGAGCCATAGTTTATAAATCACATATTCTGGATGAGGCCAAGCCAGGTATGCGGCAGGCCCTGTACCAGGCACTGCACATGGAGTGATGGGAAAGATCAACAATGCTCTGCCCTCAGGGAACTTATATTCTAGCCAGAGAGACAAACCCAAAGAAAGGAAATACAATAATAGCACATTGTGATGAATGCTGGGAAAGAAGCAAACACAGTACTGGAATCCAAGATAATAAGAGACTACAATTGACTGGCCTCTGAGGAGAAGACATTTAAGCTGAAAAGCTCCATTATTAGATGGGTCAAAGGGGACATCCTGTTTCGCCTTTCAAAGTTCTGCTTCAGTGTCACTTGCTGAACTTAACGTTATAGGTCTTCCACTCACAATGGTCCCCCTGGACAATAGTTAAGACTCTGCAGAGGGTGTTGCCCTTCCAAAAGAGATCTACTCTTCATGACAGCATTTCTGCCCCTTTCCCTTGATAAGCAGTTCATGAGTTTTACACGCACTCCCTTGGAGGGATGATTCTGTCCCCATTAATGAGCAGCTTTGCTTGGTAGTTATTGAGTAACTGCCATCTATTGACTTTATATAAAATGTTAATTATAAGTTAATTTGGGGACAACCGTTTAATCTATGAAAATACAAAGAAGAATGCACAGACCATGGACTATATCCACTAAGTGCAGCAATATATTTATTCATAATATAAGCACTGTGGCAAGTCAAAAGAAGTAAGGAAGCAGATCTAAGGGGTATTGGGTCCCCAATCAAAACATGCTATTCCTTTCCTTTCCTTGATTTTTCTTTTGGCCTGAGATTGAATGAACTGAATGCCCATACTCAGAAAGATGCTTGAACTATGCCCGCCTATATAACATGTATAACTGATACTAAAAGTGAAGGTAAGTCACATAAATCTAAAGCCAATGTAGAATTTTTCTGGTTAAAGTTTTTAAAACAAACCACAAAACTAAAAATACCTATAAAATCATCTTTTGCTAAATATTTAGGCAAAGGACATAAACATATGCATATATATAGATATTTACGCAAAGAACCATAAAAAGATATGTCTGCGTGTACATAGGAACTATTTATTGACAAACCATTTGTGTTAGCACAGTAGCTTGCCCTTGGGGCTAACAGCCAAAAACTATTAATTCTTGCCATGGGAAAAACAATTTTAAAACTCATTAATTATGCCAAAAATTTACATTTTTATTTTTATTCCAAGCCTTGATTACAGTCTATTAATAAATGAAAATGTGCTTGCATTTTTAAGTACTTCTGAATTTCCCAAGTTTTGTTTTCAAAGACAGCAAAACTTCAACAACATTTTAATTTACTCAGCGAATAGTCAAGGGAAAGGCTTTATTAAATAAAGAAACTGTCTTTGAAGAAATAGTTGGAGTTCAATAATATATTAAATGCCTGCTGAGGACTTTTTCTCTTTTTCTTTTTAATTTATGTTTTTATCAAAGTAAAATGGAGTTTTTTTTAAAAAAAAATCAAAAGCCACTACAAAGCTTATAAAGCAAAAAGCAGTTTATTATGCCACTACTCCCTACTCCTGAATCATTTAATGTCTTATTTTTTTCTTTTTGAATTTCTAACTGTATTTCTAAGTAGTATACCTACAGTGTTTTAATTTTTTTCATTTTATATATTAATTCTTGAATTGCAAATAAAGGCGGATTTACTTCTTTCTTTACAATCTTTACACCTTTAATCTCTTATTTGTGGCTTATTTCAACTGGCTAGGATTTCCTGTAAGAAGTTGAAAGGACTTTGCCTTATTCTTGATCTTAGAAGTAAAGCATTTGTTCTTCCATTATGAAGCATAATGTTAATTGTAGGGCTTTGTAGAGTCCCTTGAATGTATTGAGGAAGTCCACCTCCTTTCCTAGTTTTCTGTCAGTGTTATTGTTTTATTTATTTTGCCTTTCTTATAATTTTTAAATTAAAAACACATCATTTTTGTACAGTTTGTATAAAGAATTACATATATTATAATTTTTAACTCTTAGTAACCTTAAATTCTAGTGAAAACCTAAAAGCGAAATCTTGAATTGTCTGTCACACTCTGTCTCCAGGCTGGAGTGCAGTGCCGTGATCTTAGCTCACTGCAACCTCCACCTCTGGGGTTCAAGCGATTCTCCTGCCTCAGCCTCCTCAGTAGCTGGGACTATAGGCACGCGCCACCACGCCCAGCTAATTTTTTTTTTTGTATTTTTAGTAAAGACGGAGTGTCACCATGTTGGCCAAAGATGGTCTCAATCTCTTGACCTCGTGATCCACCCGCCTCGGCCTCCTGAAGTGCTGGAATTACAGATGTGAGCCACTGTGCCTGGCCTGCTGTCATTTTTAATATAAAAAGAAATGATCTTTTAAATAATATTTTCTTGTTTAATGAGTGTGAAATTTTCTTTCATTTCTCTGATAATATTTTAGAGTCTTTAAAAATTCCTTTTTACTCTGCTTTTTTTTTTTTTTTTTTTTTTTTTGTCTTTTAAAATTACCACTATTTATTCTAAGTCCTGTTTTTCCGGTTAAAATAGTTTGGTCTCCTTCTTTCACACAGAGGATTTCCTCCGATGTCTGGTTTATTCCTAGCAATTCATCTGTGATTGGAATAAGGCATAAAAACACCACATGGGTGGGGCTTGCTGACTAGCAGGCCTCACTGTAGGGCATCCCTACCCATTTCTTAGGGGGATGTAGACATGTCAGTATCTCTGTGTACTTTCTTTCTGTTGGCCCAGAAAAGAAATACCTAATCTGCTGCCTGGTATAAATATAGACCTGGCTGCTAAAATCTGGGAACTGATTAAGGGATGTGGATAGTGGTGGTGTGTGCCTGTGGTCCTAGCTACTTGGGAGACTGAGGTGGGAGGATCACTTGAGCCAGGAGATTCGGGCTGAGTGTCTCACCATTCAGTAGAGAGACTTTTAGCTCACCCTTTGTTTTGCCTCTTTCCTCACTTCCCTACTCAACTGTCTCTGATAACCCAAAGTCCAGAGTCTCTCCGGATTCGTTGCTCAGGAAGATAAACCTCTATTGCCTGCTAGGTTCGGGGAGGAGATGCTACCTGAGTATGCAGGTGAGTGAGGGAATCTGGAAGTCTAAATCTAAGTTCATCATCTTCATATCCACCCCACCTCTTGTCTTGCCTTTCAAAGCTCACCAGCACCTCTAGTCCTTAGGCTCTCTTGGGTTCTAATGAGAATATCATCTTGGTTTTTATCGACATTCTTATTGACTGGCAATTAAACATTAGCTTTCTCTACTTTGCTGAGTTACCAATGGTCCATCCACTTTCAGTCATCCAAAATGTTCTCCCATCCCTCATCTGCAATCATTTCCACAGGATTTCAGAAAGAAGCAAATATAACACATCTATTCAATCCACCATGTTTAACAAAATTTTCTGATGTGATTTTTTAAAATGCTTTTAAAATATGCCTACAAAAACATTCACCTGTTCAAAGGGTACTATATTAGATGAGTCTTGACAAATGCATATAGCTATGCAACCACCGCTACAGTCAAGATATAGAACATATGTATCACTCCCAAAATGTTCAGGCATGGACCTTTGTAGCTGATGCCCTGTCTCTACCCTGAATCCCTGGCAAACACTGAACATTTCTCTCCCTAGTTTTGCCTTTTCTAGGATGTCATATAAATTGAATCATAGTCATACAGGCAGTTGTGTCTGGCTTCTTTCACTTACCATAATAATTTTGATTTCCATCCATTTGTTTCATGTATCAGTAGTTCACCACGCTTTACTGTTGAATAGGATTCCATTATATGGACAGACCACAGTTTGTTAATCCATTCATTAGAAGATGGATATTTGAGTTGTTTCCAGTCCTTGGCTATTATTAATAAAGTTGCTGTGAACATATGTTTAAAGGTCTTTGGATGTGAACACATGTCTTTACTACTCTTAGGTAAATATCTAAGAACGGAATTGCTGGGTCGTGTAGTAAGTGTATGTGTTAAAATGTATAAGAAGTTTCCAATCTGTTTCAAAGTGGTTGTAAGATTTTAAATTCTTTTCAGCAATATGTGAGCAATCCAGTTGCTCCACATTCTCACCAATAATTGCTATTATCATTTTAAAAAACGTTAGCTAACATATGAGGTGTTAAATTATATCATATCATGATTTTAATTTGCATTTCCCTGATGACTAATATTGTTGAGTATCTTTCATATTCAATATACGGACGCCATGATTGAAAATTCAATACCACTCAAAATTGTACTATAATAAATAAACAAATCACTTAGGTATTGCTACAGGTTGAATTATGCTTTGCCCCTCTCATCCCAAAAAGATATGCTGGAATCTTAAACCTCATACCTCAAAATATGGTCTTATTTAGAGATAGACTCTTTACCGGGGTAAAGTTAAAATGTGGTTATTAGGGTAGGCTCTAATCCAATCTGACAACACCATTATAAAACGGAGAAATTTGGACATGGAGACAGACGAGCACAGAGGGAAGGTGATGTGAGGAGACACGGGGAGAAGACAGCCATCTACAAGCCAAGGAGAGGGCCCTGGAACAGATCCTCCCTCACAGCTCTAGGAAGGAACCAACTCTGCTGATATCTTGATTTCAGATTTCTAGCATCTGGAACTGTGAGAAAGTAAATTTCTGTTGTTTAAGCTATTCGGTTTGTAGTATTTTGTTACAGAAGCCATCACAAACTAATACAGATGCAAATCTAATATATAAGCAGGACTTGCATGCTGAAAACACAAAATATTGCAAGAAATCAAAGATCTAAGTAAATGGAGAGACAAACCATGTCATAAGACTCAGCACAGCAAAGGGTTAATTCATTGCCAAATTGATACACAGCTTTAATGAAATTCCTATTAAAATCCTAGCAAGATTTCTTTGTAGATATAGACAAGACTACTCTAAAATTTATATGGACAGGCAATGAACTAGAATAGCTGAAACCATTTTGAAAGGGAAGAACAAAATGAGAGGAATCGGTCTACCTGATTTTCGACTTATTATATAGCTACAGTAATTGGGACTGTTTGATGCTGGTGGAAGAATACACACAACGATCAATAGAACAGAGGAACGAACCCAAAAATAGACCCACACAAGTATGCCCAAGTGATTTTCAATGAAGTTACAAAAGCAATTCAATGGAAGAAAAATAGCCTTTCCAGCAAATTGTGCTGGAGAAATTGGACATTCACAGGCAAAAAACAAAACAAAACAAAACAAAACAAACAAACAAACAAAAACTCAGCTCAACCTAATTCTTACACCTAATTTTTTAAAAATTAACTCAAAATGTAAAGAGACTTAAATGTAAAATATAAAACTAAAACATTTACAAGAAAACATAGTAAAAAATCCTGGGGATCTAGGGCTAGACAAAATATTCATAGAGTTGACACCAAAAGTGTGATCCTTAAAAGAAAATCTTGATAAATCACAATTAAAAATTTTTGCTCTGTGAAAGACACTGTGAAGAGGATGAAAAGACAAGCTATAGACTGAGAGAAAATATTTTCAAATCACGTATTTGACAAAGAACTAGCATCTAGAATATACATAAAGAACTCTCAAAACTCAACCTTTAAAAAAACCAAACTGGCCGGGCATGGTGGCTCATGCCTGTAATCCCAAAGCTGGGAGACCGAAGCAGGCAGATCACCTGAGTTCAGGATTTTGAGACCAGCCTGGGCAACATGGTGAAAACCCGTCTCTACTAAAAATATAAGAAATTAGCCGGGCATGGTGGCACGTGCCTGTAATCCCAACTACTCAGGAGACTGAGGCAGGAGAATCACTTGAACCCTGGAGGCGAAGATTCCAGTGAGCCAAGATCACACCACTGCACTCCAGCCTGGGTGACAGAATGAGACTCCATCTCAAAAGCAAAAAAATTCAATATGCGTTTATCATAAGACCCAGCAAATGCTCTTCTGGGCATTTATCTCAGAGAAATAAAGTAAAATCTTATGTTCTCAAAAATACCTGTATATCAATGTCTGTAGCATCTTGCAATTGCCCAAACTGGAAGCGGCCCAGATATCCTTCAACAGGTGGATGGTTAAACAAACTGTAGTACGCCATACCCTGGAATACCATTCAGCAATAAAGATTAAAAAGCTATTGATACATGCAACAACTTTCAGAGGATTATGCTGCAAATAAAAAAACAGTGCAATCCCAAAAGATTACATACTGTATAATCCCATTTATATAACATTCCTGCAAAGACAAAATTATAGATATGGAGAACAGTGGTTGCCAAGGATTAAGGAAGGGGTGGGTGCAGGAGGGAAGTGGATGTGGAGGACTCTTGTAGCCAAGGAAATTGTCTGTATTTTGATGGTATCAATGTCAATGTCCTGGTATGAAATAGTACAATGGTTTGGCAAGATACTACCAAGTTGGAGGAACTGGGTGAAAGATAGAGGGATCTCCCTGTATTATTTCTTACAAGTGCATGTGAATCTACAATTACCTCAAAATGTTTAATTTTCAGATGAAAGCAAAAAAAAAGAAAGCCAAACTAAACAAAAATAACATTTCTAGATAACTCAGAAATGTTATAGTTTCTATAAATATTTTTAAAGAAAATCAGTGCTAAATTCAGTTCATCTCCTCCTTCAGATTCTCCTGTTCTAGAACAGGTGCTAGAGCTTCAGCTATAAACTTAGATAGTTTGTGACTGAGTCAACTTCTAGCGAGTTAGGATGTCCACAGCAGAGTGCTGGGAGCTGTACCTGCCCGGCACCACCCCTGTGCTCAGTACGCTACAGTCCATGTGACAGGCAGGCTTAAGGTCTACAATTAGAGAAGCAGGTGGATCTCCTTTGTCCTCAGGTCTAAGTCACTTTCTCCTCTCTGGCTCCCCCAGAAAGCCTTGGGGGTTAAGACACACCTGCCTACCCGTTAGGAAAACTGACAGTTTGTTTCCCATTTGGCTCTCAATTTTCTGTGAGTTGCACTAGCTTTAAGGAGAAGAAGGGTGAATTCAAATCAGCCTTACCTCTTGACTCCATTAGGAGATCCTGAGGTTGGACCAGCGGCATCTCCCAAGATGGGGTTGGGGTACTGGACTCCCACAAGGAGGCCGGAGCAAAGGCACATGAGGCTACTTACACCTGCACTCCTGACAGAGGCTGCTGGGACATCCAGAAATAATTAGAAAGCCATTGGGCTTTTCTTACCTGGTAAATTATACATTTGGGTGATATCTACGTCCTTTCCTCATGTTCTCCTTGGGAATAAAGGAACAAATGTGCGAGCTGATTGTCCAGAGTTTGTGGTAGGTAAGAGAGACAGAAACGAGGCTCAGAAGTGTGCTGTGGGTCCTCTAATACCTGGCTCAGCGGTTCAAAGACGACTCGAGGGACTTCATGGAGTTCCACTGGACATTTCCTGCAAGGGGTTCTGGTTCCCCCTTCATTTTCACTGCACACACCTCTATCTGACATAGGGAGTTTGCTTCTGGGCCCCTGCTGCCTTCCGCTTCCCCTCTGACAAGCTGCTAAGGTCTCTAGTTCCCTTGCCTGTCCCTGTGTCTGTGCTAGGTGGCTTGGATCCTCAGATTGCCATGCCCCTTAGCTTGTCTTGGCATCTCTGCCATTGATTCCCAATTGGAACCATCTCCATGAGACCTTTGACTTGGCATGCCACAGCCCTCTGCTCCCCATGAGCTGAGTCCTGGGATCCTGGGCCCAGGGTGCCAGGACAGGACCTAAGCAGCAGCCACTTTTCTGGCAAGATGACCTTTAAAAATTTTGGCTTTTCCCCAGCATGTCAGCACGCCCTTGTGATTCAGTTGAACTTTCCAGTTGCCTTAGTCTCAATGCAGCCTGTGGGGTGAGGAGGTGACTCTTGCCCTCTATTAGGAGCTCTGCTGGTCATCTCCTCTGACCACAGCCAGCTTTCCTTCCTCCCTTCACTCTGAAGGCCCTGCTTCCTGAATTGCACGAGATCAGACACATTCACATCTCAC
Source organism: Homo sapiens (assembly GCF_000001405.40). Classification (NCBI taxonomy): domain Eukaryota; kingdom Metazoa; phylum Chordata; class Mammalia; order Primates; family Hominidae; genus Homo; species Homo sapiens. The sequence goes on from NC_000008.11 coordinate 29,719,617, forward strand.
TATTCCAGCTGCCTGCAAATTTTTGATAACACTATCCTACCAGCAAAACAACTTTAATTATGTATCCCCAAGAAGTAAAGTGCTCTACTAACCTATACATTATAACAGTAAGAAAAATGAAAATTTAAAAAGGATGGTGCATTAGAAAGCAGAAATCCTAGTGTGATCTTCTTTCACCTGAGCAGCTCATTGTGTTCTGAGACCCTGGCTCTACCCTGCTAAAACCAGTAGTGAAGTAGACTAAGTCTTTTCAGAAGGGTATCAAGCATGTGCCACCTGGATTTTGGTGGATATTGACCATTACCCCAAGGAAAAACTTTTATGGTAAAAAGCCTGACTCCCCCCTTCAGAATGTGTGAGCCTCACTCTCTTCATTTGTAAAATCACCATCTGAATTCTATGCTTTGAAAGACACTTTCAGGTCAAATACTTATTAGGTGTCTACATATCCATCAACGAAGACTTAAAGGCTTTGGGGCAAAGAAAAACAGTACCTGGGGAGAATTGTGAAATTTCAGAATCTGAACACAAACAACATTTTTTTTTTTTTTTTGAGATGGAGTGTCACTCTTCTGCCCAGGCTGGAGTGCAGTGGCGCGATCTCGGCTCACTGCAACCTCTGCCTCCCGGGTTCAAGTGATTCTCCTGCTTCAGCCTCCCAAGTAGCTGGGATCACAAGCATTCGCCACCACGCCCAGCTAATTTTTGTATTTTTAGTAAAGATGGGGTTTCACCCTGTTGGCCAGGCTGGTCTCGAGCTCCTGACTTCAGGTGATCTGCCTGCCTCGGCCTCCCAAAGTGCTGGGATTACAGGCATGAGCCAAACAACTTTTTACCAAGGAGGAACTTAAGAAACAAAAAGGATGGTGGATTTACACGGGATTTTCCCAGCAGAGGCTAGGATCTGTGTGCTTGGTTGTATTGTTCATTTCACAGACAGTAATGTTGATTTGGAAGAGGATGAGTGAATTTCACATATTATCTGGGAACTCATTACACAAAAGCAAGGAACTCTTTTGCTATAATTTTTAAAATCTTTGATACTTTGATTAGCACCTACAATATCTCGTTATCATCTGAATTTCTTTTATTATCTGTGTGTTGAAAATTTTTTCATATTTTTTATCATGTGTCTTTCCTCCTTATGAACCATCTGTTTATGTCCTTTGCTCAATCATATATTGGAGTCTTATAATTTTGGGGGTCATTTTTGGTGATTGAGATTTTATATAATGAGGATATTAAGATGCGCATGTAAGTGTGTGTGTGTGTGTGTGTGTGTGTTTGGTTAACCAATTGACTTGAGCTCTTACAAATTTTCAAGCTAAATAGCTATTCTATTTTGGTTTAGGGAAAAAGAAAATCGAACCAAGATAAGCTTTTAAATTCAACTTCCTTTCCAGCAGAAAGGGAAAGCAGGAATTGTAGAGCTGCTGAACAAGAGCAATTTTCATTCTCTCTTGGTTTGAATGAGTTTCTTTTTTCCTTATGAAATGGGAACTTCTTTTCTGTGTATCTATACAGTTGTTATTATCGTTGTAATAATGAACTTCTATTGAGAAGCACTAGAAGCTGAAGCACTTCAGATCGGGACAATAAGCCCAATACAGCGGCTTGATTTAGACAGGGACCCTCACTTCTGTTTAGAAATACATTTTCAATCATTTTAATGAAAAGGGCGACAGCAGCCATGGTGTGTTCAGATACTCAGCATGACACCGCCTGCAAGCTCTATTGTCTTTCGCTGATTAAACTGGGCTGGTTGAGAATTACATTTCTGCACCCATGGTTCCGCTGTGGTGAACACCGGGAGTAAGCAAGCTCTTATTCAGGTCCCAAGCAAGCCACAGCCAGCATGTCAGAAAGCAAGATTCAAGTCAGGGTCCCCTTGGCTTCGACTGGCTCTACTGGATCAAACAGCTCCAGCGGGGACAGAGGCAGCAGGAAAGAGCTTCCTCAATAAGGAAATTGAAGAGCAGGAGGAAGGAAAAAATAACCTGAAACTCAGATGGGCAAGATTAGGGGTGGGGAGTGAGAGCCAGAGATCATGTGTCAGCACCCAGAGCGGAGGAGAAAGAATTCTGATTCCAGTCCACACCACCCTAGACTGCAGCATTGAGCACCCCAGGGCTGGCGTTCATCTCAACCCCCTCATTTTCTCAGTTGAGGAAACAACCCTGGAGAGGTGAGGTGACCCGCTTAACATCATGCCACGTGTGTGGGAGAGAAGGGACATGAACCCTGTCCCCAATAATCCATGCTGCCTCTCAAATATCACATTATTTTCCTTGCACTGTTTCCTTTTGGGGTTCTCGCTGTGGTTTGAAATGAGAGTGTCAACCTTCAGGGACAGCAGGACCTGCTGAGTCCATGGAAGGGTCTCAGTGCTTATTGATTGAATGGAGGTGTCATCCTGTGCTTTCGAGCAAAGCTTTCAGAACCAGAGAGATCCAGGCTCACTTTCCAGCTCAGCTCCGTATCATCTGGACACTCTTGGGAAATTCACTTGCCCTCTCTGGGCCTCAGTTTCCTTTTCTGTAAAATGGGGACAATGAGAATTATATTGACCTCTGAGGGCTGTTTCGAGGAGTAAACAAAAGAATGCACAGAAAGTCTCTCTTCAGAAAAGAAGATGAAAGCCCAAAGAAGATTAAGTAATTTTGTCCAAAGTAACTTGTTCTTTAAGATGTGGCCGGAACTCAAAAATCAGTCCGTGGGTGCTGAGAAAGTCAGTGCTCTTTTGTTCTCTTTTATTATATCCTGGACACGATGGTTCATGTGTTGAGGGCCCAATGAACGTCATTCACTTAGAATTCAATACGTGTGAATTATTTGAAAAAACTGCAGTAGCCCCGAGTATATAAAAACTACCATAACCTAATGTCTATAGTAAAATATTACAAGGTCAGAGCTACAGTGAACCCTGTCAAGTCTGAAAAGACTTTAAATAAATCTTATCGACAAAAGACACTGTGGAAAGCTGGAAGAAGGCATTCGTAATGAAGACACAGACATCTAAGGACTGAAGTAATTTGAAACACGGCATCAGAAGATCTGCCCCTTTGTGCTGTATGGTCTAGACACACTGTTCTACCTCTTTGTGCCTGTTTCCTTATTTGTGCAGTGAAGGGTTAGGACTTGGAAATGGCTGAGATCTCACAAGATTTAAAGTCACCAAATCAAACCTAGAATTCAACCTAGAAAGATTACAGGCCCAAAAGTTTGTGAAATTATTGAGAAGGATCCCTTGACTCCAGGTTGAATTTAGAGAGAGAAATTTGCTAGCTGCCACGTGGAGTAGGAAAGGATCTCCTAGAAGTCACTACATCAGGAATCCCACAGCAACTACAGCCACCACTGTTCATTGACATTATGTCTTCAATAGTAGGTGAATTTGCTGCTACAACCAAGTATTTTCTTTGCAACTCGCATATCCTTAATAATCTCCTTCCAGAGCTGTGCTCAGTAGCAGCTATTTCCGAAAGGAAATAAACGTTTCCATTGTTCCTGTTGCAATATTGACTTCCAGTGAAGATAGTTTTTGACATTTAAAGGGAAGAGCGCCCCCTAGTGGAAGTATAATCCAAGCCGACAGCCAAGACCACCATTAAAAGCTGATGGGTACCGTTCATGTTTGGGAGACCTGTCTTACAGTCCCCTTCCAGAAGTGATTTATGCCACCAAGAAAGTACACATCAGGCTTAAGCATCTACCAAGAAAATATACCCTGTTATAAACAAAAATAAGTTAGATTCTTTTTTTCTTTCTTTTTTTTTGAGAAGGAGTCTCGCTCTGTCACCAGGCTGGAGTGCAGTGGTGCGATCTCGGCTCACTGCAACCTCCGACTCCCCGGTTCAAGCGATTCTCCTGCCTCAGCCTCCCGAGTAGCTGGGATTACAAGCATGCACTACCACATCCAGCTAATTTTTGTATTTTTAGTAGAGACGGGGTTTCACCATGTTGACCATGATGGTCTCGATCTCCTGACCTCGTTATCCGCCCACCTCGGCCTCCCAAAATGCTGGGATTACAGATGTGAGTCACCGCACCCGGCCTACATTGGTAGTTTTGGGTTATGATAAAGAGACAACAGACAGAGCGAGAAAAGGATTAAGAAAATTAGGAACAGACAAGAGAAGTGGCATGAAAAGGAGGAGACAGGACAGAGCAGACACAGGAAGAAGAATGACATGAAAATATGGATTTCTTCTTGGTATTTTTCTTCCTTCATTTTAGATGGAGGGAAATAGCTTATTCTAGAATAATTCCCTCCAGAGACTCTGTTTTTAAGTGGAACACCTTGTAGTACATTAGACAGGCAACGACTCCATTCTTGACAATGAAACAAACCACCACAACTCAACACCTGATTGGACAGAGAGCAAGCACCTCTCACTCTTGTTCACCTGCTTGAGGCCTTTCAGAAGGGAAAAAAAAAATGTGTCTGATGCCAAATGAGAGCTTCAATGAATGAATGCCACAACAACTATGGCCGCTACTGTTAAATTGACGTGTGAGTTGGGCAGGAGATGGGGAGGTATTGATGAATTACAGACAGACAAATTCAGGTGCTTTCTGCAGTTTTGTTCTAAGTGACATCTGTCTGTGTCCACGGAGACCATTCCTCCCATCCAGGTGCAGCACGGGGACCCGCCATGACTTTGGGGGTGGATGCATAAAGAGTTTTCCATTTTAACAGTTATGCCTTTATAGTCATATGTGTTAGAGAAACTAAAACTCACCTATCAAACCTATGATTTTAAGAGTTCTATTTTTAACATGAGGCTGAGTAGGTTTTTCTTTAAGTGAGCGATTTTAAAGACAATATTAAATAAATAGTAAAGTACGTGGAAAGGAAGGAGAGGTGGCGGAAATTATGAGAGAGTGCTGAATATCACCGAAGCTCAGAAAACACTTCAGGAAGTGAGCAGAGGTTATTCAAGGGTTATCTTTCTATCATTCTCTCCCCTCTCTCGAGACTGGTCCTTCTTGCATTCATTTTATCTATTGTGCTTCTCTAGTTTGCCCTGTGGTCCTGTCTTCACCGAACACATTCCTACTGCTCTGAATCAATGACAATGTCAATGGGCAGGACAGTCCTTCTGTGGTCCCATTCAGCCATGGCTCCAAATTCGCGATCTAGCAAAGGAGGGGTCTCTAGATTGCCCCCAGCATTGTATGATGAAGGAATGGCCTCCAAATCAGCCATTTTCCCAGGACCTTCCCACCCTCTCCACCAGCACTCCCCACTCCTTCTTACCCCAGCGAGAAGAGCAGTGCACAGTGACATGTGTCAAGGGCCCCAGCCATGGAAAAGATGGAATCCTGCTCCGAGGAGAGACAGTAGCTGAAATCTTGCAATCCTGAAGCCTCTTTTTCCCCAAGAAGACTGCCGTCTACACCCTTGTTAGTCAGAGAAGGAAATAGTTACATTAAGAAATTCTCTGAGCCTCTATGAGAAACTCCTTTCTTCCCAGAGACCTCAGGTGAGCTTTCCCAAAAGGACCCTGCCCGTGTAGGCTTGGACCTGTCCTCCAGGGCTCATTTTAATGGAGTGAAAAAGCATTCCTCAGTCAATGACATGACCTAGGAGTTCTTGTGTTGTTTTCTCTTCAAATTGCCATTGCAGGAATGCAACGTGATAACTAATTTACAGTATCATATAATCACCAAGAGCCCCCTCTGTGCAGCTGCCCTTCCCATCGTCCATGTTTGACATGCCACCACTCTTCCACTCTGATGTCAAGGTGAGCCTCTGATAAGAGAGTGTGTTACTCTGTTTGTGTTGCTATAAAGGAATACCTCAGACTGGGTAATTATACAGAAAAGAGGCTTATTTGGCTCACAGTTCTACAGGATGTATAGGAAGCATAGTGTCAGTATCTGCTTCTGGGGAGGGCCTCAGGACGCTTCCAATCATGGCATAGCGGGAGCCAGCAGTCACATAGCAAGAGTAGGAGCAAGACAGAGAGGAGGGAGGTGCCGGGCTTTTTTTAAACAACAGCTCTCTAGTGAACTCATAGAGTGAGAACTCATTCATTACGATGAGGACAAGGCACCAAGTCATTCATGAGGGATGCACCTCCATGACTTCCCAGTAAGACCATCTCCAACATTGGATGTCACATTTCAATGTAAGATTTGGAGGGGACGAAACATCCAAATCATATGAGAGGGCCAATCAAATCCTAGAACACTGAAAAGAACAGCAACCACTGATCCCCACTGGGCATGAAGGGTAGCCAGAGTGCCAGTCCTACTTCCCCACCAAGACTCAAAACTGAAGACAGCTTAGCCTATTTTGGATGCTATCGACTGGTACTAATGATTTCATTCCTATCTACACGCAGAGTTTGGGGGCATATATGCAAAGTGGTACTAGTAAATGTTTTAGCCTTTGCCAATTCCTATGGTATAAATACTGTCATCATAGCTAATTTCAATCTACGAACATGATGTCAACTGACTCACAAAATTCCTGAAAATTTAACAAGCAGCTCTTGCAAGTTTGTTTAAGTTTGCTGCAGCATAGCACTTACCTGTATGTTCTAGAGTTCTTTAGCAGTACATGGTACTGTGTGGTGGGGGATGCCAGTGCTAGCATCTCTGACATATTCCTTCATCTTCACCTTCATCCTTACTTTTCCTTCCACTTTTCCTCAATTTTTAAAAACTCCTCACGTCCTCTGTTTTTCTCTACTGGCTCTCATTTTGTATGGACATTCAGGCCATGGGGAAACTGAGATGATGCATTTCCATTATACTATGAGGATCACTCATTCTGTGACAGCTGAAATTTGGGCAGAGCTGAAAACAAGCAAATTAGACATAAAAGATTCCACAGTTGTTACAGATACTGTTCAAATATAATACATAATTGGGCACCAATAATTAGAGATCTGAAGTTGAATAACCCACAGTCTTGCCTTCTAAGGGTCATGGATGAATGAGAAGATGCAAATAATATCTCCATGGCAGACATTAGCAATTGATTCCAGAATTCACATACCGCTGTTTTTTCTTTCTCAATACAGTGATCCCTACTGATTAATCACAGTTGGCACTGAAAATGGAATGTATTTGCCATCCCTGGACTATGTGTATCAAAGCACTAAGTGCAGGAGAGAAAGGACAGGAAAGGTGTAAAAGGCAGAAAGGTGCCAATGGAGGGTGCCATAGACAAGTCTCACTGCAATTTATATCTAATACTGACCCTGTCTGTAGACTTACCTCTAGGTGCATGCCATCTCAAGGTTGCCATGAAACACTACTTTTTTTGTCCCTAGGATTGTCCATGGCAAGAACCAAGGAGAGGGCACAGGCATGCCTGTGTCTGTGGCTGTGGGAACAATGGAAGAGGCTGAGCTTATTGCTCTGGAAGGCTGCTGTTTGTTATTAAAAGGGATCATAAGAATGATGGAAGCCAAGCTGTGCTTTCAGAGACGGGTCCAAGCGTGGAGTGCCGGCCATGATCCATTTCTTCCAAAGACAGGTGGCTGCTGCTCTGGGGGTGGGAGGGGAGCTTAAGAAGGAGACTCACACTGCCCCTGTATGTAATCTGGTTCCTTTCCACATTGCCAGGGGCCTGGGAGATCCCTGATATTTTATCTTCAAATGTGATCTGGGATCTATATATAGTTGGACACATAGATGAGATGAGTTCTTTTTAATGGAAAAGAAAGGAACTTTTTTTTTTGTGATGGAGTCTCGCTCTGTCATTCAGGCTGGAGTGCAGTGGCATGATCTCAGCTCACTACAACCTCCACCTCCCAGGTTCAAGTGATTCTCCTGCCTCAGCATCCTAAGTAGCCAGGATTACAGGCATGCACCACCACGCCCAGCTAATTTTTTTTTGTTTTCAGTGGAGACAGGGTTTCACCATGTTGGCCAGGCTGATCTCAAATTCCTGACCTCAAATGATCTGCCCACCTTGGCCTCCCAAAGTGCTAGGATTACAGGTGTGAGCCACTGAGCCTGGACAGGAACTTAATACATACTCTATCATGAGCACCCATTCTAACCCTAATACTAAGCCTCGGTGAGGGAGGATGGTGTCCTGGAGCAAATGGGCAATAACAGCAGGGTTACAGGCATTGCCTTGTCCTGGGGTTGATGTCTTTGCTGTTATCCACTGAGTTCCTAGACTCTGGAAGCTTCTTGTCTCAGACCTAATGTCTCTAGGACCTAATGGCTTCCCTGAGCCTCCTGACACCCATACCTCTGACCTAGAGTAACATAACCTTGCCACACCTTAGTTTACATTCGTGTGGCTCTTTCCAAAGCTTTGTATTCTTTTCAAAGGACCTTTTGAAAGGATCTTAGTGAGAAGTAACCAATGGAAGGGATCTTTGATGGTGAAATCCAGGCACTGTAGTCCCCCCTGACACTTCCCCCATAGCACTGCCTTAACTACTGCTTTGCTAAAAGACTGATCTTGTCCACACACTGATTTGTAGAAAGCAAAGCTCAACATGAAATGAACAAGCTGAAAACGCTGGGCCAAACAGGGTCCTGAGCCCTTAACCCCTGGGGAGGACTGCAGCGAAGTTCAGAGAATAACATCACTTGCTCCACTTGCTTTTTCTAGATTCTGATCAAAAGGGAACAGACCGACAGCCTCGATATTTTGCTGGTAAAGTCATCACTCAATCACAGCATCCCCAGGGAATAGGAGAGGCATAGGATCTAACCCTTGCTATTTTTATTTTTGGAGACACAAATGAGGCAGTCGGTTCTGGAGGAAGTCACGAAAGAAGCTCTGAATCAGATGGTATTTCACCCACCATCGGAGACAGGATGACTTGTGCTATCATCTACCAAATCAAAGAGCTCTCCACACTTGCTAAATGGGACACGAAATGGCCTTGTGCAGCTCCAGCACAGAAAAGGCAAGGACTGGGGTACCAGTCAGGCTGCAGACAGAGGCCCTCCCTCCTTGGGGCCTCAGCTTTCTGGAAGGGAGGGTGGGAGTGTGGGAGGAGAGAGAGAAATCCCATGTCTACCACTGCCCAAAAGAGCCAAGGTCTTGGTGCCAGCAGGAAAGACAGTGAACATGAGATGTTTTCCACTCAAAGTTAGAACTAGAACCAGGGGTAGTAGAGGGTGCAGAAGACGGCTTTTTTTTTTTTTTTTTTTTTTTAAGAAAGAGTCTCACTTTGTTGCCTAGGCTGGAGTGGAATGCAGTTGCATAATCTTGGCTCACTGCAACCTCTGCCTCCCGGGTTCAAGAGATTCTCCTGCCTCAGCCTCCTGAATAGCTGGGACTACAGGTGCCCACTACCAAGCCAGGCTAATTTTTGTATTTTTAGTAGAGATGGAGTTTCGCCATGTTGGCCAGGCTGGTTTCAAACTCCTGACCTTAAATGATCCGGAGGGCATCTCTTTCTATGAACCAGAGCCACCAGTGTCAGTTTTCACTCCCAGCACCCCCTGTGCTCCCTGGGACTCTCCCTTTTCTGTCTCCTCATGTTCAATTCCAGATTCTCCTCCCAGCTCTTCCTCTAACTCCCTGCGACCTGGGCAAGTAATTTTTCAGTATTACCATATTAGAGAAAAGGAGAATGGGTTTGACCTCTCAATTCCCTATATCCCAAATAGCTATAAGCTCCTTTGGGGTGCTGGCTGTGTCTTATATGAGTGGTCCCCAACCTTTTTGGCACCAGGGACAAGTTTCATGGAAGACAACTTTTCTATGGACTGGTGGGTGGGGGGATGGTTTCGGGGTGATTCAAGCCCATTACATTTATTGTGCACTGTATTTCTATTATTATCACATTGTAATACATAATGAAATAATTATGCAACTCACCATAATGTAGAATCAATGAGAACCCTGAGCTTGTTTTCCTGAAACTAGCTGGTCCCCTCTGGGGGTGATGGGAGACAGTGACAGATCATCAGGCCTTAGATTCTCATAAGAAGCATGCAACCCAGTTCCCTCACATGCGCAATTCACAATAGGGTTCGTGCTCCTATGAGAATCTAATGCCACTGCTGATCTGACAGGAGGCAGAGCTCAAGCAGTAATGCGAGTGATAGGGAGGAGCCGAAAATACAGACAAGCTTTCCTGGCTTGCCTGCCGTTCACCTCCTGCGTGGCTTAGTCTTGGTCCATGGCCCAGGGGATAAGGACCCCTGTCTTATGACACTTTATTTCCCTAAGCATCCAGAGCTGTGCTTGGAACATACAACATACTTGAGCATGACCTTTTGATGTGATCTGCTCACACAGGATTCACTCCCAGCTAACATAGACCCTTCCTTCATCTTAAAGATTCCCAAGGAGTTTTATCATGAACCAGGTGTTTGGGCAATTAAAAAAAATTATGACAGCTATTTTGATTGAACACACTGCAGAGAGAGTGTTCGGTGCTATTTTGGAAGGAGCCTATTTCATTACTGCAAAATTCTCATTTTAATTCTTGGATGGCCATTAAAATGGAACCCGCTTCCATGTGAAATGGTTACCCTGCATGTTGTGAAGCCTCCCCAGAAACTAGGACCTTGTTTCCTCTAAAGGCAGCCCATCCATTCTTCCAGATTTTATGCCACTAAAAATTTCTACTTTAAAAATGCTGAAATCTATTTGTATAGCATACTTCCATTGGTGCTACTCTACTCCTTTGGGTATTTATGAGAAATAAGTAAAGTTATAGGTGAATATTTTATATTATAGGACATATAGGTTATATTTGGTTTATTTTTGTTTATTTGAATAATCTAAACTTATTTCCTTTTAATGAACATTTATTTTGATTGAAGAAAAAAATAATACAGGTCCTAACAAACCCCTCTCGCCACTCGCACCCTAGCCTTCCAAGGACAGCAGCACTTTGGCTGATTGGATGTGCAGGGACCCTTCCTGGCCACAGAGAGGAAGGACATGTTCCCTTCCTTTGCTCTAGGCCTCCTGAGGGTCAGCTGTAACCTAGCAAACTTTCAACTTGGGGACTGAGGGTAAGGGTCCCTCAGGACATGGGTGTCATGAGGGCTCCAGGACTGGAGTCTCTGGGGATGGTGCTTTGGCTGAAAAGGCCAGCCATGTTTCCAGGGGTAGGACAGGATCCTTCCAGCATGATGAGAATACTGTGCACCCTTACAGCTGGCAGGGGTGACAGTAAGATGAGCCAGGACAGGCAAGAGTCTATATACTTCTACCATATCTGTTATGGATGCCCAAGGAGACTGGGCACAAACTGATACTTAATTTTTTATTCAAATCTTTTCATTGATAAAATGAGATAATAGGCTGCTCTGTCTATGGAGTAGCCATTCTTTTATTCCTTTACTTTCTTAATAAACTTGCTTTCACTTTGAAAAAAAATGAGATAATAACCCATTACCTCGTGATTCCTTAAATGTCTGAGGAAATTAATGTCAGGATCTGAAGCTACTCTAAGAAGAAAGGCTGAATTATGATTAGAATTGTGGATCCTCAAAGAGCTGTGAAGAGACATTGTGTGAGCCTGTGAACTAACGGCCTATAGATAATAAGAACTGATGAGCAGTTCATAGTTTAAGTTTTTACTGTGTGCCAGGCACTGCTCTAAGCACCTCACATGAATTAGGACACTGTGTCTTCAAAACTACTCTTTCAGGTAGGTACTATTATTATCTCTACTCTACAGCAAGGAAACCAAAGCACAGAGGTTGATACTTCACCCACAATGCCACCTAGAAAGTGAGAGCCTGGCCAGAGGTGGTGGCTCACACTTGTAATCCCAACACTTTGGGAGGCTGAGGCAGGAGTTCAAGACCAGCCTGGGCAACACAGCAAGATCCTGTCTCCAAAACAAAAAAAATAAACGGGTGTGGTGGCATGAGCCTGTAGTCCCAGCTACTCAGGAGGCTGAGGCAGGAGGATCCCTTGGGCCCAGCTGCATTGAGCTATGATCACACCACTGTACTCCAGTCTGGGTGACAGCAAGACCCTGTCTCCAAATAAAATAAAAAAATAAAATAAAATAAAATGTATTAGTCCATTTTCACATTGCTATAAAGAAATACCTGAGACTGAGTAATTTATTAAGAAATGAGGTTTAATTGGCTCATGATTCTGCAGGCTGTACAGGAAGCGTGGCAGCATCTGCTTCTGGGGAGGCCTCAGGAAACTTACAGTGAAGAGCCAGCACTACATAAGGTTGAAGCAGGAGGAAGAGAGAGAGTGGGAAGGTGCCACACACTTTTAAACAACCAGATCTCACAATAACTCAGTCACTGACCATTATGAGAACAATGGGATGGTGCTAACCCATTCATGAGAACTCCACCCCCATGTTCTGATCACCTCCCACCAGGTGCCACCTCCAACACTGGCGATTTTGTTCAATATGAGATTTGGTGGGGACAGAGATCCAAACCATATCAAAAAGAAAAGAAAGTGAGAGCCAGACAGTCAGCCCTGCTCCTCACCCCACCACAACCCTGGCAGGTGGTTATGCTGAACATTCTCGTGGGCTCACAGCGAAGTGTGTTCATGAACTTGCATACAAATAGTTATGTTCATATTGACATTGATAATTTTATCTTTCTTTAGTCTGGTTTCTCCTTTGCTACTGATCCTTCGCAAGTATAAGGATTGAAATAGCAAGGACAGATCAGGGGAACTGACTGAAGAGTGACCTGTATTGCCCATGGGAGCTGCGGGCTGAAAAAACACTAAAGAATGTCCCAGACAGCAAGCAAGCAAGGCAGTGCTTAAGTTGGTGCTGGCTTAAAAATAATAACTCCCCTCAACTAACAATCTGATGTGAATCCTGATAGCCTCCCTCTGGGCTCCCACCTGCCTATGATCTTGGAGACACAGAGCGAAATCATTTTCTGCAGCCAACTCTCTAACTACATCTGCCTGGAAGGCAACCAGCGACTCACCTCTTGCCCCCGATGTCTGCATCTAGAGGTTCACACAACCTAGACCCAGTTAGAGCCCAGGCAAAGGCTTCAGCCTTTTCCTGTGATGGAACAGGAGGATGCAGAGACCAAACCATAATATGTGAAACATAAGGACCTAGCAAATCATAGAATGGAGTCCCCTCTTTTTTATAGGGGATAACACTAAAGCCAGAAATGTTAAGTCATTTGCTTCAGATCACACAGCTAGTGCCTTATTCATCTTTGTTTCCCTGAAGTCAAGCATAGGAGGTATCCAGTAAATGTTTAATTAGTTATCTGCAGGAGTTTCAGGAGGCTACTGAACCTCTCTGGTTTCAGTTCTATCGACCACAAAATATGGAAAATCGTCCCTGCTCTATATGTTCTACAGAATTATTGTGAGATGAGGATCCAATAAGATTTATCGTCTGCTCCTCACCTTCCCTCCAAATATAATCACTGGCAGGCAAGAAAAGTGACATGTTATCTTTCCTCTTTTCCCCTCTCCTCTGTCTTCTAGATTTGGAAGCAAAGCATCGTGATGTCCTAGCCAAGACCAGACACTGAAGCAGGAGAGGACATTCCCTTAGATGTAGGTGGGAAAGCAGAGAGGAAAACAATTGAGATTTGATGGGGTTTTGTCTTTGGTATCTTTTTTACCAAATTAACTATATTTTGTTTATTTCTCCTATCACAGGGAGAAGAAGTGAGTGTATTGAGACACTCTGGAGATAACCTGGATCAATCACTTCATTTTAGAGATAAGGACCTGAAAGGAAAAGGAAACCTGCCCCAGGTCGCACAGCTGGTTCCCACCAAGTCTCCCGACTCCTGCTCCTCTCCTGAAACATGAGCCTTTACACGCAGCTTCCAGAAGGGAGGGTATCATTCTTGGCAAGGCTTGAAACTAAAGCAGTTGGTATCTATAGCCAAGGTATGCTTGGTCGTATCTGGGCAGCTGACTGACTTCTGGACTCAGCCCCCTCCCCGACTACTTAACTGCACATCCGTGTATTAAAAAAAGTACCATATTTATCATCATATTCATGCATATCCTAAGTATTTCATACATGTAAAACTGTGCTACTGTATTCGCCACCCCCTCTATCTTGTGTTTTCTTATATTTTTGTGAACCCATTAATTGCTGTTTTTTGTTCGTTTTGTTTTTACATTTCAACATTTATTTTAGATTCAGTGCGTAGATGCACAGATTTGTTACCTTGGAATATTGTGTGATGCTGCAGTTTGGAGTATGGATCCCGTCACCCTGGTAGTGAGCACAGTACCCGTGAGGTAGTTTTGTAACCCACTTCCCTCTCCCTTCACCCTCTGATGGTCCCATCTATCGTTCCCACAGTTATGTCCATGTATACTCAATGCTTAACTCCCACTTATAAGTGAGAACATGTGGTGTTCGGTTTTCTGTTCCTGCATTAATTTGCTTAGGATTATGGCCCTAGCTGCATCCATGTTGCTGCAAAGGACATGATTTCATTCCTTCCATTTCTTTAAAGGGGATGGCTTAGGGTTCTGAGGGGCATCCTCATTACAAATCCAGCCTCCTTGACTCTGGAGCCTCCCTTGACTCTTGCAACAAGTCTGGTTGGACAAGTCTTAATGCTCTATCCCTTTGATGTCTGTGATACTCCACTGTCCCCTTTTCACAGAAAGTGGTCTCTCTGACCACTCTTCCCCTGGGGTTGCTCCTCCCTCCTAACCTGGATATGGGCAGAGAATCCCATGGCCTCAGCAGTAATCCTTAGGTAGAAGACCCCTCTACTTTAGCTCAAGCCCCGCCCTCTCTTCTTTGCTCTAAACTGTATTTCTACATTCATGCCCCTTCACCAGCCCCTCCTCAAACCCAACAGTGCAGATGAACAGGGGCCTCCCCACCCCGACAGTCCTTCCTTAACTGCCCATCTTCACCCTGCCTGACCTAGAAACCTTCCACTCACCATCACTCCTTTCTCTACCCTGACCCCCAGCTCCAAGTTCCTCCTGTAGGTCCTACACTTGCCATGCTTCTCAGTGTATCCCATTCTCTCTGTTCTTATACTGCCATAATCTTATCTCTGGCAGCACAGCCATAATCTCCCAGCATCCAGACATTTTCCCCCTCAACTCATTCTGCAACCTCTTCTCAGAGTTGTCTTCCTAAAGCCTGGATATGATCTTGCACCTCTATGGCTCAGTAACCATTGATGGCACCATGTTGGTTATCAAAGTCATTCCAAATTCCTGAGCCTGGCATTGCAGATGCTTACATGTTCTCATCCCATTCTTGTAAGTTTCCAGAACACTCACCACGTGCCATGCTGGGTACTGTGCTAGATGCTTTTGCATTATGACATGTGCGCTAAGCACTGCAACTTTGAAGTCATCAGTGGAAATGGTGACAGATATAGGTGTCCTCTAATATTTTCAACCTTCAGCAAAATGAACTCAGAGCTGAGTGATGTTTTCTAAGTTCCATATTTAAAAGAAACATTCAATGATGAGGAAACATCAATTGATTATGGGAATTATTAATAACCAACATTTTTGAGCACTTACTGTGTACCAGTCAGTGGATTAAGCATTTACATACATTGGTTTATTTAAATGTCACAAGAAACTCATAAATCATTATTATGGCTCATTTATAAAAGACAAAACTGAAGATTGAAGAGGTTAAGTGACTTGCCTGATATCAGAGACCAGGAAGCAGTGAAGCTCACCAGGAACCCAGGTGTGTCTGATTTCCAGGTCCTTGCACTTCATCTTTCTACTCTGCTGCCTTAGTAACAACAGCTTGCAGGAAGTGTCAGGGAGTGCCTCCCTCCCTCTCCCTCCCCAACCCCACCCCATTTATGACTTCATGCTCCTGGTTGCACGACAGCAAGGGATCTAGAAAGCACATACCTTAAGTATAATGTGTGAGATTCTTATTTAAAATTCCACATTTTGGGCCAGGCACGGTGGCTCACACCCAGTACTTTGAGAGGCCGAGGCAGGTGGCTCACCTGAGGTCAGGAGTTTGAGGCCAGCCTGACCAATATGGTGAAACCCCATCTCTACTAAAACAATACAAAAATTAGCCGGGCATGGTGGTACATGCCTGTACTCCCAGCTACTTGGGAGGCCGAGGCAGGGGAATTGCTTGAACCAGGGAGGCAGAGATTGCAGTGAGCTGAGATCACGCCACTGCACTCCAACCTGGGCAACAGAGCGAGAGTCCATCTCAAAAAAACTAAATAAATAAAATAAAATTACAAATTTTAAGTGGGAGAAATGAGGAGATGTTGATCAACAGGTACAAACTTTCAGTTATAAGATGAATATGTTCTGGAAATCTAATGTACAGTATGATGACTATAGTTAATAACAATGCATTGTATGCTTGAAATTTGCTAAGAGAGTAGATCTTAAGTGTTCTCACTGCAAAAAAAAAAATTAAAGGGTAACTGTGAGATTAATGCTAATTAACTTGATTATGGTAAGAATTCTATACATATATATATATATAATCATTACAGTATACATGTTAGACACATACTATTTTTATTTGTCAGTTATACCTCAATAAAGCTAGAAAAAAATTCCAAATTTTCTACTGATAGCATTCATGGAATAATGGAAGACATTACAATTCTCATGACAAGACAATGTCAACGTCCAGCATTTTGATGTACTTGTATTGGCTGGGATTCAAGTCTCATCTGAAGCAATGGTAATAGCCTCTGTTGGAATGTTCCATCCCAGACCACGAAGCACTTTCCCACACTCTCTCCCTGAATTCTCACCAAGACCCTGAAAAGTGCTACTAGCCTCATCATTAAAAATAAATAAACTTATTAAAAATAAATAAACTGAGGTCACAGAATTAAAGAGACTTGTCTAAGGTCACATTACTTGTAACTGGTCAATTTTTTAACTGCTCCATGTTGCTTTTTTTTTTTTTTTTTTTTTGAGACGGAGTCTCACTCTGTCGCCCAGGCTGGAGTGCAGTGGCGCAATCTCAGCTCACTGCAAGCTCAGCTGCCTTGGTTCACACCATTCTCCTGCCTCAGCCTCCTGCGTAGCTGGGACTATAGGCACCCGCCACCACGCCCGGCTAATTTTGTGTACTTTTAGTAGAGACGGGGTTTCACCATGTTAGCCAGTATGGTCTGGATCTCCTGACCTTGTGATCTGCCTGCCTCGGCCTTCCAAAGTGCTGAGATTACAGGCATGAGCCACCGCGCCCGGCCCCCATGTTGCCTCTTAATAACACCACTGCTTCTTGGATACAAGTTATTCTCAGACAGATCTCATTTTACAGAGCTTTTCACAGTATGGGTAACAGTTACTGGACTAGAACCACATAAAATAGTCACTGCACAGGATCATTCATCGCAGAGGATTCGCTGAATCCCGAAGTCTTCCCAGGATATAGAATAGCTCTGCTGAGCCACTTCGGCCTGAAAGGATTTGCTGTAATATGATTTCACCTGAATGTTTAGCCATGGCTGCAAATTCTGCTTCAAAGAAAGGGCCTCTCTTTACAAGTGACTGTTGTGGCTGTTTCTCTGCAGCTGGCATTCCAGAGCAAACCAGGGATTAGAGGAGTTTCTCTTTGGACTTAGAGATAAAAAAGGCAAGCTAGGGACCCACACAGTCTACACCCCCTTCCCCAGCTGGTGATGCCTTTTCTAATTCTGATTCAATGTGCCCACCTGGTTGTCATTATACAGGGCCAGACTTACAGCCTGGGAGGACAGACCAGACTTCCCAAAAACTAAAACCACCCTGGGGCTGCAGGTCTTCGTTTGATGAAGACAAACCACAGACCCCAGCAGGAAAGCTGGGGAGGGGATGGAGAAGGAGGCTAGCAGAGTCTCTGATCATACTCTGGGTGCCCTTGGGCCACTGACAGACACCCTGTCCATCAAAACTGCTCACCCCAAGAAAATGATCAATGACAAGCAGCCCGTGGTCAGACCCTGCAATAGCAAAATGATTCCAGGTGCAAAAGGGCGATGTCTGTGCATGCAGGGTCAGCTCATGGCACTCACAGGATGAGGCACAGGATGGACGTGTGAAAGGATTCCCCACCAACACACACATACACACACACTCCCTCTTCTGACGTCATGGTTACCAAGGCAACTCGACATGAGTCATCATATCTCAAGGTGGATTAGCAGAGCAGGAGAAAGGCTTTTGTTTGTTCAAAGCTCTTCCCCTTCTTTCCTCTTAATAGCTCTCTCTGATGTTGATAATAGCCAAGTACCTTTCATACCCTCAGAAATCCTAAAATTTGTGTGTTTAGCTGGTTTAATCTTAGAAAGCAATCAACTTTTTCTTGATATTAGGTTGGGGAGGGAATCCAGGGCTTAGTTATAATGTTGCAATTGGCAGAGATCTGAAATGATTTCTAAAACTATGAGGGTGGTGACTTAGCAATCATATTCCCTCTGCACTGAGGCCCACCCCTGAAAGGTGCCTGGCCTTCTCAGAGAAGCCGGCCCTCCTAGCCCCACTCCCCTAGCATCTGAGCAAGCAGGCACAGACTAGGCCCTGGGGAGCAGTGTGCTTGCAGACTTTCTATTTTGAGCTCTGCAAGTGCTTCACAGCTCATTGGCTGTGCATGCCAAACAGGAAGGTCCTCCCGGAAGGGCCAGGGCCACGTACTGGAGGATTTCACCTAGAGCAGAAAGAAATCAGCAGAGAAAAAGGGATGACCCGTCATGGGGACAAAGCACAATATCACAAAATAAGGCCATTCCCCTGTCCTGAGATTAGATTGAACACTCTCCTCGGAGATGCTGCCTGGATCTCTCATGGAAGCCTTGAGAGGCATCCCATAACTAATTTTGGGGTGGACCCTTTTCAACTGGAAATGCCAGGCAGTGATTACTGAATCTGTCTTCTATCAGAAGCCTTATACCTAGTAGGCATGACCACGGGTTCAAATCACCTCCTAATAATTAATTCGTAGGCAAAAACAAGTGCTTTGAGCTCAAGAAACAAAGAATGATGGTTTCTTGGGTGCCAGTAAAACCAACTTTAGGCCTCTCTCCTCCTTAGCTCAAGGCGCCCCTGGTTCTTCACCTCTGTTTTAATAGGAAGCCTGAGTTAGGTTTTATTAAAGTGGAATTTCTTGACCTGGTAAAGTTCAACTGAAGGTAACTGTTATTCAATGTTTGCACAAAAGAAGCACAAACAATTCCATGTCAACTCACCTGTCCCCACCTACAATGCAAACAGCAGCTGTCAAGACTTTTCATCATCGACTGTTATGAAAAGCCTAACATAGACCAGGAAAAGTACTTCTTGAGCAAAATGACTCCTGGTATGGAATCTGTGGTCACTAGAGCTGTTAAAAAATAATAATAATAAAAAATAAGTGCTGGGGAGAGAACTAGGCTTTGTATGAAAGAAAAATTTTTAGGCTGGGCACGGTAGTTCATGCCTGTAATCCCAGCACTTTGGGAGGCCGAGGTGGGCAGATCACAAGGTCAGGAGATCGAGACCATCTTAGCTAACACGGTGAAACCCCATCTCTATTAAAAATACAAAAAATTAGCTGGGCGTGGTGGCGGGCGCCTGTAGTCCCAGCTACTCGGAAGGCTGAGGTAGGAGAATGGCGTGAACCCAGGAGGCGGAGCTTGCCGTGAGCAGAGATCATGCCACTGTATTCCAGCCTGGGTGACAGAACAAGACTCCGTCTCAAAAAAAAAAAAAGAAAAATTTTTAAATAGTATTTACTTTCATAATCTTTTCTCTCTAACTTCCAAATAGGCCAGCAAATATTCCACTGGGCCCATGTGGAGCTGGGCTGCCTCCCAGGGTGCATGGCCATTCTTTTCCTGTTGCCTTCATCTCAATTAGTAGAGAAGGCAAAAGTTTGCTCACATCAATGACCATGATGTCTGAAATCCTCGCTTCTGGCCACAGTCTCATGCAATCCAGGCCAGTGTGGTGGGCTCTGTAACGTTTTCCATTGGCTTTCCTGTCTCACTCTCAGGGAGAATGTGTTGTAGACATAATAGACATTGGCAAAGGCACTGCACACCCCCTGCGGTGTTCTGTGGAGTTAGATCCAAGACATGCTAACAGGCTTGGCTTTCACTCACACGGAGCTCATAGAATTTAGAAGATTTTTGAAGCAGATTATTAGAAATCATCCTTTCCTCCTCATTCTAGATGAGAAAAATAAGCCTCCCGAGAGGTGTCATGACTTGTTGAAGATCACACAGTGTCCTAAGTGGCAGAGGCTAGAAGTTGAGCTTCCTGGCTTTAAACCCAGAGTGATTAGCACTAGAATGCAGTGGGGGTTGAAGGAAGAGGGAAGGCTCCTTTACATCCCCTCCTGATACATTCATTGTCTTTTGTATCTAATTACTATTATTAACAAAAACAACAGCAGCAACAAAGATAGTTCTGGGGATAGGAAAGCAATGCTTTAAATGACCAAACCTTGAGCATAAATTATTTGCCTTCTCAGTCAACTCCATGAATGGAGGCCTTGCATGGCGAGAGAGGCCAGTGTTTGGGGGTAGAAGTGGGTCCTGTTAGGAGCTGAAAGAGAAAGGGCAAAGAACCATGAAGACAAATGTCAGTGACACCATAGCCAGCACCCGATTTTGAGTGGAGAGAGTCATGGAAACCTTCCAGAACTCATGGCTAGATTGCATTCTCAGATCCAGCTCCTCATCAGCAAGGAGATTTAGTGATCAGCCTCCTTTTTACCTCCAGTCAGCCCATATGACCTTGACTAATTCCCCAGGAAGTGTTAGCTGCAAACTCTCTGGTTGCTGAAAAGCTCACACCCCCACGGAGGGAGATTGGATGACCTTAGCCTTTTGAAATTACCTGCTGCAGCTCTTGGCTCAATTCTGTTTCATTTGCACTATCTCTGGTGTCCTGACATTTCCCATTCACAGTTGCTCTCACTGGCCTCATTTCCTACCTCTTTGAAAAGGTCTTTATGACCACCTCTGAATCAAATATAAAAATGCCAACTTATACTTATCCTGACGTGACTCAATCACCTGAAAGTTTGAATAGGTGGATTTTGGTGGTTTTTCTCACATTCAGTTTTCAGAAGACGAATCATTTTGCTTTGTGGAATCATTTGAAACTGTTTTGCTCTGCACAGACCCACAAAGTCACAAAAATATGTCTTTGTCATCCCTTCCTACCTATGTCAGAATCATAACTGAGGTGCTTCCAGCTTCACTGATCTAGAACCTCAGTTTTCTAGAGGCATATTTCCTTGGCTACTAAATATCTGAACTCACTGGTGATGTCCTTGACATTGGTATAACTGGAATAGTTCTAACAGGGAGGTTCCCTGGTTGGGTAACTCGCTTCTGCTTGCTGTAGGAGTGACTTCTTTTCCCTGCGTTTCCTCTTAGCTTTTCTGCTCCAAATCTCTAAGTATGAGGCTTGGAATTTGTACCTGGCACAGATATTCTTAGCTGTGCCCAAGGGCCCAAGCCTAATGGGTTCTTCCCAACTTCAATGACTTCTTTCACTTTTGTGGATTCCTCTAACTTCTAATTGTTGTTCTCTTCTATATCTTAATGTGCCCTTCTTCTGCTGAAACTGCCTTCAGGCTGCTCCTGGAATTATCTATTCCCTTTTCAACTCTGTTCATAGGCAGGCTGCTAAGTGATTCCTCCCCATACCTAAGCTTGGCTGGGAGCTCCTTTGTAAATTCCACCCTCCCAAAGCCAAGGCTGAAGAATATAATGTTCAAATATCCCCCAAGGGATTGCAGGAACAGAGGAACCTCCAGTGCTTGGTGGAGCCTACAGGGAAGGTTGAATAAAGTTCTGTTAGTCCCTAAAGGAAGACAGGTTGTGGCACTTGGTGCTGGGTTGAGAAATAATTGTAGTGTCACTTTCTTGGTGTTTACATGCTTGCTAATAAGCTGGCAAGCTTGCATTATAGGCTCCACTCTGCCATGCAGCTCCTGCTTCTAGAAGGTCCTCTAGCAGCCAAAGTTATCTGCAGCTTGCACCCCAGAAAGAATGCCCCCATGCTGATATCAGGCCACACAAACGTGCCTTTGTATGCATTAGCCATGGTTTTTTTAAAGATAACATAAATTTGAGTTTCGAGCAATTGAGGGATAGTGGAGCATATAGTAAAATAATCAGGCAGTAGAGTCAGACTTAACTGGGCTCAAACTCTGACTCAGACACTTACCAGATATATATGTGACCTTGGACAAATTACTTTAATTTTCTAAAAATCCCAATTTCCTCATCAGTGAAATGTGAATTCAAATAGGAAGTTATTTAAAGAGTTGGGTGGATTAAAGGTTAACATTTAATTTTTTATAAAACCCCATAAAACATGGTGGCGTGCACCTGTAGTCCCAGCTACTCGGGAGGCTGAGGCAGAGGAATCACTGAACCCGGGAGGCGGAGGTTGCAGTGAGCCGAGATCGTGCCACTGCACTCCAGCCTGGTGACAGAGCAAGACTTAAAAAAAAAAAAAAAAAAAAAAAAAAAAAAAAAAAAAAACCATGAAACGGAATTAATACCTTAAAAAAGCACTTATTTTATGCCAGGCTCTACTTCGGTTCTATCTTTCCATTAACCCTAAGGAGTCATTGCTATTATAACCTCCATTCTACAGATGAGGAAAGAGACACACAGAGATTAAGGCATTCGTCCAACATCCAGAAACATCCTGAGAACCTGGCAAACTCAAGGGACTTGTGGGGGTGGGGCTGCTCTGCTCCATGCCTTAGGCCCTCCCATCCCTAAAGGGCAGTGGGACCCCTAGGGGCCTTGGCCTTCATGTGTCTCCAATACTCAATTTACCCCATTTCCCTGGGGTGACCAGCTACCCAAGGAGCTTAAAGACCTGCACCTATGGGGTTGTCCCAGGGTCCTCAGTTGGGCCCAGACCCAAGAGGGTGTCCCATCAAGAGATTATGCCTGCCGGTCGGCAGAGTATCCTTTCATGAGATTGTGTGAGGCACTAGAATGGTGCTGACACCAAGATTTTAAGGTAACTCAAATTTCTGTATAGAGATGAGACCCTGTAAAAATATTTTCCCAGGGCCACACACCCTAAGGCAGCCCACACAATGTCCCCCTGCCAAGAAACCATAAGCCGGGACTGGAACCGTGCTCTCCATGTGCAGAACGGTCTCTCGGCAAGCACACGAATGCAGTGAAGTTATTATTAGATTTTAAATGCTTTGGGGAGTTTGAGCTAAAAGAAATCCCATGGTAAAGCAAGTTTGTAAAACAAAATGTGACTTGGCCTCTGTTTTTAAGTCTCAGTTCCAGAGGAGAAAGGCAGACGTTCTACAACAAAGAATGTGGCTGGTCTTTGACTAGGCTCCTGGGTGGGAATTTCTAAACCCTTGGAGTGTTCTGAGCGATAGGAGTGTCTTTGGTACTCATGCTGGGCCCCTAAGGCCAGGCCTGAGTTCATGCTGGTGAGGTGAGGTGACTATGCCCTTGACAGTTTCAGCATAGGGACTATCCAGGCCAGAAACGCCAATCATATGCTTAGAGGGGTTGGGGGAGTGGGGAAGGCTGCAGATGAGATCAATAATGTGGCTTGTATTTCAATCATGTGTGGGTGGCCTGGAAACCCCAGGGCTTGTGGCTGGGGTCTAAAGGGTGGGGAGTTTTTTGGGGGTCTGTGCTTCCAACCAGGAAAGTCTGCACCAACTCTGGTAGTTGGTGTCAGAATTGCACTGTAGCAGGAAATGGGAAGCCCTGTCCTGTGAAGCTGTGCCCCAGCGGGGAAGGGGTAAAAAGGGCAATGGAACAGCCCGGCTTCACATTGTGTGTTTCAGGACCCTCTATCTCCATCTGTACCTTCCCAAGCCTTGTCCTTTATCCTCCACCTAACACCTCTCCCCTGCCACAGCTGAGAGATCATGTCTGAAACACATGCTGTCCTCTTAAAAACCTTCAAGTGTCTTCCTTACTTATATCCTGTTACTATCTGCTGACATGTGGAGAAGAGAAATTAGGCAGATTAACTTGATCACCATGATATATCCCATGCCTGAATTTAGATTCTCTTCCAAGGACCTCAGATAGTTGACACATGTGTCCTGAAGACATTTGAAGCAGAATGAAGTCTTTTTCTCATGAGGCTGGATCAAGTAGGACTCTGTCTACTTGACTGTTTTGTCAACAGAGGCACAGGATGAAGTAGAAATAGTATCAAAGTGGAGATAAACGCCCTGAGTCTCGGTCATCTCAGGGACTGTGCTCTCCCAGGAAAAGCGAGAGATGGATGGCAGCTGCTGGAGAGCACATAAATGTCATTTCCAAGTGCCCAGGATTGCCATTGGCCATATCGATTGGATAATGACAAGGAGAGCTGGTTCGATTCCAAAAAGAGAAACTATGCAGAGGAGGCAAGAGGCAAAAGGAGTACTTAATTTTTATGAACCTGTTGGCGGGTGCTCCATATTAATATTTCATTTGTCAGTCTTGTCTTCTTTTTTATTTTAAACTCAAAATGAAGAGCAATGCCTAGCTCCTGACTGTAATCTCAGTAGGAGTGTGTGGTGTGTCCACATCCTGCTCCATGCCCCAGACCACTGTAGTTAATGACCACACATACAGGCATTGTGGAACAGTCTTCTGGTTTTGTAAAACAGTTACAAGTTGAATTTTGGGAATATGTAATCATTTCAAGGATTTTATATTTTTTAAAAAAATCATCCTACTGCTAAATAGCAGCCCTCTTGTTCTCAGCCAACAGCATGTGGAGGGGGTCTAACTTAGGGGCCATAAATAAATCTGGACAATAACCCTGCATAAAGCAATCTTATTCTTTCCCCCTTTAAGCTTCCACATCACCCCCAGCTTCTCTGTTGAGCTTATGATTTGGTTGCTAGGTCAGCCAGAAGGTGAATGGTTTCCTGCGTGGGTGAGATAGAGTGGTTGCAAAATGCGTATCTTGCCTCAACTCAGCAAATGGTGCCCCAGCTGTCGGGGGCACGCAGCATATTGGAGGCTGTGATTCAGGAAGGAGTACAAGGTGAATTGTATTGTCAAGCATGGTATTAAATGGCTGAAGCTGCCCAGCAGCTCCTTCCCTAACCTGTTTTCTTGTTAAAATGATTCTATTCCACTGGCAGGCACTAGACTGAGGTGTCCTCACAAAATCATGGAGTCTTAAGTTGAAAGGAAGCATTTGGACCAGCCCCTACTCTTTAGAGTGAGGAGTTTGATGTCCAGAGTATGAACTGCAGTGTTTTTTGTTTTTGTTTGGGGGTGGGGAACGAAGTGAAGACAATCCTAATGTGGACAATGAAATAGTGCTAACACTTTCCAAGAAAATGGCTAACTGAATCATGAATGCAAAATAAAAACAGTTTTTATGGGAAAAGATTTAAACCTGACAGTCCTAACCTCTGAGGAAATGCATGATATAGAAATAACTTGGACCAGTTCCCTGACAATGCCAATGATCCTACTCCAGTCATAAAGCAATGTGTGTGTCCGGGTTAGGGAAAGTATTTGATGGCTCCCATTCTACCTAGAAGCTTGTACCCTTAGTTTATCTTGGATCATTAATTCATGCAATCTTTAATTCATTCAATGAACATATTATAATAATTACCTACGTGTGATACGGTCTGGGAGCGAAATGGCAAGTAAAACATTTTATCTACCTTCAGAATCTTCCAGACAGGCAAACAATTTTTTTTCAATATGAAGGACTCAAACAAATGTATTATAGCAAGGCAGTTTTACGTACAAGGCACTCTGTGCCTTCCACAGATAGCCCAGTTTCTACTTCCATGTTTGGTAAGAGCCAGCAGCCATCGAAGTCACATAAAATTATTGTAATTGGTAGACATTTATTTTCAGACATTAAGTGATGGGAAGTAGTAGTAAGGATTTGTCATGTAGCATTTTATGTCTGCAAAGTGCTTTACGGTCATATTTTACAGCTTGTTCTACATAATAGTCATGTGTGAGATGGGCTGGAACAGGCTCTATTTTAGAGTGAGGAAGTGACAGCAGTCCTATGTATATCAGTGTCCTCTTTAAATACTATTTGCCTTGGGGTTTTAATAAAGATCATCACATTTTTTTTTATTTCTTAGAATTTGCATTCTGCATGTTTATATTTAGTTTATCCAGTCTTTTTATAATGGTTCAGAGTCCAAACTCAGATTCTGAATAGTGCAAGCCATATCTGAGTGCAACTGCCAAGATGAGCCATGGCAGACATGACCCAACCCTTTTAGTCTCTGTCATGATCAATAGCTGTTACCACCATTCCACTGGAATTCCATTTCCCCATTTATCCTCCAAGGTCAGAGAAAGGATCCCTCTGGTTTCAACCCGCGTTTCCTTCCAAGAAAGTGATCTTTGTGGTGGCCCTTATTTTCCTCTCTCCACCCACCATTTCTGTCCAAGTTTCTTGGGAATTGTGGCCATAATGGAACCACCATAGACCAGCTTCAGCAAAGAATGATCAACACTTCCTTACTTCTTTCTTCTGACAACCTACAGCTGAAGTGGAATTTGGGGGAGGCAGGAGTGAAGCTCTTGTAAAACCTCACTCTTTTGTTTCCTCTTTTTTTTTTTTTTTTTTTGAGACGGAGTCTCGCTCTGTCGCCCAGGCTGGAGTGCAGCGGCGCGATCTCGGCTCACTGCAAGCTCCGCCTCCCGGGTTCACGCCATTCTCCTGCCTCAGCCTCCCGAGTAGCTGGGACTACAGGCGCCCGCTACCACGCCCGGCTAATTTTTTGTATTTTTAGTAGAGACGGGGTTTCACCGTGTTAGCCAGGATGGTCTCGATCTCCTGACCTCGTGATCCGCCCGCCTCGGCCTCCCTGTTTCCTCTTTCCATTCCTTCAAGGGAGTATCCTGGGTCACTGTAGTCACCCTGGGAATAAATTTGTAGTCCAAAAGGACTAGCCTCTGTCCATGAGAAGCGCAATCTCATAGGGAACCCAGAAAGGCCAATGGGCAATTGCTAGTCAAAGCTTCTGGTGCTATGACAGTGCTAGGGTTTGTGGAGTAGAAGGGATAGATCCCTGCCTCAGGTCTGGGGGCTCAAGAAGGGCTTCCCAGAGGAAGTAGCCTCAGGACTTTGGAGTTAGATTGGAAATGCTGGTGCATCTTTTGCTTGGGAGAGACTTTGAGTCTAGGAGCCAAGGAAGGCCAAGGGGGTGGCCCAGGGGAAATAGAATGGACAGTAGGCTGCTTGACATTGCCTTTAAGCTCTAGACAAGAAAGGAAGGGAGGGAGGGAAGAAGGCTTCCTTTTGCCTTGCCGTGACTCAACCATAAGTCTCCCTTCAAAAACCATTCTAGTTCATGACCACTCAGCATATTCAAGGACAAGGGGTGCCTTTGGTTCACTCCTGCATTATGACTCTTGACATATGACAAGCAGCTGGGCAAGGCTCAGACCCAGCCAAAACATCTTCTGTCACAAAGCCAAAAAGAACTGCATGAGCTTTTTAAAAAATCACTACTGACAAATCCCACAACCAGTCTCAGTGCTGAAAGGTGAGTGAACTCAGGAATGGGAGTCAGGAAACAGCTTTTGATTTAATGTAGTGTGTGGTCTTAGCCACTCATTTGACTGACTTGGGCCTTATTGCCTCATTTAACTTATAGGATTAATAATACCTGCCCTACTTACTCAACAAGTTTGTTGGGAGGATAAGATCACATAATAAATATGAAAGGTTTAAGGCATATAAAAATAAAGCCCATGACTGTGTCCAGTGTTCTTTCAATGTGTTCATGTGCTTCTGCTTTGGAGTTAGGTATTGCTCTTATCCACCACTGAATGTCTGGGCTGTCCTGTCTTTTACCCTCAACTGTCAGGCATTGGTCCCCCTGCCCGCATTCACCTTCCCATGACACTTGATCAAAAGCTGCTACTCATATGGCCATGGCTGAGCCATTCCAAGCACTGAATCATGTCATCACTTAGCATCTTCAAAGTATTCATATGGCCCTTTCACTTTAAGACCTTTAAGCCCATATTCCCCAAGTCTATTCAGAGTCCAACACCAGTGGAGTGTGCCCCCTACAGTGGCTCAGAGAGGAAGCCTTCATCTCTGGACACCATAGTCCTGGGTTTGCCCACTGTGTCTAACAGCAGTCTCCCAACCTGAGCATGTCTTTCTTCTTCCTGAAGATGATCTTCTGGTGCACCTACCACAAGTGCTTGGGGCTGCTTCAGCAAGAATGATGGAAGCATCACCCCACTTCTGCTATACTCTCTTGTCTGTCCTTGGGGAGGGTTATGCCAACTGGCTCATTAACATAATCAGTATAGTTTTGACTGTGCCCTGACCAGCTAGGCTAACTGCCTAGCTCATATCAAGTACTCAGCAGGTGCTTGTCAAATAAACAATTAGATCTCATCATGGGCTGAGTTATGTCCTCCCAAAATTCATATGTTGAAGTCCTAACCTCCAGTACCTCAGAATATAGTTGTGTTTGGAGATAAGGTCTTGGTATTAGTCTGTTCTCACATTGCTATAAAGAACTACCTGAGACTGGGTACTTATGAAACAAAGAGATTTAATTGACTCACAGTTCAGCAGGCTGTACAGAAAGCATGGCTAGGGAGTCCTCAGGAAATGTACAGTCACGGTGGAAGGCAAAGGGGAAGTAGGCACATCTTCCCATGGCAGAGCAGGAGAGAGAGAAAGAGAGAGAGACAGAGAGAGAGAGAGAAGAGGGGAGGTGCTATACACTTTCAAACAATCATATCTCATGAGAATTCTATCACAAGACAGCACTAGGGGGATGGTGCTAAACCATTAGAAACCACCCCCATGATCCAATCACCTCCCACCAGGCCCCACCTCCATCACTGCGAATTATAATTCGACATGAGATTTGGGAGATGACACAAAACCAAACCATATCAGTCTTTAAAGAGTTAAGTTAAAATAAGCTCTTTAAAGTGGGCCCTAATCCAGTATGACTGGTGTTCTTATAAGAAGAGGAGATTTGGTCACAGACATGGTTGCATGCAGAATAAAGACTTTTCGAGGACACACTGAGAAGGCAGCCATCTGCAAAACAAGGAAAGAGTCCTCAGCAGAAACCAGTCCTGCAGACTCCTTGATCTTGGACTTCCAGCCACTGCAATTGTGAGTAAATATATTTTCTGTTGTTGAAGCCACCCAGTCTGTGGAATTTTTTTGTGCCAGCCATAGCAAATTAATACAGATCTGTTTAAGAACACATAAAAATACTAATCATCAGCTGGGCACAGTGGCTCATGCTTGTAATCCCAGCACTTTGGGAGGCTGAGGTGGGTGGATCACCTGAGGTCAGGAGTTAGAGACCAGCCTGGACAACATGGTGGAGCCCCATCTCTACTAAAAATACAAAAAGTTAGCTGGGCCTGGTGGCAGATGCCTGTAATTCCAGCTACTTGGGAGGCTGAGGCAGGAGAATCACTTGAATCTGGGAGGTGGAGGTTGCAGTGAGCCAAGATTGCACCACTGCACACTCCAGCCTGGGTGACAGGGTGAGACCCCATCTCAAAAAAAAAAAAAAAAAAAATATATATATATATATATATATATATATATATATATATATATAAATCATTCCACAGACCAGCAGTCAGTTGCAATCTGGAAGTTGCAGTCTTAACCAGTAAGTAAATGTTGTGACCATCATAGTGGGGACTCTGGTGGAAAGTGTTTTTGGCTCCATCACAGTTTCTTGGACAGCCAGAAGCCCTTGGAGATAGATGACCAATAGTGTAGAAAACATAAGCCTTCATAACAGGAAGGCAGCGACTGCTCTCTGGGTGTTTACGGGATCTCTCTGTGTTAGATTAGAAGATAATATTTCTCCATTTTATGAAAAGGTGATTTGGATTCTGCAATGAATCTGTAGTAAATTTAGAATTGAATCACAGCTGGCATATTTTCCAACCACAATGTGCCCTAGCTGATCTTTGCTTCCTCTCCTTCCTCATCTGTACTTGCTTTTTGACAGATGGCAAACCCTAAAGGACATACATAAGTACATTCTATAGATATTGGAAAGTGGGGGAAAATTTGAAGAGTAAACCAATATTTAACAATAGAAAAAAACTGCAAAAGCATCTTTACCTCGGTAGCCTTGGCAGCTGGGACAAAAACTAAAAGCTCAACTCATTAATTATGCCATGTCTCTCCTTACAGCTCTAAAGCTGAATTAAAGAGAAGTAAAACCATAATGAGCAGCCAAGAGGAAGTCCCCAGGGGTCCAGATGACAGAATGAAGCATGCATGTTGGGGAGATGATCAGAACAGGCACCTGGACCCCTGTGGGGTCAAGGGCTCTGCTCTCCCCTACATGGGAGCTCTGCAGGCTGCTCTCCCCTCTGCACAGGGAACCTGTGTTTGCAACCTGTCTCCCTCCTGGGCCTGCCCATCGCTGTCCTGACCAGCAGCCTCCATCAGTAGGATCCTTTTTGTTTTCTCTTTCTTCTTCCATTTATCCACAAGCCTTACTGAGAGCCCACCTTATGCGCAGCTGCCAAGAGTCCAAACCCCATCCTCCAAGGTTGGTGGTGTAGGAGAATTACTGTGTGGGTAAAGGAGACTGGACTCCGTGGGTCCTGCTCTTGCCTCTGGAGATTCAGCTTCCCCAATGGCTCCTCTCCCTGATTATGATTGCCATCTCCAGCCTTGACGCCCCTATTTCTGGGGTCCTTACATTTATGTTTACAGGCGCTGCAGTCTGAAAACAGCTCCCAGAGTGACCCTAATCAGATCATGGTGCCCTCTTGTCCAAAATCTTTTCAGTGTTTTCCCAAATCACTCAGGAGCTTACAAGACCCTACCAAGACTGGCTCCCCTGTTCTCCGCTAGTCTCATCTTCTCTGATTCTCTCTCTTCTATCTCGGGTACTAACACACTGGCAGCCTTTCTGAGCTGGATGCTCCCTTACATCCCTTGGATACTCCAAGCACGCCCTGCCTTGGGCCTTCTGCACTTGCTATTGGCTGCCTGCAATGTCGTTGGCCAGTCAGCCACATGACCCAGTCCCTCACTTCCTTTGGGTCTTTGCTCAAGCTCACATTCTCAGTGAGGCCTTTTCTGACCTCCAGTGTTTAAAATCTCACCCCTTATCACAGACAACCCCAATCCCCTTCCCTACTTTATTTTCCCCATTATTCTCCTTACCATCTGACATACCACGTATTTATTTCTTCTTTGCCTCCCCCTTCTAGCTTACTAGAAGGTAAGCTCCAAGAAGGTGGGAGTTTTTCTGCTTTGTTGCACTGTCACCAGCACCCAGAACAGCACCCATAGCATCATGTCTGCCATTTGTTGAATGAATATGCTCAAAGTACAGCTAGTGAATTGGAAAATGAACCCGTGATGGGGAGTAATTACGAAAAAAGATTCATGTGTTCTTTCCTAAGTGACTCATTTGTTCTTTAAAAACAGTCATGTGCTGCATAATGACATTTTGGTCAATAACAGACTGCAGATATGATGGTGGTTCCATAAGAGTATAATGTGATATTTTTACTGTATTTTTTCTATGTTTAGATTCACAAATGCTTACCATTGTGTTACAATTGCCTACAGTATTCAGTACAGTCACAGGCTGTATGGGTTTGTAGTCTAGGAGCAGTAAGCTATACCATAGAGCCTACGTGTGTCGTAGGTCATACCATCTAGGTTTGTGTAAGTGCACTCCATGACGTTTGCACAACATCACCTAATGATGCATTTTCTCTGAGGCAATGCATGACTGTATCCGAAGCTGAAAATGAGTTTGTTGCCCTCCCACTTCCGGAAATGGATAATTCCTACAGTACCTGTATCAGGCCCACCCTGTTCACCTCATTCTTCTTCCTCGGTTCTGATGGCAAGTGGTTTCCAACTCATAGCTGTGGACCTACGAAACACTTGCATGGCTTTCTGTAAGGCTGGGCAAGTCAGTGAAGGTGAAATGTAAAGCCCACTCCCTACAAACGACTAGTATTCACTCACCTCTCTCACCCCCAGTTACTGATATAGTTTAACAAATAGCTATGATTACCTCTGCAGAAAAGGGTTTTTAGAAAATTACATTCTGTTTGTTTTTATTATTGTTGCAAAAAGAGATAAAATCTTGGCATCTTTGAATTTACACTGCTTAAGGTTACCAAACAGAATGGGCAGTAGAATCCTATGTTTACAGTGTTTATATGTATAAATGTACATGTGTATATATGTATAAAGATTAAAGAATACAACAATAGGCTAATATTTGGGTATGATGAAAATAATATAATTTTTATTCAACTGTTTTTTCCATAATAAGTGTATATTATGTATATGATATGAAGAACACCAATCATTCTTCTTTTTTTAAAAAAAAAGAAAGGCTGGGTGCAGTGGCTCACGCCTGTAATCCTAGCACTTTGGGAGGCCAAGGCGGGTGGATCACCTGAGGTCGGGAGTTCGAGACCAGCCTGACCAACATGGAGAAACCCCGTCTCTACTAAAAATGCAAAATTAGCCGGGTGTGGTGGCGCATGTGCCTAATCCCAGCTACTTGGGAGGTTGAGGCAGGAGAATCGCTTGAACCCGGGAGGCAGAGATTGTCGTGAGCTGAGATTGCGCCATTGCACTCCAGCCTGGGCAACAACAGCGAAACTCTGTCTCAATAAATAAATAAATAAATAAATAAATAAATAAATAAATAAAAAGAAAAAAGAAAAAGCCCTTGTTTTAATTGGGCACATACTAAAGGTCAGCTTTCTAATATAGGGAAACAAGAAAATGATCCTTTTGAATGTGACTATTATTTTTACTTTGTGATTTCAGCTTTTACGTTGGACTCAATAAACTAAAAAAAGGCAAACTGAAATCGTAGTATGAGGCTCTCATGTTTCCACTTACACTGAACATAAGCCAAGGCCTGAGGGCTAAAGTGGGCCTGATTGACTCATGATACCAGGTTGCTGCATCACTTCCTTGAGAAATTGTTCCTGGCTTCAAAACTAGCTGTGGAATCTTAGAAATCTTGTGACATTGGATCACGTGCCTGGGCACAGCCACGTTTTCTTCCATGGCTTCCTCTCCTTCCTCCTCTGGAGCAGATATCTATGTTTGCATCTGCCTTTCTTCCTGCTCCTTCTTCTAACATGCCACAGGATGCTCTTTAAGCCACATCCGCTTCTGCAAACCAGTGATTGAGTTCTTGTGTGCCAGGGCACAGCAGTCTCCTTCATCCATTGTATACTCTTTAGTGTTGTCTTTTGTCTAAAAGGTCTTTGCTTTTCTTTGCCTTGCTCTCTGTGTTTGCGGCACTGGCTTAGATGATTACTGATGGAGTTGACCGTGGAGACCATAATGTGCAGGGACCAGCTCTTTGACAGGTGGGTGCCTCCCTGGTGCCCTGAGCTGACTGTCCTTAGCACTGGGAAGACAGATTCTTCTTTTTGGGGGTTGCCTCAATCCTTGTGGAACACATCTTTCAGCATATGAAATTTCTGCTTGTTATAATTTTTTTTTTTTTAAGACGGAGTCTCACTCTGTTGCCTGGGCTCGAATGCAGTGGCACGATATCTGCTCACTGCAACCTCCGCCTTCCAGATTCAAGCAATTCTCCTGCCTCAAACTCCTAAGTAGCTGGGACTACAGGTGTGTGCCACCACGCCCAGCTAATTTTTGTATTTTTAGTAGAGACGGGGTTTCACCACGTTGGCCAGGCTGGTCTTGAACTCCTGACCTCAGGTGATCCGCCCACCTCGGCCTCCCAAAGTGCTGGGATTATAGGCATGAGCCACCATGCCTGGCCTGCCTGTTATGATTTACAGAACACAAACTCACCTTTTTTGGTGCCCAAGACCCATGACTCTCTGGTCCCTACCTATCTTTCAAAACAAATCTACCATGAATACTCCATATGAGCAAGGCACTTCTCTTCATGACAAATACACCTTATGCATTGTATCTCTGTGCTTGTGCCAGACTGGAACCTCCTCCAAAATTTGAATCCCATTGATCCTTCAAGTCCTCACTCAGATATAATTTATTCTGTGATTTCCTGTGACCATTCCAACTCATGGTGACCTTTCCCACTCAGGCGGAAATTCTCACATAATTTGCATATATCCAAAAATAAAAAAGTGATGATCTCACTCACACTGCCAGGTAAGAAGAGATAAACCCACATGTCTCACAGTCTGCTTTCTATGCCCCCCCACAACATGACAAAATCAGGACTGTAATCTGGGCATAGATGTTATCTACATGACTGAACCACAGGGACTGTGTTATTGGCATCTGTACCAGACATTTGGTAGACAACAGAGCCAATCTGAAGAAAAACTGCTTCCCACCTTCCCCCACATTAGTCAGAGAGCAGCCTTGGAGGAGACATTAACAGAAACTCTTACTAGAAAAAGTAAGAGTTGATAATCATATAAATTTATATCAACCATCTCTTATAAGGAAGATATGAGAGGGGAATTCTGAGAGTAAGCCGATGGAGGGAATTCACCCACCCTGTTCATGGGGAAAACCAAACATATTTAGCCAAGGAAAGGATTCTGCAACTAAGAAGTAGAATATAACCCTCAAAAGAGACATCAAGATGATAACCTGTGGAAAAGATTGACTGCAGGAAAACAGAACTTAAATTTTAAAAAGACGTTTCTAGAACCCATATGACCACACTGGTTTTCCCAGACAATTGATGCAATTATATAAGAAGGAACCTCCCATTTTTCTTGGGCATGGATGTCTGGCCTTGGGCTTTTCTCCCTGTGGGCTTTTGGAAAGGACAGAGGAGTTATCTGTTCCATATACAGAATTTCAATGAATGCCCTGTTTTCAGCCCCACTGTTACTCCACCCTCTGAGACATCTGCCTTCTCCTAGTCTAGGGGTTCTCTGGGCCGTCCCTGACACAAAGTGCAGGCTGCAGCTTCCTCCTCTTGTCCATCCTCCAGGGATTTGTTGCAATTTCATATTCTTTGAATTCCCTTTCTGTTATCTGAATTGCTGTGGCCTCTAACTTTTCTAGTGCTTTACCATCAGCAATGCCCCAGTGAAGGGAGCATCACAAATGAAAATAGATGTGTGTCTTCTGTCTGTCAGTTTCTTCTGGAAGGCTCTCAAAGTTTTAAAGAGATCAATTTTTTCCAAGTTAATTTAAGATGTAATTAATGATGTTTCAATGCCATTACAAATGAGGTATTTTGGCTGGGTGCGGTAGCACATACCTGTCATACCGGCACTTTGGGAAGCAAAGGATGGTAGATCACTTGAGCCCAGGAGTTTGAGATTAGCCTGGGCAACATGGCAAAACCCTGTCTCTACAAAAAATCCAAAAAATTTAGCCAGCCGTGGTGGCATGCACCTGTGGTCCAAGCTACTCGGGAGGCTGAGGCAGGAAAATTGC
The DNA here is from genome assembly GCF_000001405.40 of Homo sapiens. Lineage (NCBI taxonomy): Eukaryota > Metazoa > Chordata > Mammalia > Primates > Hominidae > Homo > Homo sapiens. The sequence goes on from NC_000008.11 coordinate 29,754,838, forward strand.
TTGAACCTGGGAGGTTGAGGCTGCAAGTGGCCCATGATTACACTACTGCACTCCAGCCTGGGCAGGAGAGCAAAATGTCTCAAAAAAGAGGGGTGGATATTTTAACAAAATGATTTAAAAGTGTATTTAGAAGACCATACAGAAGACCAAACAAGAAATTCTGAAAGGCAAGAATTGTGAGAGAATGGGCTCCTAAGGTCAGATATTAGAATATGTTATTTGGCTGCAAAAAATAAAACAGAATGATTTTAGCAAACTGGCAGATGAGTGGAACAGAAAAGGAAAACAAAAACACATGCCTAAGTCTATGCAATAATTTAACATGTGATTAAGATGCTATTTCAAACTGGCTGGAGGGAAAATTAAGAATGATGACGGCAAACTGGGTGAATCACTTGGAATGAAGACAAAGCCAAATTTTACTCTATGTATCATACTCTAAATTGCAAATAGACTAAAGAGTTACATGTTTGAGAGAGAATGAGAAACAATAACAGAACAAGATATAAATGTAAATTCAAACAGCTAATCTTGCTGTGACAAAGTTTTTGCTAACATAAAAGGGGAGAGGAATCCCATAGAAAAAAACTTGATAGTACTGATTACATAAAAATTCAAATTACAAAAAATTCAAAATTCTGTAAGCTTAAAAAATTTTAAAGATATAGACAAATCAGGTAAAATATTTGCAATATACATGACACACAAAGGACAATAGTATTAGTATATACAGACCTTTTAAAATCATTAAGAAAACTGTGAAACTCCAGAAGAACAAGGGGCTAAACACATGAAAACACAATTTACAAAAGAAGAAACAGAGATGATCCATAAACAAGAAAACATGTTCAACTTCTCTAGGAAGCAAAGAGACAAAAATTAAAATGAGATATTATTTTTAGCTACCAAATTGACAAATGAAAATGTCCAAGGTTAAAGCAAGTGGGTGTTCTCATTCATCACTGGTGTGTGTGTAAATTACTACAGCATTTTGAACAGAATTTGGCCATGTGTATTATTATTATTATTGCTATTATTATTTTTTGAGATGATGTCTCACTCTGTTGCACAGGCTGGAGTGCAGTGGCACCATCACAGCCCTCTGAAGCCTGGAACTCCTAGGCTCAATCTATTTTCCCACCTCCACCTCCCAAAGTGCTGGGATTATAGGCATGAGCCACTGCATCCAACTGTTTTTTAAAACCCTATATTACATTTATATTTTTCAGACCATTAAATCAACATCTAGGAAATTCTCCTAGAGAAATACTTATTGATGTACATAAAAATGTATTTACAAAGATATATACTTCAGTATTATTTGTAATAGCCAATGGTTTCAATCAACATAATTCCTAAAAAAGATTTGTTAAATTAATTATTGTGCATCCAAATGATGGAATACTTCCTACCCATAAGATAGATTTAAATAATATTTAGTGACTTTGGGAAATGTTACAACTATAGTAGGTGAAAAGGCACATTTAAATGTGTATAATATAATCTCAGCTTTGCAAAAAGAAATTTAAACACATACACATTTCTTTTAAAAGCTACACCAAATGTTAATGGTGATTATTGGTGGTGGGATATGGGAGATTTGAATTTTCTTTCTTACATTTTTATATATTTTCCAAATTTCTCACAACAAACATAAGTCATCTTTATAAACAGAAAACACATTTTTTTAAAAAATATGATTTTCTCGACTAGATTTTAAGTTCCTGAAGGGCATTTTATACAACTGAACACATCATCCACAGCTTTGCAACTCCCTTCCAGGGTTTGGGCCCAGCCTGTTTTAAATGTAGTTTTTTTTAAATGCAGTAGATAATACAGAAATATTTATCTGATTAACAAACTTCCTTCTTGGGTTTTCTTAATTATTGTTGCTGTTTTTCCAAAAGCATATGTGAAATATTTTAAGATATTGAATCATCATCTAACACCTGTTTTTCATGTGGACATCTGATAAATACTGCTGCCTGCCCTGGTGAGAGCAGAGAAGAAACCCACTGCCCGAAAGGGTTAATTTGGGGCAGTTAAGGACACCTGTTCCAAGTCTGCCATGGGCCTTCATTTCCAGGCTTCCAGGCTCACCAGCTCAGGAAGAGGATTTTGCTAAGCAGTGGATATATACACAAAGGCAGGGCCAATGCAAATAAGAAATTCCTGGTCCACAAATAAACATTTCTTAAGCAACCCACACAATGAAATGGATGATAGCGTTTTCTACCCGAACTTTTCTCTAATTACATTTTTATTGACTTTTCAGAGGAAATGAAAAAGGCTAACATATAATTGGCTAAAAGAAATAGAGGTAATAAACCAAGCCAGAAAAAGACTTGAGGAAATGTGTATCTAAGGTAAAATACCTCCAATATGAAAATCTGTGCCATGATGTTGAAGTTACAAAATTGCCTACACATGCTGCTTTGGTTGTGAGAGAGCTCAGAGCAGTGCTGTGACAAAGTGCTATGTTAAGGTCTAGCCTCTTTCCAAGTCTGAATATCCTCTGTATTTGAATTCTAAATTTCAAAAGCACCGAATTTCAAATGCTCCGAATTCCGACTTGTACATGAAAGAACTTTGGATCAGGAGCCGGGTGTGTATGTAGATCTTAACAAGGCATTTAACAAGTTGTCTCATGATAACCTACTAGCCAAGAAGATTAATTATGAATGATTATACATACACAAAGAGACATATATATATACATATACACACATACATACATATATATATACACATACATACATATATATATATAATATATATTATACATGCACACACACGCACATATTTTTCAAATGGTGAGTAGATCATTTTTCAAATGATCAGGTGGAGGCCAACCTGGAGTGAAGTGATTCATAATGTACCATTGTATTTTCAATATAATTATTAGTATAGCATGAATCAGCCATTCTAAGCAGCTAATCAGAAAACTATGAGCACGAATCCGGGGAGGAAGGGGATGAGCTTCACTTTATGCATGCCTTGCAACCTAATATTTAGGTAGTCTTGCTTCTCAATCCCCTCACCCCAATGCCTTGAGTAATCAGCCAGTGTTATTGAAGGAAGTGTATCATATCTCTCAGTTGCTAGGGAAGAAAAAGGTTAAGGATTGCTGACATTGACAAAAACAGAGAAGGCAAGGTCATCCAATCTATGAGCAAATTATAGCTACTATTTTGATGACAGAATCATGTTTTAAACTCCTCTTGACAGGTTGAAGAGAAAAGATGAATGTAACAAGAAGATATTTAATAGGAATACATGTTAGACCTTGCCCTTGGGCCCAAAGAGCAATTGCGCAAACACAGCAGGAGGTGGACCTGGCTAAATGGTGGTTCTTGTGAAAAGTTCTGAGGGAGTTCAGGTACCACCATGGGTGCCAACCAAAAATTCGGTCCTAAGCTCTATTTACAGACTTACAGAATTTAGAATGAAGAGATTGTCTACTGTCTTAGCATAATGCCTTCCATGTTCATCCAGGTTCTCACAAATGATAGAAGTTCCTTCTTTGTTAAGGCTGAATAGTTGTTCCATTTTGAATATGTACCATACTTTCTTTATCCATTCATCTGTAGATGGACACTTAGGTTGATTTCATATTTTAGTTCTTGTGAATAGTGCCACAATGAGCCTGAGAGGGCAAATATCTCTTCAACACACTGATTTCAGTTCCTTTGGATATACACCTAGAATTGGGATAGTTGGATTATATAACGGTTCTATTTTTAGTTTTTTGAGGAACCTCCATACTCTTTTCCGTACTAGCTGTACTAATCTACATTCTCACCAGCAGTATACAAAGGTTCTCTTTTCTCCACACCCTCACCAACATTTGTTATCTTTCATATTTTTGAAAATGGCCACTCTAACAGGTGTAAAGTTACATCTCTTTGTGGTATTAACTTGCCTTTGCCTGATGATTTGTGATACTAAACATTTTTTATATGTCTGTTGGCTATTTGTATGTCTTCATTTGAGAAATGTCTGCTCAGGTCCTTGGCTCATTTTTTAATCAGGTTATTTATTTTCTTGCTATTGAATTTCTCACATGTTTTGGGTAGATGCTCCTCATCTATGGATGGTTTGCAAATACTTCTCCCAATTTACGGGTTGTCTCTTCATTCTATTTTCTTTGCTGTGTAGAAGCTTTTTAGTTTGATGCAATCCCATGTGTCTATTTTTACTTATGTTGCCTGTGTTTTTTGAGTCATAGCCAAGGAGTCAATGCACAGATCAATGTCATGGACCGTTTCCCCTATGTTTTCTTCTTGTAGTTTTACAGTTTCAGGTCTTACGTTTACATTTTCCATCAATTTTGAGTTGATTGTTGTATATGCTATGATGTGAAAGTCCAATTTTGTTCTTCTGCATGTGGACATTCAGTTGACCCAACAGCACTTACTGAAGAGACTATCCTTTCCCTATTGTGTGTTCCTGGCATCTTTGTCACAAATCAATTGGCCATAAATGCATGAGTTTATTTCTGGGCTCTCTATTTTGTTACATAGGCCTATGTGTCTGTGCTTAAATCAGTATCATGCCATTTTGATTACTGTAACTTTGTAATATATTTTAAGATCAGGTAATGTGATTCCTCCAGCTTTGTTCTTTTAGCTCAGAATGTCTTTGGCTATTCAGTCTTTTGTGGTTCCATACTAATTTTAAGATGTTTTGTTGTTGTTCTGTGAGAAATGTCATTGGAATTTTAAAAGGGATTGCATTAAATCTGTAAATTGCTTTGGGTAGTGTGGACATTTTGACAATATTAATTATTGCAGTCTGTGAACCCAGGATATCTTTCCACTTATTTGTGTCTTCAACTTCTTTCATCAATGTTTTACCATTTTCAATATACAGATCTTTCAACTCCTTGGTTAAATTTACTCCTAAATATTTTTTTGGTGCTATTGTAAAAGGAATTGTTTTCCTGATTTCTTCTTCAGATAGTTCATTGATAGGATATAGAAATTAAACCAATTTTTGCTAAGGGACTTTAAGATTAGCTCCTGTATTCTGTGCCAGGCAGGCTTTGGGATTCACAAGGGGGACTGAAGTCTTATAAACATAGTAGTGGATTAGTGCTGGCTGAAGGAAAAATTTCTAGATGAGCTGGAGGAGAGCATATAGGCTGGGAATCCAGGTGGGAAGAAAATTAATTGCTCAGTTCTCACACTGTAATGCTATCAGTTAACTTCTAAAGACACCTATTCTCTCTGCACAGACCTATCAAAAAATTCCATCAACCAATTCCTGAATGATCCAAATGCTTCTCAACCAGCTCACAGACTGCTAACCCTCTCCTCCATATCAAGGGGAAAAAGTACTATGTGAATGATCTGCTTCAGGCCCAGATGAACAGCAGAGATAAACCCAGATTCATTTTAAATAGGAGGCAGGAGCATTCACAGACAGATAGCAGCCAGACACAGGAGCTCTGTGTGTGTGTGTGTGTGTGTGTGTGTGCCTGTGTGCGTGTGCACGCATGGGTGCATGTGTATACGAAAAGGCCTTCGGCAGAGATCAAGAGGGTTTAGGAGTTTCTAAAAGAATATGCCAAGCCATTTACTGTAATCTGTGCTGCTCTCCTAACAGCTGCTAGAACCAGGTAACCTCCCAACCTTGGGCTTCCTCACTACCCAGAACCATCTTTTCATTGAGTGGCAGGGACTAATTACAGAGATAAGAGGCAGCATGCCATTCTAAGTCACTAAAAGAGGAAGACTGTGTCTACACCGATTTGTAGCGATGTCAATACTATAAAAGGATCCATCTGATGAGAGCCAACCCCATCTCTCCCAGCACATACCTGGGGGCCCACACATGTCCTGGAGGCAGCATGGTGGCCTGCAGAGACCTTGGGCTTAGTAGTTTAACAGACCCAGCTCTGTGACTGAAGTAAAGTAGGCACTGTAACATCTATCTCAGAGGGCTGCTGTATACATGAGATAACATTTACACTGCCTACCACATAGTAAGCACTCCATTTTCCCTCCAGAGTGGGGACAGATGTCTAAGATCCTAGAGACCCACAGTATATTCCTATTTTTTTAAAATAATTTCTCTTTAGGAAACATAGGCTTTGAACCTGGGAAAATTTAGTTTTCTGGCCGTCTGAACTGCTCCCAAATTTAACTGAAACATCTTTTGTCTCCTGGGGTGTAATAATAGGAAGCAAATGAACTGATTGCCTTGTACGTGTTTGGTTGCTGGTATTATTTTATGCATTTTCATACGCATTATTTTATTTAGACTCATGGGTCCCAGAAATCCATATGGATTTTCCTCAACTATGCATTTTTCTTTCCTCGTTGAAATCAGATTTCATTCTATGTTAATCTTGGGGGAAGAATTGTTGATGCATTTATTCACTTACTTGCTCTAAAGATGCTCATTAATCAACAATGGCTAAAGTGCACCATATATTTATAGAATAATATACAATTAAAGGTTGTGCAGCCACCACATAATATCCACTTACAATGTGCCATGCACATGCACATATACGGGACCAGTTAGGTCCCACCACAAACCTGCAAACTAGTTCTTACTCTGCCTCCACCAATACACACATTTTACAGCTGACTTTCCCCCTGTCACCCAGATAGTTCTTTCATAGCCTCTCCTTTGGAAGCAGGTGCATGCATTTGTGTTTGTACTGTCTTTGAAATGTAGGTTTTTCTGCTTATGTAAGCTGATGCCAGAACACACAGCTTCAAGCAAAATACCACTGTGGTTCTTCTCAACAAGGCCAAGGTGAATTAAACAGCATTCAGTTTGCTCAGACAGAAGCAAAAAAGATTAGAACAGGATTTTTGTATGCAGAGGGGAAAATGTGCAACTTCAATAATGAACCCCAATGAGCAAATTTTGGCCGACGATTAAATTCCCATTCAAAATAACATATTTCCCATGATAATAGAAAAGCATCTCCTCTTTGGTTTCCTGCAGAGCAAACCAGCTATGCGATGAGAATATTCGAGTTCCTTGAAAATATCAATGGCAACTCTGAAATTAACAAAGTCAACTTCAAAATATTCACTTGCCTGAAAAGGTTGATGTCAGATAGGTATTTTATTATTTATTTATTTAGATATGGAAACATAATTATGTTGCCTAGGATGGATTCAAGCTCCTGGGCTCAAGCAATCCTTCAGCCTCAGCCACTTGAGTAGCTGGGATTATATGAATGCACCGTTGTGCCCAGCAAGATAGACATTTTACCTGTACCTCTCATCGACATGGATGGAACAGGTGCAGGCATATTTATTCAGGAAACAAATACAGGCTATAGAACTAAAAAGAAATCCTGAGGCCTCTAAATGGATGATGAGTGACTGTCTGCTCCATGGATGGCCAAGAATGTTGAAAATTTGAGACCCAGAAGGTAGTACCTCAGGACTTGTCTGGAACATTTGACTCTTCAGTCATAACAAGGTACAGAGGCTAATAGCCAAGACAGGGCACTGGGTACACCACCATGCAAGGCCCAGTACTGGGAAATGGGCCCAACTGACCATGAAGATCCAACAAGGCATGGCTACCAAGGGGCAGATAAAACTTAGCCACAGCTCACAAGACAGGGATGCCCTCTCTCACCAATCCTATTCAACATAGTGCTGGAAGTTCTGGCCAGGGCAATTAGGCAGGAGAAGGAAATAAAGGGTATTCAATTAGGAAAGGAGGAAGTCAAATTGTCCCTGTTTGCAGATGACATGATTGTATATCTAGAAAACCCCATTGTCTCAGCCCAAAATCTCCTTAAGCTGATAAGCAACTTCAGCAAAGTCTCAGGATACAAAATCAATGTACAAAAATCACAAGCATTCTTATACACCAACAACAGACAAACAGAGAGCCAAATCATGAGTGAACTCCCATTCACAACTGCTTCAAAGAGAATAAAATACCTAGGAATCCAACTTACAAGGGACATGAAGGACCTCTTCAAGGAGAACTACAAACCACTGCTCAATGAAATAAAAGAGGATACAAACAAATGGAAGAACATTCCATGCTCATGGGTAGGAAGAATCAATATTGTGAAAATGGCCATACTGCCCAAGGTAATTTATAGATTCAATGCCATCCCCATCAAGCTACCAATGACTTTCTTCACAGAATTGGAAAAAACTACTTTAAAGTTCATATGGAACCAAAAAAGAGCCCACATCGCCAAGTCAATCCTAAGCCAAAAGAACAAAGCTGGAGGCATCACACTACCTGACTTCAAACTATACTACAAGGCTACAGTAACCAAAACAGCATGGTACTGGTACCAAAACAGAGATGTAGATCAATGGAACAGAACAGAGCCCTCAGAAATAATGCCACATATCTACAACTATGTAATCTTTGACAAAGCTGAGAAAAATAAGCAACGGGGAAAGGATTCCCTATTTAATAAATGGTGCTGGGAAAACTGGCTAGCTATATGTAGAAAGCTGAAACTGGATCCCTTCCTTACACCTTATACAAAAATTAATTCAAGATGGATTAAAGACTTAAACGTTAGACCTAAAACCATAAAAACCCTAGAAGAAAACCTAGGCATTAGCATTCAGCACATAGACACGGGCAAGGACTTCATGTCTAAAACACCAAAAGCAATGGCAGCAAAAGACAAAATTGACAAATGGGATCTAATTAAACTAAAGAGCTTCCGCACAGCAAAAGAAACTACCATCAGAGTGAACAGGCAACCTACAAAATGGGAGAAAATTTTTGCAACCTACTCATCTGACAAAGGGCTAATATCCAGAATCTACAATGAACTCAAACAAATTTACAAGAAAAAAACAAGCAACCCCACCAAAAAGTGGGCAAAGGATAGGAACAGACACTTCTCAAAAGAAGACATTTATGCAGCTGAAAGACACATGAAAAAATGCTCATCATCACTGGCCATCAGAGAAATGCAAATCAAAACCACAATGAGATACCATCTCACACCAGTTAGAATAGCAATCATTAAAGTCAGGAAACAACAGGTGCTAGAGAGGATGCGGAGAAATAGGAACACTTCTACACTGTTGGCAGGACTGTAAACTAGTTCAACCATTGTGGAAGTCAGTGTGGCAATTCCTCAGGGATCTAGAACTAGAAATACCATTTGACCCAGCCATCCCATTACTGGGTATATACCCAAAGGATTATAAATCATGCTGCTATAAAGACACATGCACACGTATGTTTATTGCGGCATTATTCACAATAGCAAAGACTTGGAACCAACCCAAATGTCCAACAATGATAGACTGGATTAAGAAAATGTGGCACATATACACCATGGAATACTATGCAGCCATAAAAAATGATGAGTTCATGTCCTTTGTAGGGACATGGATGAAATTGGAAATCATCATTCTCCGTAAACTATCACAAGGACAAAAAACCAAACACCACATGTTCTCACTCATAGATGGGAGCTGAACAATGAGAACACATGGACACAGGAAGGGGAACATCACACTCTGGGGACTGTTGTGGGGTGGGGGGGAGGGGGGAGGGTTAGCACTAGGAGGTATACCTAATGCTAAATGACGAGTTAATGGGTGCAGCACACCAGCATGGCACATGTATACATATGTAACTAACCTGCACGTTGTGCACATGTACCCTGAAACTTAAAGTATTAAAAAAAAAAAAAAAAACTTAGCCACAGCTCAAAAGAACTCCCAGAACCAAGTGTTTCCAGAGGAAATCGTGAGTTTTATTAAGCAAAGCCAATAGATGGGCAATTGAGGTAGTAACATTTTCATAACTCCATCGCACATGGGGTGCTCCAACCCCACAAAAACTAGACATGTTTAGTTTGAACACTATTCTGTGGACCATCAAAGCCATCTCAAGTATTTTAGAGCATTCCTGGAAGGGTCATGCTCTCAGATAACCACTGCCTAGGGTCCTTACCTCCAGGGCATACTATTTTTTTATTGGCCTTCCAGATTTGTGTCCCATCCTTCCCCACCCTGGTGCATGTCCTAGGTGGTTAACAGGCACAAGCCCGCTTGCCTTTTGGCATCCCTTTGGGTTTAACCAATGAGAGGGACTAGCAGGAGATCAGAGAGGGAGAGAGGATGAGGTCAAGTCAGCCATCCTCCTTCCACCCCTAGGAGCCCTCTCTCAATGGCTGCCAGCTGACAGCTCCAGCAACAACCTTCTGGTTTTAGGAACTGTTCCCTCCCCTTTCCCCTTCACACCCACTGGGGAAACAACTCCCCTTTGCTGGCTCCAAGTACTTTGCCTTCCTGCATTTGTTCCCCCTAACTCTGTCCACTCCATGAAAATATTCCCTTTGTTACACTTTCTTCCATTTCCTAGTTCCAGTGGGTCATCTGAGAGGAAGCCTCTCTGTTTTCTCCTAAAGAATACAAGCAGTGTTGTCTCCTTTGTGTAACTCAGTCCTTTCTTGATTTTTGTTTTAAAAAAATGCACTCACACAAGGCAGTTACCCATGTAATAAATGTTGTGGACTTGAGAAGGGACCTCACACATTGCACAGAAAGAACACAAAACCACCTGCCTGTGGGGCTCCTGATCCACATATACCTCTTCTTGGCAGGGGCTCCTTTCTTCTCCCTCCCCCTGCACCTGTTCCCTGTACAGACCGGTTTGCCTACTTTATTTCAAGTGTCTTGAGATACTGGTGACATTTTCGTCTCCCTCTGTCACCTTCTGCCTTCTGCTTCAAGTGATTTATCAAGGAATTTTCCTCAACAAAGACATTTCTCTCCCTAAGAGAAAACCCAGTACCAACTCTTAAAATAATAACACCCTTAGCAGTGTGGAAACATAGACACAATACTTCTTAGCAGGTTGACTCACAGGTGACCTAGACCGGCCCAGGGGCAGGGCTTCAGGCCCCAGGGAGGAGCGCTGAGAGGAGCTCTTCACTTAGGTCTCAGACCAAAGCAGAAACCAAATCACAGGCTTTGGTTTGAAAACCAAGGCACAAGAAAGGGCCAGTTTGAGGAAAGTATTGCTGAGGGGGAGTGGAAGGTGCAACTGTCAAGCCAGCCTTCAACATCAGAGCTTTGTTCAGGTCAGATAAACCTAGGGGAATTTGGCACTCGAGACAGCCCCTGCTCCAGGAGTTGAAGGCAAGAGAGGGCTGAGAACTTGAGCCTGACAATGGGCCACCCATTGTGGGAGCTGGAGAAGCCAAGATGGAAAAAGTAAACTTAGGGCTAACCCACAGTACTCTTCCATTAATACATGAAATTGTTTATGTTCCTATTATCAAAGAAATGAAACTATATAATCCAAGACTAAAGTAAAAGTCAATCATGACCAAAATATCTTTAACACAAACAGGCAGGGAGTGTTGAAAAATAAAAAAGCTTTGATATTAACAAACTACTACAAATTTCCTAAGTTTTCCATTGTAACATTGCCATTAAATACAAAAGAAACAAAAGAGAGGTAAATGCATTTATTGCTTTGAAAACCGTAATTGAAGGAAAACTTCCTGTGGATGTTAACAATATGGAGAATGACAAAATAAATATTTGTGTAGTACCTTACTTTTCTAAAATTCTTTCAAATATATGACTTTATTTCAAATATATTACGAGGCAAAATCAAGGACTGGCCAGGTTGTGTAACTCACTTAAAGCACAGAAATAAAAATTGGTGTTGTGAAAATAAACGTCCCAGTCTCTGACACCAGAGCTATGATTTGAACACTGCATCACACGCTCCCCTGTCTGGGAGTAAAAGCCTGAGCTCTCGTTGAAGTTTATTTTGTCAGTTAGGAGAGAACTAAGGTGGAACTGCCCCCAAATCCCCACTTCCTACCATCCAATCCTCCTCAGCCTTTCTCAGTAGAACCATCCTCAATGATGGGGGAGACTCACTCCAAATGATAAGGGATTAAAATTGAAAATATATCACACATGATTAACCTACTGGCTGATCACTTATCAAACTTGCCATAAGGGGCAAAAAGACTTATATAAATGGTGTAATTATTTGCTAGCAACTATCAGCCTTCAAAACTAACTAAACCAAATGAATTGTTGCAGTCATACATCTAGGTAGTGTCCTACTCTACTCAGCCTTTCCAAATTTAAATTAAACCAGTGAGAGATTCTTGGTTGACCACAGGGAATAAATATGCATTTATTAATTTCTAACTTGATCACAGACAATTAAAGAAAATAACATTATGCAATATAAAAACAATCTTTTACATTGGTCTGCTCTCTGTACATAATGGCTGGCAAATATTCAGATAATGAACATGCTTAGGTTGTCATAATTTTTATTTCTCTATCATTAATAAACTCCATATTAATTAATGGCAAACAAGCAAAGATATTTGAGTAAGTGAACAGCAAAGTAGCAGAATGACGTGGATATTTTGTCTGTGCACAAATAAAAAGGAATGAAGAGCTGAGACTCAATATAATACCTCTTTTGAGCTATATTCCTTTATTACAACATTTTGCCTGAACCAGGCCTGAGCTTCAGCTTGGTAGGGAGTTGGTGATTCATAGCTTGTAACCCACAGGGGCGTTGGTATAAGCAGCTTAGAATATGCTGAGAAGTGATTAGACAGTTGTTTGGGGGAGCAGAGTGGACACTTGGGAGAAGAAGCCTGAGAACCCAAATGCTTTCTTTTAGGATTCAAAATTACTAAGGCTGTTAGACATAGTGGGGTAACTGTCGGCAAGGTAGAAATTAGGGAAAGGCTGTGTAAAGTTGCTTAGATGGTGTGCTGGTTGGAATTTTGGAGATTCACTCCTCACTGCCTCTCGGGTGAAATTTCGTAAGATGCTTCCCCTTGCCATTGCTCTTGGGCTTGGCCATGTGATTTGCAGTGTTGATGCAATGTTAGCAAAAGCTGGAACGTGTTCTCCCACCTGCACTTCTGCATGAGAAGACTGTGCTCCAGGTGGTTTGCCAACTCCAAAGGGATGAGAGACATGTGGAGCAGACCTAAAAGCAACCTGCACCCAGGCCCCGCTGAGCCACACCTAGATCAATCAAACCACAGTTGGCTTGTAGACTTATGAGCAATAAATAAACATCAGGATTATATGTCACCAAGATTTTCTGGTTGTTGACTACACATCAATGTGTTTCTGAAAAATAAATAATTCACCATATGGAGAAACAGACAGTACAATAAGGGCCAAGCATTAAGAGGGAATGGTGGTTCCAGGATTTAAGGCCCCCTCAGCACCTGATTCTGTCCCCAGTGGTGATCCATCATGGAAACAGACTTGCACCCTAAGGAAATGGCTGAGTGAGTGAAAGGAAAGAAGAACCACAACCCTAAAGAGTTGTAACGCTGCAAATCCACACCCTCATGAGGCTCCCCTTGACCGAGCATTACACAGGACATTATATATCTGCAGGCAGCACTGAGACCAGTCAGGATGGCTGCCAGAGGGAGAGAGCAAAACAAGCCATATCGCCTCCAGGAGCAGGACAGCAGCACCTTCAAAGGTGAAACAGAGTTCTGGCACCAACCAAGAAATGAGAATAATTAGAACTAATCTTTTGACATGGCACACATCCCAAAAATTGTAGAATATGCCATTGGAGGAAGTTTGAAGGATGGGGTGGAGTAAGATGTGTCTCCTGCTAATCTGTGAGGTCTAGACCTCTCATTGTTTTGCTTTGAGATGCTACTTTGGAATGACATTGTTTATGCTCCAAGTTGGTGGTATAGGGCTTAACAGTAATCTTGCTCCAAAGGGATAGACAGCCTGAGCATTTATGGAAGCCGTGATAGACCACACACCCATACCACATCACCAACTCTGGGCTCTTCCCCTTCCCCTCCTGGAATCCCCATCCTAGAATCCTCTCACCTGCAGATGCTCCATCACTACTTCTTTCTCTTTCTATTGTGGAAGGACTATTTAAGAGTTCATATACTCAACACATTGACTCTGAGACCCTGTATATATACATAGTCCTCAAACACTGGGAGACAGGGTTTCCTTTTAAAAATCCACTTCACTGTGATTTGGAGCTTTGGGTTTTAGCTAATCACTAGAAATCTTGTTTCAATGAAGTAGCTCTACTCTGCATGTTGTCACCATGGAGAACAGGGCTGCTTGCAAATTTTCCCTTAAATATTATGCCCGATTTTTGAAGGAACACATTTCTTGAAAAGTGAAAATACATTTTTCACAAAGAATGTGCTACTCCAAATTTGCTGAAATGATTTGAATTTTATTCATTTCCTTTGGCAACTACCAGTGTGAAAATAACTTTCAGTGTCATCAATAATATATGGACTATTGGACACAACATGGTATGCATATTGCAAGGAATAATACTCATAGAACCAACAGAATGTGTGTGTGCATGTGTCTATGTGTGTGTATGTATATATATATATATATATACATACACACACACACACGTAGAGAGAGAGAGAGAGAGAGAGAGAGGGATTTAAGGAATTGGCTCACATAGTTATACGGGCTGGCAAGTCCAAAGTCTACAGAGCAAACAGCCAGGCTGAAGACCCAGGAAAGAGTTGATGTTGCAGCTCAAGTCTGAAGGCAGACTGGATCAGAATTTCTTCATCCTAGGGGTACCTCAGTCTTTTACTTCTTAAAATCTTCAATTGACTGGATGAGGCCCACTCATGTAATGAAAAATAATCTGCTTTCTCAAAGTCTGCTGATTCAAAAGTTCATCATGTCTAAAAAGTACCTTTACAGCAATATGTAGACTAGTGTTTAACCAAAAGCTTGAAGCCATGGTCTAGCCAAGTTGGCACATAAAATTCACCATCACAGAAGCAAATAAATTTTTTAAATAGTAAAATTGACAAAAGCTGCAAAATTGGTGTAAAATATAAGATATATTGTAACCAATACATTTCCTATACAATGTACATATTTTGTGGCTGAAATTTTTTTAAATAAAAAGCATTCAGTTTTTGGTTGAAATAATCTGACAACCATAAAAAATGTTGTGTTCCCTACGAAAGTGGATGTACATATATTTTCACATACACAAGTTTGTTTACAACAATCAATCCATCAATCTCCCACACTACAAAATCTTGACTTAAAGAAGTCAAGGCAATGCAAAAATAAGACATACACTTTGATAATATCAGGAAAAACACTTCTTACAGGAACACTAAATCCTTGGGGAAACAACCAAGCCTTTTATTGGATATTCCTGGGACAGAAATGGTTCTAACCTGATTCAATATACTTTTAAATTTGCAGGGGGTGAAAATTATTACTTTATCAAAGGGTAAAAAATGGTACATTGATTAAAGAAGGGGCTATTAGAAACTCTGGCAGGCAAAGGACAACTTTTAATTTAGGCACAACCTAAAATTTCTCCCTCACTTCCAGGAGTTATTCTGCCCAGGTTCTGGAATCTGGCCAGATGTGATGCAGAATCCCCTCCCCACTACTCACCTGCTCTGTGACCTTGAGCAGTGATTTAGCATTTTCTTCATCTCATTTTCCTCTTCAGCAAAATGGAGACCATAATGCCTACTTCACAGGGTTTGTGAAGAATTAAATGATCTACTTTATGGAAATGACTAACGGTTCCAGATACATAATGAGTATTTGATAAATGCTAGCTATCATTGGATTCATTTTGTTCTCATAAGATATTAATCATTTGGACACATTGACAAGCAGGAGAGGAAAATCATGTTCATTTACCCACCACTCTGATAGTGCAAAATCAAATAACACTGATCCTGTTCACTGGAGATGAGTCATATAGCCAGAATCTGTTAGCAAGTGGTAATGCCTTCTCTGGAACTTTGCCTGCATTTGGGACATGTTGGGACATGCCAGCATTATGCAAGCAACAGTACCTTGCTGATGTCTGTGTGGCTTTCCTAATCATTTTGGTATGGTTAAGAGTAGAAAATAATCACATGCTTTTCTATCCTATTATCCTTTTACAAACAAAATTGAGATATTTAAACATGAGATCTTAAAAATGGTGGGATTAATAGTTTCACCAAATAATACATTGAAACAATACAAGTAGAATAAGGTTTAAAGAAATATGCACAGGCTGGACGCAGTGGCTCACGCCTGTAATCCCAGCACTTCGGGAGGTGGACGGGGTGGATCACGAGGTCAGGAGTTTGAGACCAGCCTGACCAACATGGTGAAACCTCGTCTCTACTAAAAATACAAAAAAAATTGCCGGGCGTGGTGGCACACGCCTATAATCCCAGCTACTCAGGAGGCTGAGGCAGGAGAATCGCTTGAACCCAGGAGGTGGAGGTTGCAGTAAGCCGAGATCGCGCCACAGCACTCCAGCCTGGTGACAGAGCAAAACTCCATCTCAGAAAGAAAGAAAGAAAGAAAGGAAGAAAGAAAGAAAGAAAGAAAGAAAGAAAGAAAGAAAGAAAGAAAGAAAGAAAGAAAGGAAGGAAGGAAGGAAGGAAGGGAGAAAAGAAAAGAAAAGAGAAAAGAAAAGAAAAGAAAAGAAATATGCACACAGGAACAATTGTATAGCTTTCTTATTGCTATGGCTTGAATGTTTGTCCCCTCTGAAACTCATGTTGAAATTTAATCCCAATTATAATAGTATTAAGAAGTAGGGCCTTTAAGAGGTGATTTGGTCATGAAGGCTCTTCCCTCATCAATGGATTAATCTATTAATTGACTAATGGATTAGTGGGTTAATTAATTAATGGGTTATCACAGGAGTGGGTTAGTTATCATGAGAGTGGGTCTCTAGTAAAAGCCAGTTTGGTGTGCTCAAGCTCCCCCACCATGTGATGCCCTGCAATGCTTCAGGGTTCTGCAGAGTCCCCACCAGCAGGAAGGCCCTCACCAGATGTGGCTCTTTGACCTTGACCTTGGACTTCAGCCTCCAGAACTGTAAAAAATAAATTTCTTTTCTTTAGAAATTACCTAGTCTATGGTAGTCTGTTATACAAACAGAAAATGACGAAGACACTTAACAACCCTTGCACTTAGTTAAACCTCTTTAACCTTAATTTTTCCCCAGACCTAATTAGAATGCCCTTTCTAACTCACCCGAATACTTCTGGTATCCAAGGCTTCCAAGGATGACTCTGGGATTTCAGGCCAGCTGTCCCCACCTCTTGAAAATGTGGCTCATGTACGCTTTGATGGCTCTATGTCCTATCAGTTGATAGAGCTAATTAAAAGAGAGTCTTATTCTGTTTAACCTTCTGGGTCTGTATCCCTCTTCATCACATAATAGAAGCAGAGATAATAAAGATAAAGCTATACAACAACATAACCCTAAATTTGGTGATTATTTTTCTTTTACTCATAAAGGAAGCATTTTCCAAGTTCTAAAGGAGTCACGAAACCTCCCCAAACAAGAAGAATCTACTCATCGTCTCCTCTGTAGTTTTTCATTTCATATATTCTCAAGAGTTTTTCTGTAGTTTGACTGAGAACTTGGTCCACAGGGATAGGTCAGCCGTGGTTTTATTTCCACAGTCTAAAGAGCCACCGAGGCTGGTCAGCTACCACTGTCCCTTAAGCCCTGGGGCAAGGGACGAAATAGGAGGACACTTCACTTGCAGGCACCGAGTCAGTGAGTGTAAGCTCAGTCCTAGGGCACTGGCTGTGGGTCTGAGGAAGGAGCAATGAAGAGGGAGCAGAATCTAGTGTCTGCCACGTCCTCGTTGGGCCATCCACCCAGACGTTCTGCCACAAACCTCAGCAGAGGGAAGGGAGGAGGAGAGGAAGACTGGGGAAAGTGGACAGAAACAGCCCTGAGGAAAGAGCACTTCCTCCATGGTCATTAAGTTCTATGGCTTAGAGCTGGAGCGTAATCAGGGAAGGAGAGGGCATTTCTCCCTCCTCCGCTCAGCACTGCGTCTATTGAAGAAGCCACAAAGGCAGCTACAACCTTGCCAACAGAAAGCAACAGGAAGGCCGCTCCCAGCCAGGAGAGCCAGGGGAGTGGGACCAACCCACCTACAGCCCCATGGCAGAAAAAGGGGTTGCAGGAAGTGATGAAGAGCTGGTGACCCAAAGAAACCTCCAGGAGAACTGCCGCTGGGGCCCATGAGAGACAGAGAACACCACGGAGACATCTCCAAGGAGAAAGGAGGGATGCGTGTGCCTGAGGCTGGAATGCCAAGATTTTGCTGTTGGGAGCAAAGCCCGACACTGATGTTGAGTTTCCCCTCCTTTGACTCAGATTCCTTGCCTGCTACCCCAGGGCAATGGAACTTAAGAAAGCACTCGTAGACCAAGGAGACCATGACCAGCAAGAAGCCCAGACTTTGGGAGGATTTCAGGCGACAGAGTGTTGGGCAGAGCAAATGTTTCATCTGAACACTCCCCTGTTCCAGGTGACTGCCCCTTTAAGGAAAAGTTGAAGATGCTGAACTCTGGGGGCCTTGAGTATTGTGTGCAGGATCAACATATCCACAAAACCTGGGAAATTCCTGATAGGATTGTGGTGAGAAAAATAAACACCCACGCCATTGCCGGGCTGGGCACTAGGCTTCCTGTTTGAGATTTTTCCTTATCCCATTCCTTGTCCTGTTTCTTGCACCCCTATTTCCTGCTTCAGCAGACAGGGAAGTCCATTTCTTCAACTGAAAAGAGGAGAGACAGTTGACGAGACGTGAAGTCTGATTACTGTTACTGCAGGGTCCTCCGGCCAGCCCCCCACCACCCACCCCGCCGAATGCTCACAGAGGCCAATGTCAGGTGGTGCAAAGTGCACGAGAGCAGGCAGCTGGGACAGCTGTGCTCTGGGCACTCAGCCAGCCCCGTCCATCTGTTCCTCTGTTTGTCTTGCGAAATGGAAGAGAGGCTTCTGTGGGCCTCTCCACGGCGGGCAGCCGCAGGGCAGGTGGTCAGATACATGGGGCCAGCCATGTGGCCCCGGGAAGATGGGATCCGGGGCAGAGAGAGGGAGTGGGAGCCAGGGTCTCAGCACTAGAGGAGAGGGGCTCCCAGCTGAACCCAGCCCACCCATATCACAGTGGGTAGAGCTGCACCCTGGCTCACTCCTCACATCACCCCTGGGCCTTCAGGAGTTTCAGGGGGTGGAGTTCAGTGACTGTTGCTTGAGAGGAAGGAGAGTGAGTGGGCAGTCAAAAAGCCACAAAGAAGGTCCTGCAACATCCGTCTCTTAAATTCGTTTTCTGTGATCTCTGCTCACTTTTTATGCCACCATCTACCTATCTACACTTGATCTCTAAAGTTCCCTCCCCAACCAAACCGTGCACTATCTAGAAGGTTGAGAAATACCTTCTGGTCTGGCCTCATCCCCATGAAACTTCCCTTGGTCTCAGTGTTCAGGAAGCTGCCAGATGGTGGTGATGTTAACTGCACCCCCTGGTTTTTTGTTATATTGAAACTGAAGATCCCCTCCCTCCCCCAATGCCCACAGGTCCCACTCAGCTGCCTCACCCTGGTGCTAAGCCCAGACATTTGCTTTCTCTTGAGCTGTTTATTTTGCCAGCAGGCAGGGTCACCTGTCCAATTGCCCGCTAATGAACTGTACAGTCTTAACTGCCAACCCACTCCCGCCCGAGAGGAGAGGGAAAGGAATGTGAGTGGCTCAGGCTGCACTGTCAGGATTGGGTTAGCTGGGCAGGAGGAGGGGCCACGGTTACAGCTGGAAGCATAGACAAAAAATTTAAAAACCTTTCTTATCCATCGGTAATGCACAAAGCTCTGTGGTGGATGGTTTGGGCAGATTAGCCCCATTCAACAGATGAAGAAACTGAGCCTAGATTATCCCCATTTAACAGATGAAGAAACTGAGCCCAGAGAGTGTGATGAGGATGATGGCTCTCCGGGTTACACAGTTGCTGAGGAGGTTGAGCCACAGAACAGAGATTTGAACTCTGGTTCATCTGACACCAATGCCAGGGGCTCTGGAAGCTGCTTATTCGTTCGCAGGATGCCCCTGAGGTGGGGGCCATGTGCACAGGTGTTCCAGTATCTTGGCAGAGATTTTTGCTCTCCTGGCATTGGGACTGTGTGGGATCAGTGCCCGAGGGCCCTGGGATTAGCTTGGCATAAAGGGAACTTGAAGAAACCATTCCTAAGTCAGATCAGAGGGCTGGGGCCAGAGCTGTGGGCAGGAAGCAAGTGAAAATGAGAGCAGAGGTGAGTCCCTTCCAATGGGAGAAGAAACATGACTTCATCTTCCACATTCTATGTCCTTCCAACCACCAGGACCTACTGACGCCGCAAGTATACAGCTGACTATGAAACTGAAACTTATTCACTATTTCTGAGCCACTTATAATGAAACGTCCTGTGCACCAAAAACACAATTCTGCAAATTCATTAGTTTCTATCATTAAAAATAGACATGTGTTGACTTCAACAATAAGCTGTGCTCATCAATGCTGTCATCTTCATTCAGGGGATACATGGCACGATCATCAACCTAAGAATGATTAAAAAATTAGAAGCACATGTTGAAATGAGGTGAACAGGAGAGCAGGGTCCAGAGTGAACAAAAAGGACAACAGAACCTGAGGCAGCCAGATGGCACTGGCAGAGACACTCAAGATGGGAAAGTCAAAGGGGAAGGAAAATGAGGGGCCAGAGGGGTAGACTTTTATGAAGTTTCACAGGAGAGAGAGAAAAAGAGTGCATGAATGTAAAGAAGAATTTCCTGCCACACTACATGGGAAGAAATGCTGCTCTTGGACTTTCACTAACCTTTAATGGGCCTCTTTGGAAAAAGGGGAAGATGGGTTGTTGGGTGCACAGATGTGAAGGATGACTCAGGTGGGGCTGTCTAGGGGGCAGTTAGAATGTCAGCTAAGGAAACAGAGACTCTACTGTTAAGACTGAGGATACATGCAGAAATTGGAAAGAGAACACAAAACTCCATATGGCCCTCTGTATGTTCTGCCATCATGTGTCCCTGATCAGAGTGCATGTGCAGGAAGAACCCGTAGAGTACTGCTGCCGCCATCACGGGTCATTCATCCCCATTCCCAGCCAGCCCAGTTGTGTCCTGAACATGTAGGTGGCCTGTGGGCAAGCCAGGGTCTCAGCCTCCCTCTGCTCCCTTCCTTTGTCCTCCAGCCCCAGGGAATGTGCCAGCCACTTCCTCTACAAACCCCTGGAACCCACTCACTCCCAATGGAGGACATCAACTCACCCATGAGGGATCCACCCCCATGATCCAAACATCTCCCATTAGGTCCCACCTTCCAACACAGCCACACTAGGGATCAAACGCAACATGAGATTTGGTGGGGGAAACAAACCATATCCCAACCAAAGCAGGCACCTTTCGTAGAACACTTTTCTAATCTCTTCTGTCACTACTCACTCAGCCCCCAAATTCTTGTTAATTCTTTTTGTGCCTAGAGAGGGTGATGAGGGTGTTGGCTGTCTGGTTTACACAGCTGGTGAGGAGGATGACCCACAGAACAGAGATTTGAACCCTGGTTCATCTGGCACCAATGCCAAGGGCTCTGGAAACTGCCTAATCATTTGCAGGCCGCCCCTGAGGTGGGAGCCACGTGCACAGGTGTTCCGGCACCTTAGCAGAGATTTTTACTAAGTAGTCAGGGGTATGTGCAGCCCAGGAGTTCATCTACATCTTTCTAGGATCCCTTCCTTGAGCTCCCTCTTCTCTGGCATCTCCCTAACACTTTGCAGCTTGTAGGTGGTCCCCTTCCGGGTACACAGGCTAGAAATACAGGGCTTTAATTTCTCTGTTCTGTTGTGCTCTTCCTGCAACTACATCTGCTACCCATTCTGCAGTACTTGGAGTTCTTCCCCAATCTGTCTGTTATTGTTTTACTTTTCTGTGTCTGCCGGTAGCTGCTCCCTGCATTTTCTCCAGGGATTTTCACTGCATTCAGTGGGAGAGACAAAGTGGTATGTGCTTCATGCATTTTGACCAGAACCAGAACCCACCGAGCGTTTTTAAACAGTTAAAAGGCATGTAGCTCTCTATTCCAGAAGGCTCTCTTTGGCTGGAGCAGGGAGAATGGGTTGAGAACGATGTTAGAGGCACAGAATATAGCAACCTAAGAAGCAGATGCCACAGGCTGGTTTTAAGGCAATGGCAGTCAAAGGGGAAAGGAGAGAGTCCCAGAGCTCCTCAGAGGTGAATTCTGCAGGATATGATGGCCAATTCGATGTGGAGGTGGAGGCATATGAAGTCTCCAGAATAATTCCCTAAGATGGAAACACGAAGATGAAAAATTTGCTCCATGAATGTCAGCCCTTGAGCAAATTAGCAGGCAAATATTCCTCCCCTAGACCAGAATGAGCAAATTTAAAATCTCTTTCAATTTTCCTTCTCTACACTACTGGATCATTTGCCTTTGTGTTATCAGCCATGCTAAGATATTCTCCATTCTAACAAGATGTATTTGAGCCCATTTGAAGCACCAAAAAGTTTACTATTGATCTCTGTGTCATTTTTCATAGGGCAAATTCAAAATAGGTTTTATTCGCATAACAAACCACCACTTTAAATTGTGAAGTAGTCAGAAGTAGAGATTTTATAGTGTTATGTGTTGCACCATGGTTTTAATTTTTTATCTGTGTTTAAAAATTTTGCCATTTGATTCTATGATTTGTCAGCAAAATACCATTATATGATATTTCAAATATATAAAACATTTTTAAAGGAATTAAGAAAAACTGAGCTTGCCTGGGTTGTTTGTTAAAGCAGCTAATAGTGGTGCTGTAGTGATGCTAGTGTAGCAGTAGATAGCATATTTTCTTGATTTATTTTTGCAGAAGTAGATATGTCTTTCTATGTTTTACATAAACCCCACACACAAACATACCATGGGTATATGTCCATACTCACAGGCCCACACCTCACCTGCTAATACATTATTCAGTCTTTCAGTTCCTTACAAATGCTACATTCCTCTCTCCATTATCTTTCACATTTAAGTTAAACAATGATTAGTCATTTTGACTGTGGATAATTTGCCTCTTAGTACAAATATATTTTCCTCTGCCAAGTATGCTTACAAAGCGCGGGGCCCAGAACCCATGTGGCTTGATCACAATACCAAGATGGTGGTCTATTTCCTACCACTAGTACAATCTTCCTCACAGTGCAAGCCATGTGCTTAACTTTGGGTAGAAAAAAAAAAACAAAAACCTAAAACTGGAAAGAAATTCCCAAGATAAACAGTATAATGGACTGAGAATGAAAGCCCTTATATTTGAGACAGAATTGGATTATTTCTTAGAATGGCTTTTGAGAAAGGAATCTGTGGGCAGAAGAAGAAAGAGATTCCTTTTGTGTGGCTTGCTGCAAGTCGACAAAAGAAATGAAAGGAGAGGAAGGGCTTGGGAATCAGCTGCTAACAAGGTCCTTAATTTGGGCTAAATCTTCTAGGGCTTAGGAGTTTCAGATTGCGTTCTTGTTATATAAAGAGCCTTACTACAAGGCACCACTCTTTCGCTGTTTCCCGGGTGGGTAACTGTTTCTCTTTTCCTAGACACGGGACAACGCTGAGTCAGAATGCTTAGTTTGATCAATTAGAAAAGAAAGGTGAGTGGAGGTATGAGCTCCAGGTTTTTTGTTCATGCTTAAGCATAAGAAAGTCAGAACATTGCCACTGTGTTGTTTGACAAGCGATATCCTTTATCTACACAGAAGGACAGAGCTTTGGGTAAAAAATTCTACATTGCCCAGACACTGGGCAATGCTCCTAATTGTGTATGTTTCTGTTGTATTTCTCCAATTGAAATTTTTCTGAGAGCCCACTTTCTGGCATCAATGGCATTTTATTTCTGTGGCTCACTCAATAATAGGGACCTGATGCTGTCTGTGGGATCTGGCAATCCTCAGCTGGGCACATTCTTTGGTCAAAGTTTTGCAAAAGGTGTGGTCAGCACAGCTTGGGCTGGAGATTATGCCGGAAAAGGAGGCTGAGATAGGAAGTCAGCTGGATTTAAGTGCTTTGCAAAGCACATGCAAGGTTTTGTTAATACACTACAGTTGGTCAATTGAAAACATTTTCAAGTACCCCAGGGTGCTGGGTAAGAGCTAAGTATAGGAATAAATTCCACATGTGAAAGCACTCAAAATAGCACTAAACAACAGACTCAGAAATATTTGGAGTAGGCTCTGTCTGCAAATCTCACCAAAAGACAAGCAAAAAATATCTCCAGGAGACCTTGGATTCATTTTAAGACTCAGACAGCTTGGTCAATTGCTGCAATGAATGTGTTCATTGCAAGATATTTTGGATTTGCTTCATTTATTCGTGAATACTCAATGGCTAGTTCATCATTCAAATTGCTGCCAAAACACTTTTCCATGAAAAGACATTAGGCAGCTATGGAAAAGGTGGGTGATGAGGCTTAGGAGGAGGAATTCAGATTTCCTGTGTCAGATAACCAAGGACAAGGTGAGTTGGAAAGGGCCCTAAAACCTAGAGATGCACCTCAGGGCCAGAAGTGTGCAATGGTAGTTGCTTCTTGGCCTCTTGGCTAAGACCAAGTGCAGAAGTGTGCAATTCAGCCAGAGGGAGAACCAGAGCCACACAGGTGGGCCAGCCTCTGGTTAAGACAGGATCACTGTAGCAGTAGGAATAATAATGATGAATTAGCAAAGATTTATTGAGCACTTACTAAATTTAACTTGTTCACGGCCTCACTGCTGGGAAGTGGCAGAGCTGCAATTCAAACTCAAAGTCTCTGACCCATAGCCCTGGTTCTTGACGATTATTCCAAAAGCCAGGCCAGTCAGGATCCTGGGTTTCCTTGGCCACAGTGCAAACTCTTGGGAAAACTTCGCATTTAGAGTTCTGGTACCAAGTGGGCCATTTTGCATGGGTGTGCAGGTGTGTATTACACAGTTCCAGAGGCCACTGACTTCGTAGTTAATGTGGCTGCCACCCTCACCCTGAAACTGCACAGTAGACCAACTGATGACTATCACTATGGCCCCAACATTTCTATTCTTCAGCTTTTACAAGTGAGATACCTGCCCTGCTGAGAGGAAAATGACTCTGACCCAAGGCCACTAGCTGCAGAGAAAAGTCAGGAGTGGCCTGCAAAGGGTATCTCTTCCCTCTGGTGATCCATTACTGCCTAGGGTCCTGCAGTGTGGGATCCACTCATGGCTGATAAATAAATCAAACATGATACAGGAATTTGTGAAGAGATAGGTATAGGTAAGGAAGCTTGATTTTTTTGCTTTCGTTTTTTTTTTAAGTCTGATCTACCCCAGAGAAGCCAAAGAATGGAATTGCCATCCAAGTGGATAAGGGTCCTGAACTGTGGGCTTTCCCAGAAGCAAAAAAAAAGGGAAATGTTTGGAAGCAAGAGATGCTCTAGTGGCAACTGATTAGTGCTGTGGGAAGACTAGAAATGCTGTTGTTAGAAAAATTAAATCACTGCATGTTTGGATTTGCACCCCACAAAGGAACCCTAAGTGCTTCTCTATGCTGACGGGGCCTGGCTGTGAGCAGGGAGAATGGCTGTGTGTTTCTGTCCCAAGGATGTACACGAGGGCTGGAGAAAGATTTCTCTGCTGCTACGGGGCACCGAGAGAATTGCCTTCAGCTCCTCTCTGGAGTGGAGGAGCCACGCCAGGGACTAAAGCCTCTGACACTTGGCTTCTCCTGGCAGCTCGGTGGGCTAGGCAGACTATGTTGTCTGTCCTTGAGGAAGGCAATGACTATCTGGGCTCTTCAGAAACATGCAAAGAAGGCCTGGCCACTGGTCAGCTTTTCAAGTGGATTATCATTTCCCAAATGTCCTCACATCTGGTTTCCAGGCCCGAGGAAGGAGCTGTTGTAAGCAGCTGTTTCAGGCAGCAGCAGATCAGGAACAGAGTCTTCATTAGCCTCATGTCTGCCACTAGATTTTAGGATCACTTGCGTTAGTCCTTTTGATCTCGCAGAGTCTCAGTTTCCCCATCTGTAAAATGAAGGTGGGGAAGGTCCGACCAAATGTGTCTTTTCAATTTCAGCTCTAAATTCTACAGTCGATTTGAGAAGATTGCTGAATTGCCGAAAAACTCTTTTCATTATTATTTATTTTAGTGAAGCCAGGTTTCTAGAATAATGCCAAGCTAGCCATTGGAAGCTCAGGTGAAGTCAATAAACAGGCCACCCTCATCCATCTAAAGAGTCTGAGAAACAAAACAAAACAGAGGCAGATGGAAGGCCCAGAACAAAGCATGAGGTTTTAGATCTAAGAAACAGATAATTCTCTCTCGTCCTAAACCCCATTCCAAATTCCCATTTCAACTTGTACTTGACTTCTGAGTGTTCATGTGGACACAGCCCAGTGTAATGGAAAAGCACAGGAAAAGGAGTCCAAGAGCTCGTTATAGTTCTATCACTTAGTAGACAGGGTAGCCAATTTCCCTGTTCTTTTCAGAACCCCTGCTCTGTAGTCCCTGTGAGAGGGTGAGGGGTTTGGGAAGCAGAGGTGGAGAGGAAGCCCTGAACCAGGATGGGCCAGTCAGATCTACACTTCCCCAAAGCTGTCACTGGAACGTGGTCAGGGGTGCTCCAGCCTAGGGCCACCATTCATCTCTGCTGGGGCATCATCTGGGAGAGAACACGGGGAACAGATTTGGCTCATGAAGAGGTTGGGCTATTGAGAAAAACGAGATGTAAAGAGATGAGCAGAGAAACAAATACGAGAGACCATATGGAAAAGAGAGAGAAGGAGAATAAGAAACCTTAGTTTCCAAAGGTTTTAAGCTCCTGGTTCCATTCCTTTTGGCACTTCTTGCCCCGAGGTCTTGGGCTTACCTTGACCCTCACCTTGTTCAACTGGGTTTCTCTTACACACAACCAATCTCTGAGAACCCTTATCTCACCATGATTTTGTATAAGTGGCTTTATCTCTGGGTGCCTCCATTTCCTCTTCTGTAAAATGTAGCAGCCGGCATATGTATTTCTGTTTCTTTTCTAGCCCTCTGATTATATGAAAGACTTCTGCAAAGCAAAGTGGGATAAAGTCATAGCGACTCCCTTCCTTTCCCCCAGTTAACCAGATCCAGACCAACACCAAGCCTCATTGTTCCATGTAAACAGCCCCACTAGCTGTTTTCTTGGTAGAGGTCACTGTCCCTTTGAGAAACCAGGGATGCAGAATAGAAGTGTGGACCCAGATTCTCACGGAACAAGTACAACATGCCAGCACTCCATAGTGCCAAAGATGAGCCCGGGAGCTGGCCCACACCCACGCAGCTCCTGTCTACCTCTGCCATCCCTGTGGCCCATGCGTGTATTTATAACTCTAGTGTACCTGTTGGAAAATGAGGCCGAGGCTGCAACAGTGCTCTGGCTTCAGAGCTTTTTCTTAGACTCTGTCTTCAGCCCCCTTGAATAGGTAGAATGTTAGTGACTATGTACAATTTCAATTGGAGTTTCCATTGCACAGGGTCCTCAGACTGTCTACGTTGCATTTCACCAGTCCATTGTCTGCCACAATGGAATGCTGTATGGGTGGCCGG
This sequence comes from Homo sapiens, assembly GCF_000001405.40. Taxonomy (NCBI): domain Eukaryota; kingdom Metazoa; phylum Chordata; class Mammalia; order Primates; family Hominidae; genus Homo; species Homo sapiens. Next base: position 29,782,240 of record NC_000008.11, read on the forward strand.
GCACTGTCTCTTTATAGCAGCTGAACTGCAAGGAAAAACAGAATATATTGCAGCTGTAAGGAATTAGATTAGACACACACACACACAGAAAAAGAAAAAGAAAGAAAGAAAAAAGAGAGAGAGAGAGAGAAAAAAAGTTCCCTAGGGTGGTAAGACAGTGGTGTATATTAAAAGGGACAATGTGTTAACGAAATCTCAAGATATTTTCAGAAAGAGCAGACAGCTTCCCCCGGGTATGGCTGGAAGTGCAGCCCTGCATTTCCAGGAATAGATGTGATGACATCTTGACATCTCAGTGTCCCTTCCCTGCCTAGACTGATGATGGCAGGGTCTCTGTCAGAGGATCCCTCTTCCCCCCTTGCACCAAATTTCCATCAATTTCATCATTACTGTCCACTCTCCTATAATTGCCTGAAACGGTCCGTACTTTAGGCAACTATACCTTTACTCTTTCCCGTTTAGTGCTCACCACCAACCTACTTCACCACCAATCCACGCCTCATGTAGGAGGGGAGACCTAACGGCAAGAATCTGGATATGATGAACAAGTGGGCAATCTCCTCCTGCAGCTGAGCTGGCTGCCTTGTGCATAACTGAGAATATATGGCCCTCTGTCCCTCATTCATGTTGTCCATATCACCCACCCTCCCTAAAGGGGCCCTTCATGGGACAGCACAAAAGGCTTCCAGAGACGCAATCCCTCTCGCATGACCCCAACTCCCTGCCGCCACCAACCCACAGGTACTGATTACCTGATCCAGCTGACCAGTAGAAAACTCAACCTCAGGGCTCTGAATCCCGGGGAAACTCAGCCCACGAGGCTCCACACTCAGGCTGGTCCTGGCCCCATTCATAAAACATCAGTGTATCCTATTGGTCTCTTGTTGGATGTCTGGATTTTTAAGAGCTTCTAGTGAGAGGAGAGGACATGGGACACAGTTATTTAGTAACCCTCATCCCCACCATGGGGTGCTTAACAGTCAGACCACTCAGCATCCCCAAAAGATACTGCATCATTTATTCAATACTTGTTCATCAAGGATTTATAGCTTCCAAAAGCCTCTTTTATCCACTCACTTTCTCTTTATTCCCACAGTCATTTCCCTCATTCAGGGAAAAGAAACAAAATGGCCCTAATATTTCTTAGTGTTCGGCCCTGTGTTTTGTGTGCTGCATGTATATTTTCTTGTAAGTTCCTGCTAGATTTCTGAAGCAACTTTCTTTTGTTTTTCTCTCTCACTCTGTCGCCCAGGCTAGAGTGCAGTGGTGTGATCTCAGCTCACTGCAACCTCCACCCCCTGGATTCAAGCGACTCTCCTGCCTCAGCCTCCCAAGTAGCTGGGATTACAGGCACCTGCCACCACAGCCAATTAACTGTTGTATTTTTAGTAGAGGCAGGGTTTCACCATATTGGCCAGGCTGGCCTCAAACTCCTCACCTCAAGTGATCTGCCCACCTCGGCCTCCCAAAGTGCTGGGATCACAGGTCTGAAACAACTTTCTAAATGTACTTCCAGCCTCCACGTGCAACCTTCTTCATCCATACCCCACACAGATGCCAGAGGATCCTTCTAACATATGCTTTTCTCTTGGAAATACTGACAGTTCCTTACTGTCTTCTGGATAAAACTGAAGAGATATAGCCCTCAGTGCTTGCTCTGGCCTCAGCATCTTCTCCAATTGCCCCCTACAAAGGTCCCATAAAGGAACTTTGTCACTCACTCTTACTCAGAATATATTTCCATGCACCATGGGCTTTGCCCACACTAGACCACTTGTTTAAATTGTCTCCACACCTGTCTCATTTGGCAAACTCTTCTCTGTTTATCAAGCTTAAATATCATCTCATCTTTCTATCCTTCTCAGGCCTTTGTCTCTTCTTATAACACTTTATATAAGCTTCGCTTATAGCACAGCTCACATTGCATTATAGATCTGTGATGTGTTACTCAGGGTAAACCAACTGCTATGTCAAACAACTCAAAAATTTTCATGGCTTGACACCACAAAGGTCTATTTCTTGCTCAGGCAGCAGTCTAATGGGAAAGTTCCTCCTGGAGGCTCACCACCAAGTGTTGACTCAGGGATCCAGGCTGATTCCATCTTATCACTCTGTTATATCTTAAGACCCTGGAGTCCTTTACTCCCAAACACATAAACAGCAAAAAAAGAATACGGAGGATAGAGCAGATTTTAAGGGTCCAGGCCTGGCCCAATCTCCAGCCATTGCTCTAAGACAACAAATCTTCACTCATATCCCCTGACTGTACTTCTCACAGGACTCTCAGTCTACCATACCACTGATTTGGGCCCTATAAATATCTTCAAGAGAACAAAAAACAAATAGCAATTATCTAGCCAACGATAACTTTATTTTCCAACAGACCTGCTCCTTCAAGAAAGGCCATAGTAAGGTTTTGGGTATCAGCAGGGCTTTTCACGTTAGGGAGCCATTGGTATGAGACAACTGACATGTGTCCACAGCTTCCATTTTCATCTGTTAATATTCAATTACTCACCATTGTGGCAGTCTGGGAAATTAAGTTAACAGAGAAATCTAAAGGGCTTATCATATTTACCATTAAACATATGGAATCAGTCACATTGTGAGAGCTTCTAAGACTCTAAGGGATTCCTGATCACCTCCTTCAACTCTGTGGCATATTTGTTGAAGGATAATCCTCTCTAGTGTACCTAGTGATCATTTAGAAAACAAACAAAAAACAGGTTTTTCTCCTCTTTCACATCAGCCTTAGGATTATAAAAACAATATAGGTCTTAAGGGTAAATAAATACGTTACTAGCCAATACATACATGGGAGATTTGATATTATCTCCTAAACCAAGATCACAAGAGAACATAGATAAGGACTTTCTATTGTTGACCAGATTTGGAAAAGGGGAATATCCCTTCTAATACAAACAAAAATAAACCAAAAATCTTCTTGAGGTGTGAGGGAGGACACATCTTTAACAGGAAAATAGTTTTTAAAATAATTGCCATTTGGCGCTTAGTGAATTTAAGGAATAATTTAAGCTTGGATTTCCAAAGCTCTTCTATCCCTCATGAGCCCGGGTTATAGTCCATAGAATTGATTAAGGAAACTGAGGCAGGGAAGGGTTAGGTGATTTAGCAGTGGTCATACTGCAAATCACAGGTTTTTCTGGGACCTGTTCTTGCACCCAGCCTGGGGCACATTTCATGAGCAGATGCACAAAGGAAGACCATAAGTACCACTTTAGTTCCATTTGCTTTCCTCCTGTTCATTCTTCATCTCACTCCCAATAGACTTCCCCTCACAGCTATCCACTGATGTAGCTAAGCCTCTTCAATGATCTTCACACCATTAAGTCCAATGTATCTTTTCTAGTCCTCACCTTACAGAATCTCTAAGCAGGATTTGACTTAGAAGACCACTGCTTTCTTCTTCAACACAATCTTTTTCCCTTGGTCACCATCACATCACACCTCATGGTTTCTACTCTCTGGCTGCGCCTTCTCTGTGTCCTTCACCTACTCATCCTCTCAGTTTAGGCCATCAAGACTTATAATACCAAAGACTCCACACTGGGCCCTCTTATCTTCTCTCTCTGTACTTTCTGTCCATCTTGTCCATGTTTATGGCTTCAATAGCCAGTCATTCATAAATCCCAAATTTATATCTCCAGCTAACACCATCTTCTGAGTTCCGGTCCTGTACTGTATCTCCATTTCTACTTACAGATGCCTCAAATTTACCTTGCAGTCTAAGCCCAAGCATTCTCTCCCTGCATTAGAGCCACTCCCCTTCCAATGTCTATCCCAATGAATGGCACTGCCGTCAATTCAGTAGTGCAATTTAAGAGACCTGGAGTCATTCTTGGTGCTTTCCTCTCCCTCCCTCTCCAGATTTTATGCATTACCGAATCCAGTCCACTTAACCTCTAAATACCTCTCAAATATATCCATTTCTCTTCTTCCCTATTCCCATATCACAAAGTCAAACCACCATTGTGTCCTGCGTAGGCTACTTCAACAAGCACTTAACAGATCTCCCTGCACCTGTTCTTGCCATCTTCCAGCCTATTATCCTGCAGTCAAAAAATATATATATTTTCAAAGGATTAATATGATAACTGCTCCCACCACATCTTCTCTGTGCCCCATCCAAGTCATTTAATGGTTTCTCAGTGCTCTTTGGAGAAAGATCAAATCCTTATCCTCCATAAGATATCCTGCGCCCTGCAGCTCCTACCCATCCTACATCCTCTATTCACGTCATGCTCCTACTGTTCTCTGAATTCCAACTGCACTGGTCTTCTTTCAACTCCTTGGCTATTCCAAGTTCCATCCAACTACAGGAAAGACTGAATTACAAATCCAGGGATCTCTCTTCTGTTAAATTCCCTCACAGCACCACATACTTCTTCATCATAAAACATATTAAAGCATTAATGTTACATGTATTTATATGTTTATCTGTTTGATGCCTATCTTTGCCACCAGACTATATGCTTCATGAAGATGGGACCATGCTCATTTTTGCTCACCATTATATTCATAGTACTAATCACTGTGCCTAGCACATACTAATATGCAATAAAAATGTGTCCAATGAATTATCATTCATTGTAATTGTATCAATTAGGCAATCAATAAATTATGTTTTCTTAGATTTCTTCCTGTTTTAATATTCATATATATATATAGCATATTAAATGACTGATATAGTTTAGATATTTGTCCCTGCCAAATCTCATGTTGAATCATAATCCCCAGTGCTGGAGGTGGGGCTTGGTGGGAGGTGTTCGGATCATAGGCACAGATCCCTCATGGCTTGGTGCTGTCTTTCTGTTAGTGGGTTATTGCGAGAACTGGTTGTTTAAAGATGTGGGATACCTCCCTCCCAACTCTCTCTCGCTGGTTCTTGCTTTTGTTATGTGATGTGCCTATTCCTGTTTTGCCTTCCACCATGATTAAAAACTCCCTGAGGCTTCACTAGAAGCTGAACAGATGCTGGCATCATACTTCCAATAAAGCCTGCAGAACCGTGAGCCAATTAAACCTCTTCTTTTTTAATAAATGACCCAGTCTCAGGTGTTTCTTTACAGCGATGCAGGAATGGCCTAATACAGTGACCTGTTGTCTGAAGCAGTTTTTCCTTCTTTTTGCACTCAGTTTACTCCATCCAAGATTCAAATTGTTTCCTTTTATGAAAAGAATTTCAGGACAATTTGGTGAACAAGTCTATGTTCGTATTTTTTATTCAAGATGATTGAGGATTCATCCTGATATCTAAAAAAATGACAGCACATGTGCAAAAATGAGGATGCTAGAGAAGGTAGCTGTGAAATAGGAATGCTCCCTAGCAAGGTTTGTTAGCTGAAAGTAGGAGGGTAGGGTGCCAGAGCCTGATCTGTCTTTATTCAGCAGCTTGACCATGAGGAAATCACTTCCTTCCCTGGTCCTTGGTGTGTTCATCTGGGAAATTAAAACATTGTTCTAAATAAGGAGGCCTCTGCCTTCACCACATGACATGATTTATGAGAATGGCCATCCTACTGCCTGCCATTTCCATGTGAAACCAGAATTCTCACTGTGGGGAGAAGGTCTTTCAGAGCAAAGCTTTTCCTTCTCCATGGCTATATTTTTTTCTGGTAGTTCTTAATCTGCTACTTACAATGGGAATGTACCAAGAAAAATTGCACTTAGTCTCTGTAGAGTTCACCTTTATCATTCTGCCTAATACTCAGCCTTCCATGATGAGGAGGGAGAAGACGGTGTCTCATCTGCCAATAACCCATTTCTAGAAATGATGTAAGTCAGAATAGCAGGTGCTGTATTCTGGTGTGCACTGTAAAAGGAGAGCCTCAGGGTCAGGAGCCAGGACGCGTGTCCCAGGTCCTCCACTTCCTGGCTATGAGCTTTGGACATGGCCACTCAACTTCTGTGAGTCTCAGGTCTTTAACTAATAAAATATATATCTAACTGGGTTACTTCACAGAGAGGTCATGAGAACCATATAGGACAGCATTTAAGAAAACAATCTGAAAACATTAGGATGCAGTAAACATGGGCTTTCAAATGCCCGAAAGATGTCTCAAGGAAAAAAGGCATATAGAGTCACAATAATGCCAATATCATGTAAATTACACTTCCAGCAGTCATTTGGTGCCAACTCCTAGGCGCCTCCTTCTCCACAGACCAAGGTCACAGCATTCCAAAAACCGTATCCCCCTCTAAGTGATCCTCTGAGAATTTCAGGACTATTTAGTGAAGAAATCACTGTTCACCTTGCAGGACGAGAAACGATTGAGACTGTCATATTTAGAAAAATGATAGCATCATAAACAAGTAGACATCAATAACAAATGGATAAAAGCATGTTCAAGATATTCTAATTCAAAGTATTATGTAGACTGAAAAACAATAGTATTTACCCAAGAAAATGTACTTGTTGCTGTGGTTCAGTAATAACTTTTTTTTAGCACTATCTGAGACCAATTTCTCTGAACCAGCTTGTGGTCAGTAGAATGAAAATCCTTACGTATAATGTTGATTGATTTTCAGTAATGGTGCCAAGACCATCAATGGGGAATGGACAGCATCTTCAATGAATGGTGCTGAGAAAACTGGATATCTACCTGCTAAAGAACCAACTGGGTCCTTACCTTATCTTACCTTACCTTATACTATATGTACAAATCAATTCAAATGGAATAAAGACATAAAACTATAAAGCTCCTAGAAGAAAACATAGGGCAAGAGCTTTATAACATTGCATTTGTCAATGATTTCTTGGATATGACACCAAAAGCACAAGCAACAAAAGAAAAAATAGATAAACTGAACTTCACTGAAATTGAAGACTTTGTGCCCTAAAGGACCCTTGCAAGAGAGTGAAAAGGCAACCCAAAGAATGGGAGAAAGTATTTGCAAATAACTTTATCTGGTAAGGAATTAATATCTAGAATATATAAAGAGGTCCTATAATTAAAACAAATGAGCAGCCCAGTTCAAACCTGGTCAAAGGCTCTGAATAGATATTCCTCCAAAGAAGATATACAAATGGCTAATAAGTACCAAAAGATGTGCAATGTCACTAGCCACTAGGGACATGCAAATCAAAACCACAACAAGATACGATTTCACACTTATAGGATTGCCATTACCAAAAAACAAAAAATTTAAAAAAAAAACATATTGGTAAGGATGTAAAGACATTGGAAGCTTTGTACATTTCTGATGGGAAGGTAAAATGGTGCAGTCACTGTGAAAACACTTTGGTAGTTCCCCAAAAAATTAAACAGAATTACTATATGATCCAGCAGTTTCACTCGTAGGTATATATCCAAAAGAAATGAAGAGAGAGAATCAAACAGACGCCAATATTCACAGCAGTATTATTCACCATAGCCAAAATGTGGAAACAACTCAGATGTCCACCAACAGATGACTGAATAAACAGAATATGGTATATACATAGAATGGAATATTATTCAAGCCTAAAAAGGAATAAAGTTCTGACACATGCTACTACATGAATGAACCACAAACATTATGCTAAGTGAAATAAGCCAGATATAAAAGGACAAATATTATATGAATCTACTTACATGAGGTACCTAGAACGGGCGAATCCATATAGACAGAGGGTCGAATAGAGATTACCAGGGGCTGGAGGGAGGAAGGAATGGGGGTTAATGTTCAATAGGTGCAGAGTTTCTGTTTGGGATGATTAAAAGTTCTGGAGATAGATGACTATGACGTTTGCACAAAAATGTAAATGTACTCAATGTCATTGAATTGTACACTTAAAAGTGTTTAAAATGGTAAATGTTATGTATATTTTACCACAAGAAATAAAATATAGACTGGAGGTCCTCATGTCATGGAAAATTGTTTTTCTGTCACTTAGTATGTAAAGTGGATGTGTTCTATTTACTGAAGAGTCTTCGAGATCAGGGAGGAAAGACAGAATTCATAGAAAAGAGACAGCACCTGAATTTTCCAGTGCCCCCTGCAGCCCTTACTCATGCTCATCAATCTAAGGTTTTCTGCAATCAATTTTCTTCTTTCCCCCTTTCAAATGCTTTTCATGATGGCAAATAAGGATGTCAAGCTTCAGCACCCTTGCATCTCTGGATAAATGAAATGTCACCCCAGCTGCCGTCCTTGTTCAGATCTGTGCAATAAAGAGCAAAGCATAAAACCAAGTCAAGGCTTTGAGTAAGTCTGGGGAAATAAAAGACACCAGTCCTTAGGGGCTGGAGGAGGGGAAACAGCCGAGAGAGGGGGGCGGGAGGGGAAGCAAGAAGTCGTCCAGATGATGAAAGCGTTTTATAACTTGATGTGAAATGTCCAGATGGTGGTAGTTACATGTATGTTTACTTGAGGATTATTTATAACATACACTTGTATGTAATATTTTGAATGTGTCCTAGAGCTTGTGAAAAAATTGCCTTTAAAACGTATAATTAACAAGATTGTTGACAAACTGAGTGTAATAAATGAGGAAGACAAACTCATTGAGGAAGTTCCCAATCTTCCTGTCTGGATGACTTTTCTGTCTCTCAAAACTGCTGCCTGTTAACTTGCTCTTAGCAGTTAGTTCTTCACAATGGAAATGACATCAGTTCAAAGTGTTAGTCTTTACCTTTCACTCAATCTAACTTATCTCAGTGCAGTCCCTAGGGAAAGGATGAACCCTAAACTAAGAGCCAAAATATTACTGAAGTGATAGACTTAAATTTCCTACTCTCACGACTGTTGGAGCAGAAAATTTCACAATACTTTGTAATAAAAGCAAAAAGTGTAAATCTTAAAAAAAAAAAAAAAAAGTACTCCAATAATGGCCTTTTCCCTCTGCCTTGCAGGGGAGTGACCTACAAAATGCATAATGTGAAACAATGCAAAAGCGAAAGGTGCAAAATCCCCATCAAAGAGCTGGAGGCTGACAGATGCGCCAGTGATAATTCCCATCTTCCAACACAGGAGCACAGCTTCCATTTTCCATAACAGAACAACAGCCAGAGCAGCTGGAAGGCAGGGCCGCATCCCAGACTTCCACCAACAATGGGATGAGACTTGACATCTGGAATCACAACCACAACAGACCTGAGAGACCCACCAGCTTGATGACAAGCTTCTTCTTTCAAAGAAAGGTATCAGTCTGGGGGACCTAGTGCTGCAAACCATGACAAATTAAGTGTGGCATCCCTCACTTGCATAATGGAACTCAGTGATATTTTTTAATTAACAAGAGTTATTTTTATGTAAGCTTCTCTCATTCCTCCACTGTGCGTGCTCGGGGGCTGGTGGTGAGGAAAAAGAAAACAGCTGTGCGGGAAGCATCAAGAAAAGGCAAGTCATGAAGTCTTAGAGATCAGTGACATGTAAGAAAAAGAGTGAGGAGAAAAATATTCCTACTAAAGTTTTCCATTTGTTTACCTTCCTTGTCACATAGACTTCCAAGAGTTAGAAGTCTAGGATTTGATCTCCAAATCTTCCTGGCAGATTACTCATCTTCATTTCATTCATATAGTCCAGGGGTTTGTACAAAGGAAGATGCCAGTTCTTCCCCAATCATAACTAAGATATCAAGAGATATTCTTTTGAAATGTAACAAAGGAGATCTGAAGTTCATCTGAAAAAAATAAATGGGTAAGTATACTGACAAATATTTTGGCAAAATAAAAGTAATGAGGAGATACTAGCATTAGCCTCATCAGGCATTAAAATATATTATAAAGTTATAATATGTAAAACAGCATGGGACTGGCACTGAAACTGACAGTTCAACTGAAGAGAATAGACAAGTTAGAAGTAAGTCTTGATGTATGTAAGAATTTAATAAATTTGAAAGATGGTAAGGAAAGATAGGATTGCTTAAAAAATGGTTTTGGTGCAATTGATTAACTTTTCATAAACTGGGTCAGCTCTTACTAGATATTGCTCTGAGACACTCACCCACCCCAAGTGTCCCCCAGCTCTCTGAGCTTCCCAGCTATATGACATCAGAGCTCAGGAAACTCTGGTCCTCTCCATCCTGGTCTCCCACCATTTTCTCTGCAGCCCCCAATCTTCCTGAGATCACAGCTCCCATGGGCACCATTACCCTCTACTGCCAGCATCACTCTTGGGCAAGGAAAACTCCACCCTCCCATGAGCTTCTTACGACAAAGTGTGGTCACAGGCCTCCATAACTCCCATAGAACACCCGAGATCAGGAAATCTGCAAGTATCTGGGATGTCTTTATTATAGTCAGTGGTTGCCAGAGGTTAGTGGGGAGGGAGGGATGAATAAGCAGAGCATAGAGGAATTTTAGGGCAGTTGAAACTACCCTGTATGATACTATAACGGTGACTATATGACATTTTATATAGTCCAAACCCATAGATTATATTGTTAAAGAAGAAATTATTCTGCCACTTGTTAAAACAATAATGAAGATTTTATTCAGGACTATTACGATGGGTGTTGAAACTTACTACAACAGGCTAGAGAATTCAGGCTCAATTCCAATATAACAAAGACAGCTGAGGACTCATAGCCCATGAATAGAATGAGGGAATCAGTGGGTGGAAAATTCCTAAGAGGAGAAATCAAGAGCAGAGAGATTCTTGTTAAACCAACTTAGGGTTCTTGCTAAAGGCAAGCCAGGGTGACCAGATATCAAGAGTGGGGGAAGCAGAAATTGATCATACATCCAGAGTGATCAGATTTCAAAGATGTAGCGTTTCTCACTAAACTGACCGAGCAAGATTTTTTTTAGACAGAGTCTCCCTCTGTCACCCAGGTGGAAGTGCAGTGGTGTGATCTCAGCTCACTGCAACCTCTGCCTTCCGGGTTCAAGCGACTGTCCTTCCTCAGCCTTCAGATAGGTGGGATTACAGGTATGCACCACCATGCCTGGCTAATTTTTTCGTATTTTAGTAGAGACGGGGTTTCATCATGTGGCCCAGGGTGGTTGCAAACTCCTGAGCTCAGGCAATCCTCCTGCCTTGGCCTCCCAAAATGCTGGGATTACAGGCGTGAGCCACCGCGCCCAGCCACAAGATACTTACTGAGTGATGCAAGCCCAGCAAGGACAGGCCGGAGGCCCAGGTCGAGGCCTAGTCAAGAAGAGGACTCAGAGGAGCATAACAACAGCTTGGTCAAGGATCAGGAGTCTTTGTCAGTGTAACACCCAGAGTGAGCTGTAATGTAAACTATGGATTTTGGGTGAGAATGACATGTCAATGTAGGGTCATCAATTGTAACAAATGTCCCACTCTGGTGCAGAATGTCAATAGTGAAGGAGACTCTGCAGGTGTGCGGTCAGGATAACAGAACAGAACTCTGTATTTTCTGCTCAATTCTGCTATGGATCTAAAACTTCTCTAAAAATTAAAGTCCATTAAAATATTTTTAAATTAAATTGGTTTAAAAAAGGAAATGAAATTGGATCATTCCTGACTATGGCACAGGTAGCAAGACCAGCCCTATGCCCTTCCCTAGACAGGAAGTTTCAAGCCAGATCACTAGCTCTGGTGCCAATCGATCCCTAGAGATTTGATAATCTTTGCCATGCCCAATAGTAGGAGTGCTGGTTCTTTCATGCATGGCTCCCTGTTCTATCATCTCTCTCCACTTATCCTCTGTTCTGTTGAAAACACTTCGGATTGGCTACCCAAGAGCTACTCATAACCCCTTCCCGCTTGCTTTAATAAGGGTTATCGGGAAGGGATTTGGGGAATGTTTTTAAAGGCCACAGACTGAACCAGTAGACCCCCTTTAGCCTGTTGCCCTTTCTCCATTCATCTTGCCTAGAATGTGGATGTAATGTCCGTCTTGTGACTCTGAGGATGAAAGCCACAAGCCAAGGATAGCAGAGTACAAAGAGAGAAAGAGGCTGGGATATGGATGACATTGTGAACTCTGGACTGCCTATTTAGATATGTTTTGCCTGAGACGAATGGATACTTTATTGTTTAAGCCCTTTATAGTTGAGATTTTGTTACTTTCGGCCAAACATAATGCCAATTGTTATATTTTTCTACTCCCCAAATTAGCAGAAGGGGCAAATCAGCAAACCTACTGCATAAATATCCAAGTGGGATGCTGGGATCCCTAATTTTTTAATGTGGTTTTTAGTGGGAAAGCATTATTTATCTCCACAGCACAGCACTTCCTGCTAGGTGAAAACTTGTACTTGCAATGATTCTCTCTTCCTGCTTCCAGGGTTCTGCTTTTATAGATAGGGAGTAGTGGGAGAGGATATTAATTGTGATAGGACTTATGCTATTTCTACCTCATTAACAATTTTTAAAATATTTAAGAATGTGGGATATTGCATCTGAAAAAGACTATCGACTAAACATGGTTTAGACTAGTGATGGTTTGTGGGTCTAGAAGTAATTTTTTAACATAAAAATCAGTTCACCTCTCTACTCCTCTACCTTCTGTGGAAGATTGTATTACATCTTTGCCCCATGGATATTGGGCTTGGTCAAATGACTTGCTTAGACCAACGGATGTGAGCAGAGGTTTTCAGCGTGCTTGCTGGTTTGGCGGCTTTCCCTCTTGTCTTTCTGCTATCTGCCATTAGCAGAGCATGCTCTGGCAGCTTCCATCTCAGAATGCAGAGGCAGTTGAAGCCATCAGGAACCCAATCTTCAGCTTGAAGCAGAGCCTCCACAATTGACCCACAGAACCATAAGCGAAAAATAAAGTTGGTTCTTGTAAACCATTGAAAATTGGGATTGCTTGTTATGCAGCATTAGGCAATAATAGTTGACTAATACACTTCCAATGTCTTTCAGCTCATTCTGAGGAGAAAGTCAAAGTTTACAGAGTGATTCAAAAGAATCCTCATATTCTGGCTCCATTTACCTCTCTGACTTCATCTTCAACTACTTTTTTCCCTTCTTACTCTGCTCCAAATACACCATCCTCCTTCTTCCTCCTCTAACATGCCAGATGTGTTTCTGCCTTGGGACTTTGCACTTGCTGTTTCTCCTGCATAGAACACTTCCTCCAAATTCCTGCATGGCTTATTTGTTAATTTTCCTGTGATTTCCCTTTCTTTAAGAAAGTCATCTCAGTGAGAAGTTATCTAACCATCTGACTGTAAACTGCATTTCCCAGTACTCAGTAGCCCCTTCTTTGATTTACTTTTCTATTTAGCACCAATCATCATTTATCCATTCTCTTCCCACCACCCCACTACAGGACAGGGACTTTATTTTATTCACAGCAGTATTCCCAGGGTCTAGTCAGAGCAGTGTCTGGCACATGGTAGGCACCTGTTGATTATTCATAAATGAACAAAGGGATAAAGGAACAAATTAAAAATCTCAACATAAAAATTTATAAATAATTCCTAAATTATTTAATAAAATATTACATTTTTCTTTAATAAATAAAAACAATACACAAATGACATTTCATAAAAAATCAATGGTTAGAAAAAGAAATATAGGTGCTCTTGTTTGTAATCAAAGAATCAGGAATTAATGTTACAGAGAGGTATTCCATCTCCTTTCAAATTGGCAAATGTTTTAAAGAATTATAATACTCATGATGGCAGTAATTCTCTTTGTCTGGCATGGGTAATCTCACAGACTGTGGGTGGAGATATGTAGAGATTCATCCTCTTGGGAAAGCAATCAAATGCCTTTACATCTTTATACCTTTACATCATCGGTCCACTAATTTCCCTTCTAGAAATCCTTCCCAAAGAAGAAATCAGTGTTGGAGGCAAGAAATTACATATCAAAAAGTTTCTTACAATGTTATTCATAATAACACAAATTTAGAAAAAAATCTTATCAGTCAATAATAGAAGGATCATGACATGAATCATGGTGTATTTTTAGAAATTTCTTATGTTTTTTACTTTTTTGATCGATACATAATGCTTTTACATATTTATGAGGTACAAAGTATCACATGTACCCCATCAATATGTAAAAGTATTATGTATCAATTATGCATAGAATGTGTCATGATCAAGTCAGGGTATCTGCGTGTCCATCATCTTCAGTATTTATCACTTCTATGTGGGAACATTTCAAGTCCTCTCTTCTATTTTGAAATATACAATACATTGCACGTGCACCACTGAATTTAAAATAGAAGTTTTATAAAAACGAGAACAAAAATGCAGAGATGCCAGAGGCTTACATGAGGTCACTTTGCAGCACCAAAGCCCATTGTGATCCACTCCTGTTAACAGAGGTGGGGGGAGTAGATAAATGGGTGGGTGGGGAGTGTAAATGATAAAGCTGGGGCATAAGAGTGGGGAAACATAGGACACCCCCAAATAGCCATCTCATTTTTTCTGTTTCCCTCCATGCCAAAAAAGCACATTTTTACCTAATAAAGGAAGGTGGTATGGAGCAAGCGAATGTGACTGTCAGTCAAGCAAGCTTGATGCATCATTCCCCGCTTCCACACCTCCATGCCCCAACACAATCCCTGACCTTCCTCTGCCCACTGGAGCACCCCACCTGGACTGTGTGTGCCACAGTTCCCTTCATTAGCTCCCCCCACACACTAGCTTTCACATGGACACTCCCTGAGCAAGTAGCGCTGAGCTGAGCCCAGCCCTCTTCCTCCCCATTTCCGGTAAGTTTTAGGCGGTCATGACCATGGGATGCTGGACCAGGATGGTAAGCTTCAGGAAACAGAATCTGGAGAATGCCCAGCTGCTCCCACAGGAAGCATCAGGGAAGAAGAAGAAGAGGTGTGAAGTCTGCCTTCTGCTCTGCTGGGATCCCTTTCACATCTCCTTTGCCTCCAGGCAGTTTTGGTTCCTGGCCATTTCCAGGTGTGACTCACTCAGGATGGTAAGCATCTTCTCTCCTACCCAGAGTAGAGGATGAAGACCTCATCTCAGAGGTTGAAGGGAGCTCCAGAGAGAGGTCTCAAACTTCCAGCATTAACTGCTAAAGAAGCTTCATGAGCTGCTGGAGAACCTGGGAAATGACCAATTATAGGGACAGAGCTCAAATACTCTGGGACACTCTAGTAGCTGAGAAAGTTCCAACTCCAGGGTGATAGAGGACTGCCTGGCAAACCATCATCAAAGCAGAAGACCTGATACTAACATCACAGGCTATGGTTTATTACTGAAGATCAGTGCTTACACCCTGCCAGAGGTTCAGAAGCAAACTTATCATTGTTCTCCCTGGAGATGTTGGCCCACATTCTGAAAAGTGTGGTCAGTAGTAGCAACAGAAAGCAATTGTGCTTGCCAAGCACAATGTCACTGTCCCCAGCCCTTCCCCCAACACAACCCAGTAGGTGCTTCCTGGCTGCAAACTTGGGAAAGTCACTTGACCTGTCTGAGGTTCCACTTCCTAATCTGGCCTGGCGAAGATAAGAAAAACAGTTTATTTAAAGTGTCTAGCAAAGTGCTTGGACCAAAATAGGACCTCTGAAATGGTTATGGTAGTGCTGTTAAGGTGATGTTTTAAGTGCTGATGAGCACAAAGATGGGTAAGATATTCCTTCTGTTAAAATCTACAGTCTAATGAGAGAGAACAAGATGAATGCACAATAACTGTCATTCAGAACAGGATTATGAGAAGGTGTGAATTTCTGTGAAAAATCAGAACAGGGAGTAATATGATCCCAGGTGATTGGCAGGGGGTGGGGGTCTGGATTCAACTGGAGAGGGAGCTGGCAGGGAAGGCTTCCTGGAGGATGAGAGTTCAACAAGGGGCAGGTGTAGGATGTGGGTGGCCAAGTGACTGGGCAGAAGGAGCTGCAGAAGTAAGACCCCAAATCAGGAAGACAAGGGCCTGCTGAGAAACACGAGCTACAAAGTGCAAGTGCAGGAAGAGTTGGGATGAGATTAGAAGGGGGTCTGGGGCCAGACTGTGGAAGGCCCAAATGCCGGGCTAAGGAGTTTGTACTTAATTCAGTGGTCAACGGGGAGTCATTGGAGGCTGTTGAGCAGGAGAGTTGCTTTCTTTACAGCTGTGCCAGACTAAATTAAACCTAAACAGTACTTTATAGCTGGAAAGGGAAGGCCCAGGAATAGCTCTTGACTCAGAAACAGGCATTGGGGAAGGTAATGAGAAACAGCCGTGACTGATCAAAGCAGAGAGGTTAATTAAATTTGTAATTATTGTGAAAGGCCATTAAAAACCCTAGTTCACTAGAGATAACTGCTCTAGTGGGGCTTCAAAGACAAACGCTTCTTTTAACCTTGAATAGGGGGATGTTTGCTTCTCTGTGGAGGAGATATGATTAAGATACTTAATAAATGGTAGATAAACATGCACACGTGTGTGTTCTCTGTAAACCCACTCTTCGTCCCTGCATATATCTGTGTAGCTATGTAGGGTGCTCCACAAGAGGGGTCCCCAGCCCCCAGGCCATAGAGCGTTATGGGTCCATGACCTATTAGGAACCAGGCCACACAGCAGGAGTTGAGCAGAGGGCAAGCAAGCAAAGCTTCATCTGTATTTACAGTCGCTTCCCATTGCTCACATTACAGACTGAGCTACCCCTCCTGTCAGATCATCACCAAAGTGTATTTATTGGCACTTATAAATTACATGGTATAATTTTCGGTCCATCTCCTAAAGCCTAGCTGGTAAAAGAAGATGAATTAGGAAGCAATAAAGTGAAAAGATTTTAAGACGAATAAGGAAGCAATAAAGTGAAAATGAATACACACCAGATTTTATGGTCATGGTAGAGAGTTTCAAGAAGGGAAGAGCCAGGAAGTCTTCCTGGAGGAGACGTGAAATTCTGCTGCTGTAGCAGAAACCCAAATTCTAAAAAGCTTAAACACAACAGAAGTGATTAGTCCCATGTGTCTAAGAGTAAGCATCTAGGGATGATACAGTGTGGACCTTCTAGGGCAGCTCCATGCTGTTGGAGACTCCATCCCTTCCTGTGGTTCTCTGCCTTCCTAGTGTACAGATGTGCATCCACATAGTTCAGTGAGTCCACACCCTGTCCACATTCCCATCCCAGAAAGCGGCAAGGAAAGAGGATGCCCCTCCCTTTAAGAATATGATCCAGAAGTTGCACAAACTTGCTCATGAATGATCTTGTTTTGTTACTAGAGAAACTGGGACTTGTGGTCTTTGTTCTGGCCAATCATATTCCCAGCTAAAATTCTATCACCGTGGAAGAAGACAGAATGAATATTGGAGAATAACCAGCAATCTTGGCCATATACGTGAGGCTCAGCTGAGCCTTGAGCAATGGGTGGGAGTAGGGGTAGTGGCACAGGGCCAGTGATTTGGGGGTCAGGAGGGGAACAGAGGGCATCCCAAGCAGGCTGGACTACATGATAAAGAACTGGGAGGTCCATCCTACGCACAGTGAAGAAATGAACATATCAGAAATGGAAGCTGAAGTAAGGAATAAAACCAGAGATGTTCACTGGAGTCAGACAGATAATGAGCCTTGATGGTCCATCAAGATGGTTCTCAGGGAAAATGTGTCTAAGGAAAATGTGTTGGTCAGGACAGCAGAGGATGAATTAGATGGGTTAGTGATGGGAGTCAGGAAGAACCATTCGGAACTTCTTTCAACAATCTGCCCATAAATTGATAACAACTCTGCCCAGGACGGAAGCCCTGGATTGAGAGAATGGGTGGCGTGAGAGTGTTTCATGGAAGAATAACAGGGCTTCATTTCTGTTGGGCTATCGGAATGAAGGTGCCTGGGAAGCTGCCTCCCTGACATGCATTCTCTAGGGCTCCCCAAGTACCCAGGCATCCTTCCTGCCTGTGTTCACAGCACATGATACCAGCACCATATTCAACAACAAATATTTGTTCAACATAAGCTTCATGTGGGCACAAAGTTTGGCACATAGTAGATACTCAGCCAGTATTTGTCGAATAAATGGCTGGATGAATAAGTAACCAAAATGCAGGCACAGAACACACTGGGTACTGCACCCAGCAGAGGCCATTAAAATATTCCGGGGAAAGTCAGCTATCACATCTTTAGGATTTTACTCAGAAAAGAGACTTACACAAAGTGTTTTCTGCAAACTGTCATAACAACAGCAGCCATTTGTGACATCATGGAGTGAAGTGGGACATTATTCTCTGAGCCAAACAATTTCTTCAAATCAAACCCACAGAAGAAAAATGCAGATACCAGGTAAGCCTGGTTGTGTATATTCTCATATTATTTTCTCCTTTTAAATGCCCAGATTTCCTGAACTGGCTAGATGTGGGTAGTTCCAATGCGACCGTTATTCCTGGGGCTTTCTTACATACTCCAACTTCCATTCTGTGAATGAATCCAAAGAAGGTTGCCTTGACAACCATTCACCTCTCTCTCGTCAAGCACCCTGAACAGCCTCAAGTGCTTCATTGAGATAAAAGCCCGCAGAGCACCCAGACTCAGGACCTCTCATGACGCACAGCAGCTGAGAGTCTAACCTGGGATGTGCTGCTGTAGATAAAAGTCCCGAAACGCTTCCTTTCCATCACCTTTCCTGTCAGCTACCGCAGCCATTCCCACTGACAGGTGAGCACTAGATGCAATTCTGCCAAAGAGAAGCCACATTAAGAGGCTCTTTGGCAATGGGCCCATGAATTGTTTGTTCCAGATAACTATGACATTGTGCGATTAGGTAACAGACTCATCAAATCCTTTCTATGCCACTTAGCCTGGGCAGTATCTTGTTCCAGCAGTGAGAGGTCTGTTATTTCACAAGTCCCTGGATGTTTTTTTCTGGGCTTCAGTAGAAGGGTAGGAGTCCCATGACATCCTATGAATCCAAGATTTTAATATCTAAAACACCAGAAGAAAAAGCCTCAAACCCAGCCCCAATTTTACATTTTCATAATATGAACCCAAGCAACATCTATAGATTTATTAAAATAATTAAGCCAGAATAAAATGGACCAAAATATATTCTCTGAACCAAACCAACATTTTGTTCTATTCAAATATTCCAAAGAGCTGAAAGATGGAGTCATATGGTAAACACTGCCAAAATTTCCTAGAATGGGGATATTGCTTTCAAGCAGCATTGAATTTGGAGGTGAATGTTTTAAGATATTATTATGAAGCCATTTATTCTGCAATTAGTATATAGCAAGCCCAGTACCCGGTACTTATCATGCATAACTTTGTTGAATTCTCATAGTTGACAGTTTGTCTTATTAGCCCCATATTATAGATGAAGAAATGCTTAGCAAGCCTGTGTAGACTTCTCAAGGTCATACAGCCAACCAAACACAGATTTTAGCCCAAGAGTATGATCTTACTCTCACATCCATGCCCTTGTAGGTGAAAGAGAGAAAGGAAGAGGAGGAGGAGGAGGAGGAGGTAGAGGAGAGGAAGAAGAAGAAGAAGAAAAAAGGAGGGAGGGAGGGAGGAAGGGAGGCAGGGGAGGCAGAGGAGGCAGAGGAGGCAGAGGAGGCAGAGGAGGCAGAAATGGGGAAAGAGAAAGGAAGAAGAAAAGGAAAGGAAATAGGGAGGGAAAAATTGGGGTAGGGTGAAAATAAAGCCAGAATCCCGTCTTGAAATCTAAATTGCTTGTCTTAGTGAGGCAATGATCTGGCTAATTTGAAAGTAAGAAGTACATATCTGGCCCCCTATCGGCATGGGTGGTTTGAGAATAAAGAGAAGGACCTGAATGTCAAAGACAGACAGGCTTTGACTGGAGGCTGTCAAAACTTGTATTTGAAGGAATACAGTTGTCTTGTATTCCTTCTTGTATTCTCTCCAGCCAGGGTTCTAGCCTTTAGGATGCCACTGGGTTAAGTCTCACCCAGAATGCTGCCCTGCCTTCTGATGTCCTAATCCAAAGTGCATTTAATTCTTACCTTTGAGAGGATTGTGGGAAAGGTACTAAATCCTATGGTTCCAAGGGTGATCTTATACATTTTAGATAGCAAATAGCATTTAAGGTAGAGCACAAGCCATTTTACATTCTAGAATCAAACCCCATGCCAGAATGTCAGTCCTTGACAGTGGTAGCAAGTACCTCAAATGTGATATGTATATTAAAGATTTTATTTTCTTTTAAAAAATTATTTCATTTTTATTGAGACAGGGTCCTTATTATGTTCCCCAGTCTGGTCTCAACCTCCTGGGCTCAAGTGATCTTCCCACCTTGGCCTCCCAAAATGCTAGGATTCCAGGCATGAGCCACTATGCCCAGCCAGATTTGAATTTTCAATTTAGCTCCGACTTATTTAGACTGAAAAGACACAGTATATGTGGGCTGATAGGAGGATGAAGTGGGCAGGATACATATGCTTTTATACTTATAGCTTGTAAGACATAAGTATTTTTGCAGCTAGGTCTTACAGTAGAAAGTTCTAGGAGGTGTTAGAGGCAGGTGGACAAAAAAAATTTCAACATTAAACAGAATATGTGAACGTAGACCAACTCTCATTCAGAATTACAGGTCTGGGGACCTTACAAATTGATTTGTCCTCGTGGGATGCTTAGATAAAAGCTAAAATTGTTCTTATTCCCCACCTTACAAAATGAAACCAAGAAAGGAGATTGAATACTTTTTAATGGTGAAATTTACCGGAATACCTAATTGCTTGAAAAATATTGAGAGATTTGCAACTGGAGGAGAGTCTGAAGTGAACTTAGTGATAAATCAGAGAGTAGGAAGCATAAACACACAAGCACAGATGAAACACCCAAGGTAATAATTAACTCAAGAGAAACAGAGAAATTATGCAGCAAAAGAAAGTAATCATAGTTTACTACATGTCATTTGTATAGAACATCTACATATCTGTAAAATGCAAACAATGACTATTGTATCCAAAATTACAATATAACCATATTGCAATAATGGGAGGTCCAGAAAGTGTGTGGGTGTGTATGTATGTTTGGTGTGTGTGTAGTGTGTTTGGGGTGTGGGGGGGGGGGGCTGTGTGTGTTTTCATGGTGTGTGCTGGGGGGTGTGTTCATGGGGTGTGTTTGTGGAGTTTGTGAGGAGTGTGTTGTGTGTGTGTATGTCTGTGTCTTGGTGGCAAGAAGTAAAAGGGAACTAGATCCTCACTTTACAGAGCAAGAAATCCTAATAGCAAGACAAGCACATTATATAAAGATATGAAGGTTAATGCCAAAAAAATGCACTAAAAGAGTTAAAAATGGCTGCCTCTGGGGAACAGAAAATTTGAGGAGAGTAGGGACTGGAGTTTTTACAATCTGATTTTTTAAATTATGTGCATGTGTAACTTTGATAGAAGAAAAATCTTTTTTAAAATGATGCACCTATGATGATGCTATACACAATTTAGAGGTCAATAAACATGAGCTATTCTTATTAACCATGGAATGTTACCATCTTTAAAATGGGCCAGTGACAACAGACTCCATGCCTCTCCATATGACAACCTCATGACGGAGCTTTCTAGAGCCCAGATCCTCAGAGAGCACCTCCTGTCTGCCACACTCCATGCTAGGCCCTGAGATGCAGCAGTGAACATTCAGACCCAGCTTTGCCTGTCCCCGGGTTCATTCTAGTGGGGATGACACAAGCATCACCTGCATTTAGGACAAGCACTGGGGGTGTTGGGTTTTTTTTTTTAATGCAATTTGGGAGGTGAGCACTTGGTTCGGTGTATTTGGATTTTTGGCACCAAATTCGGTTTTTGAGCCCTGACTCTCAACTCCTGTTGGCTGGTGCTGACAAGGCAACTAGCTTGGCTTGGTTTCGTAAGTTCTTGGCGACGGTAATCAGGACAGGTGCTGTGCTCTTAAGCCAGCTGTGGTTAATCAAAGAGAAGTCCAATCAGGGTGCACAAAATGCTGGAGTATATAGGCCCACTGTGGCCAGGTCGTCCAGTGCTCATGTTTAAAGAGGAGACCAGACTAGGGATAGGAATCTGACCTGCAGCTCACCCAAGGTGGCACCGATCAACAGTTCA
This sequence comes from Homo sapiens, assembly GCF_000001405.40. Taxonomy (NCBI): domain Eukaryota; kingdom Metazoa; phylum Chordata; class Mammalia; order Primates; family Hominidae; genus Homo; species Homo sapiens. The sequence goes on from NC_000008.11 coordinate 29,804,092, forward strand.
GAGCGGAAACTCCGACCTTCTGATTGCTTTACACATCACTGAGCTGTTTAGAAGGCCCTTCACATTTTGGGTGAATGAACGGATTTGAGCAATCACACTTCAAAGTTGCTTTTTCCATCTAGGCCCTTGAACTGACATTCCAGAGACCAAAGCAAAATGTTGAAAAGCTGCTCCCCGAGTCCCTGGGAACCTCTCCACATCCCCTGAGCTGTGTCAAGCCTCAGACTGTGACAGAGCATCTCCCAGAGCCCCATGCAGTGATTCACAGAAGCGGTGGGTGGCTAGAGAAGCCAGCAGGAATTTAAAAAGACCTAAGGTACTCACGTAGGAATGAGCCTATAAATTCCTCCCCCATCACCGTTGCCAAGGCAATGCAGGTGGGCCCGGAGCCAGCTCTCAGGCAGGAAAATCCCCACCTCCTCCCTCTACACACATTTGCCCTGGCTACATGTGGCTTTTTATGACAGCTTTGCTTCAGCTACTCCTCCTGCAGAAGGCGGCTTATTTTATCCAGATGCCAGCTAGGTTGCAATATTCCGAGAGCATGGAAGAGCCCACAGTGTGATTTTCTCTGAGCTTTGACCTCTCCCTTAGAGATAAGCCCACCTCAAGCCCCTGTTCTTCGAAACTCAGAGATACCCAGCACTTCAACTCTTGGATTGCAGCCTCCCCTCTGCTCCCCTGCCTTCCTTCATAGCCACGTGTTCAGACCTTCCCGATTCATCGACCATATTACAGCCTGAGGACCTCCTCATGGCAACCTGCCCTCCAATCTATGTCACCCACCAAAGCTGACATGCAAACCACAGGTGTTGGAGTCTACACCTGTTTTTGGAAGAGCAGTGTGGCCACAATCGTAAGGGAAAGACAAAGCCAGCTGTGTTTTGACCTCAAGGACTCTGTTTCTGCTCCCAGCAGGGCCAAGGGTGAGAAAGAAAAGGGTCAGCCACATTTTGACTCCATTTCTGTTTCTTTTCCCCAGAGGATTTTGTGATGTCTTTCGAATTCCCCTCCCCTGTGCTGCTGCACACAGAGACACCTTTTTATTCCTAGCCCAGCTGCTGCTATTCGTGATGACAGCCTTGCCATATGGCACCACTCACTCAGCTCCATCAAGCAGCATCAAGCTCATCTTAATAGTATTTACCCCACACTTCTCTGGCAGTCAAACTCAGCTGCACCCAGAGCTGTCCTATGGGTGTGCCCATCCACTGTACTCCATTGAGAATACTTACACGTGTGTATGGATGAAGCTAGATGTGTTACAGCTTCGTCTGGGCTGGGTGCTTTTTATTTTTTAATTGGTGTTTGTTCGTTTGTTTTGAGACAGTCTCTGTCTGTTGCCCAGGCTGGAGTGCAGTGGCATGGTATCAGCTCACTGCAGCCTCCGCCTCCCAGGTTCAAGCGATTCTCCTGCCTCAGCCTCCCAAGTAGCTGGGATTACAGGCACGTGCCACCATGCCCGGCTAATTTTTGGATTTTAGTAGAGACGGGGTTTCACCATGTTGGCCAGGCTGGTCTTGAACCCCTGACCTCAGGTGATCTACCTGCCTCAGCCTCCCAAAGTGCTGAGATTACAGGCCTGAGCCACCATGCCCAGCTTCAGCTTGGTGCTTGCTAAGATGAACCAAAACAGGCAATTAAGGACCAAAACAGGACAGAAGAAAGGTCCATTCTAAATGTTAACCCACTGTTGTCATTCACCAGACTGTTGATGCCTAATTAGTCGCCGATTGCATCAACTGATGGCAGCTGAGAGTCAAGGATGTCACTTGATCTAGAGATAATCTACTTATGCGCTGGAGAGTGGGTAGGGGTAAGCCCGAGTGAATGGGCACATGCACCAGATAGAGAGGCAGATGGAGCCCAAGCATCTGAGACAGTCATAAGTTTGGGGAGGGAACCTGAAGACGAGCACATGTGCCACCTTATCCATCCATCTAGCACGGTAGTTTTGTCCCAAAAGAGCCTGGGCATTCTACTGCCATCCCCTCTCCCCTTCCCTGAATGCCACCATCTAGGTAAACCCAGGGAAGTGTTTTGTTCTTAAGCCTATCCTCTGAGGAAGTAGGGACACGTTTGTGTGACCTGAAATCAATAGGGCCCATGGTGACCCTGTTTCCACCCAACTGTGGAAGCCCCCTGCCACATTAAGAAATGGAGTGAGCTAGAAATCACAGAAAGATCTAGGAAGCTAAAGACCATGAATACACTTTCAAAGCTTGTTTGAGCATTTCTTTTTTTCTTTTTCAGTATTTGAAGGATGAGGCTTATAAACTACTGAAATAAAATGTCATTGTCTAAGATACAGCAATTGACATATGTAAGTCAGCATATACAAATGAAATAGATCACTATGAATACTACTTTAAATGCTTTGCTTTTTAGGCCACATGGGGTTTTCAGGGGTGTGTTGAGGCAGACTCTAACCTCTGTCTCTAACCTCTGCAAGACGTGGGAACCCTTTCTGGAGCTGTCTCAACTGTGGTGTCTTCAGTCAGGAAGTGGGGATGACATCACCACATCTTAAATGTGGGCAGATTAAATAAGATGATGGGTATGAAGCCTAGCACATCACAGGTGCTCAATGCATGTTGGTTCTCTCCTCCTTACCTCCTTTCTCCTCCAAATCATAGACTTGATGTGTCGGCATCAGCACAGCCCTAGAACAATGAAAAAAATACAAAGAACAACAAGAACCTATTCAGTGTTTTTCACCTTGAATGATGTGAGTGGAAGACAAGGGAGACTGACATGTTAGTGAGAGAAATAAGATGGATGGACACTAAATGACGCCTGTTTGGACTGACAGTAGCCCATTCACACATTTCTCCAAAAAGGACTGATTATATTAGATGTGCAGCTCTTCTATCCCCTTTTCAAAAGAAAAAAAAAGAAAGGCTTAACAATTCTAGAGAGAGGCTATCAAAATCTGCCTTTACTGCTTATTTTCATGATCTCATGCATATTCCTCATCGTCCAGTATTATTTTATACAGATATAAATGTCTGGCTCCAACTATCAAAACAAGCCTGCTACCACTTGGGGGTTAAAACATGCAGGCTCTGGGCTCTCTGCAGAAAGGACTTTTTAAAAATTGTCAGATGCTTCCGTGAGGCAGGGCTGTGCGTGCCTGTGTGGTCTGAGCAGGCTGGCAATAGGAGGGCTCCCCTTCACAGAAACCCCCAGAGCGCAATCTTGGGGGACACATCGGGAGGCAGCCAGGCATGGGGATTTTCCAGCCTGCCTTCCCCGCCCTGCCTGTGACAACTCAGCTCATGCATCAGGCAGCGAATCCCATTCACGAAGCTGTCAGTGACTGCTGAATTCATTGAGAGACTCGGAACCCATCTCGCCGAGGTTCAACTGTGGGTTAATCCCAGCTAACCTAAATCATTGTTCCCTGAACACAAAGGAATGTGGAATTCTGTGCTGGGGCTGTGTGTCAGCACGGCTTCCTTGCTAGGTAGAAATATATTCAGCCTCAAGCGAGAGAGAATATATGAATATGTGAGTAGCTGGGCAGCTACGCTTCTCCCTCCAGCCAGAGGCTTCCATTTACTGCCGCCCCCAGGGCATCCAGAGGCATGGTTTGGACCACAAAATCCTGTTCTGTAAACAAATGAATCTCACAAGGGTCAGTTTTATTTTTTTCATGCTCCACTTCCAAAATCTACAACTGTAGGATGTTTGCTGTCTTCCCCTTCTACCATAAAGACAGCCACCAGTAGGGGAGGGTATGTGTAGGGGAGACATTGCTGTTTTGGGGCCATCCATTTAGAAAGCATTTGAGGTTACAGTGTCCCTTCATGAGGCACAACTCTGCAAGGACCAGTTCCATAGCATAGTGAGATTAATATGCATATTAGAATCTGTACATAATCTTCACACGCAGTAATTGCAGTCATAGGCTCTAGACATAAAGAAACATGCATTTTATAATAGTACTGGATCAATAAAAAAAACCCAGGAGTTAACATTTAGCTCACAAATTGAAGAAAATATTAAATTCATTGAGAAATAGGCAAACCATAAGGCTGTAAAATGGTCCATTATAGTCAGAAAACTCATCTGCATTGTGAGAGCGCTGAGTACAAGACCTCACCATAAATCTACAAAAGAAAGGCTACTCTTCCAGACTCAGAAGGAGAGAAGGGAACAAAAATCACATTAGCAATGTATATTGCTCCCAGATTACAAAATTAGGGTTTATAGGGAAAAATTCAGCCTGCAGTAATGGTCAGTAAAAATGACCGGTTTTATAGAACCGGAACTTGTAAAGATAAAGGAGAAAAGGCAGCAGGAAAAACATTAAAAAGACTCCCACAGAAACCTGTCCAGAAATAGAAATTCAGAGGACTTCCTGCCCTTTAATAAAATAAGCTCAATTGAGATGAAGCAGAATTATGGATGAAGCAAGGCAAATTATTTGATCAAACTAAGAAATTTTTTTTTAATAGTCATTCAGGAAAGAGCAAAAACCACTACAGTTATCTACCATGGATAGAGGTTGTTCAGAGCTGGTAAAGTAATTAAATCTGTCACCAGTCACCAGGCACGGTGGCTCATGTCTGTAATGCCAGCATTTTAGGAGGCTGAGGTGGGCAGATCACCCGAGGTCAGGAGTTTGAGACCAGCCTCGCCAGCATGGTGAAACTCCACCTCTACGAAAATACAAAAATTAGCTGAGCTTATTGGTGCATGCCTATAGTCCCAGCTACTCTGGAGGCTGAGGCATAAGAATCATTTGAACCCAGGAGGCGAAAGTTACAGTTTCGCCTTGATTGTATCAGCCTGGGCGATAGAGCGAGACTCCATCTCAACAAACAAACAAACAAACAAACAAAAACTGTTGCCAGAAGCTCACCAACTTGCATGCTGTGGCTTGTACCAATGGGTAGGTGCAGCTATGTAGCTAAGCTACACTTCAAGACTTCAACTGCAAATGTATGATAATAAATGGATTAAGCCAATAAAGTTTTATAAGTGCAAACCTAAGAATATATTCTTTAATGGCTGCTATGAAATATGCTGGAATAGGGCCAGAATATTAACACACATTCTGGCCAACACTTCAGACGTTTGGTTATTTAAGAGAAGTAATAGAGGCAGGGAGTTCCCCATCCGAGCTGTCTTCACTGCATTCACACCCACAGTCGTGAATGAAGGATCACTGTGAACCCAGCATTGCATCTAATGCTCCAGACACAAAGGTGGGAAGTTTCTTAAGATGCTCACAGTTAACTAGCACAAAAAAAAATTTTTTTTCAATCAATGCATGATGTGTAATAGGAGGCTGTGAGGGAAAGCAGGCTTGGGAATGACTTCTGTAAGAGGCTGGAAATCCTCTTTGCATCAAAGATAGCCATGTAGCCAAGCTATGGCCCTTAAGACAAAGTCAGAAATTTAGTTTTGTTTTAGGGGGTCTGGGATTGGGGGCTTCTTTGAAAGTTTTTTGTGATTTAAAAGGAATGACTTAACTGCTGCAAAACCCCCCCGCAGTCACTCTTTTTTTTTTTTTTCTATCTTTTCTCTTTTTGGCTTACGTAGAGATGTGAGCAGGCACCATAGCAGCTGTCTTGCAACCATGAGTAAAAGGCTAAGGAAATTGCAGAAATAACCCTGGCACCAGTATGTCTGCATTCTAATGTCACAGTAACCCCGACTGCTAAGCCAACACCAGTACCTGCCACCTACTGATGTCTTGTTATAGACAAGAAAAAAATCTACCCAGGTGTGTTTAGACCACAGTGGTTGGTGCAGCCAAATGCATTCCTAACTGACACATTTTCTAAGGAGTCTATCTCATGCTGTAACTCCACTAGTCAAATGTTGACACTGGTGCCTTATTGCTGATGAAGTCCAAACTTGTTTGCCTTTATTGTTAGTCTGACTTCTCCCTTCCTTTCAGCATTACCACCCCTGTTCCCAACATGAGACTCTCCAGTGGAGCCAGGATGGCCTCTTCCCTCTTGTTCCAGCTAGCAAATTAAATTTTCCTGCTGGAAACTCCTGTAGCCCTTGAAGAGTTGCACAATGATACACTTCTCTGTTTCCACCTGGTCCCCAGTGCTGAGCACTTTCTGAGGGCCAGAACTAGAGCACATGTTTACTTTTCCATGTCTCCCATGATAACTGGCATGCTACTGAGCACATCTGGGGAGACAGTAACAGAATGTCTGGCAGAAGCAAAGCTTAGCTAGATCTGCTCCAACCCCCTCCTTTTGATTGGACGGCCAAGACCCAAAAAGGTGAAGGGAACTCACTCAGGGTTACACAATGGAGTATTAATAGGCCCAGAATCACAACCCCAGGCTGCTGTCTCTTCGATGAGCATATTTTCCACTATACCTCACTGTCTAAAAGAAAAGTGCCAATTAGAGGCACACAAAGTAACAAAGCTGGTGATGACTATAATGGATGATTACGTCTTTTCAGAGGGCATGAAAAAGAGAGCTGAGTAGAGGCTGATGTGAAGGAGCTTCTTCAGTGTATAATTAACTGTTGGCTTCTTTGTATTGTTCCAGTAATGAACTCAGCAATGAGCTGCAGAACACCCTTGCCTGAAGGGGCAAGAATAGCAATGCCAGTCTTGTCGGAAGACTGCTTATGGGCTGGGGTCTTTGGCGAGCTCTGAGTCACTGGGTCCATTTCCCATTCACATGCATTTACGATGGAGCCTGACATGTACCTCAATGCCTCTCCTCTTTCTAACAGGCTGGGAACTGTGCTGTAAGCTGTTTTGTTGTTTGTTTTGAGACAGAGTTTTGCTCTTGTTTTCCAGGCTGGAGTGCAACGGCGCCATCTCAGTTCACTGCAACCTCTGCCTCCCAGGGTTCAAGTGATTCTCCTGCCTCAGCCTCCAAAGTAGCTGGGATTACAGGCGCCCGCCACCACACCCAGATAATTTTTTGTATTTGTAGTAGAGATGGGGTTTCACCACGGTGGCCAGGCTGGTCTCGAACTCCTGACCTCAGGTGATCCACCCACCTCACCCTTCCAAAGTGCTGGGATTATAGGCGTGAGCCACCATGACAGGCCCGCTCTGAGCTGTTTTGAGAAATGAAGCTTCAGAGATTATGAAAGACTGTGATCCCCAGAATGACTTGACTGGAGGCCCCTGAGAAGATGGAAGTTGTTGATTCACAGTCATAAAATCTTAGATTTTGGAGCCAGATGAAACCCTGGAGATGACCTAGTCCAATCTCTTTATTTTAAGATGGAAAAACTGAAGCCCAGAGACAGAAAGTGACTAGCCTGCAGTCACACAGCCAGGAGTGACAGAACTGTCAGATGCTGTGTTCCTCTGCTGCTTCCTGGATACACACACTGCTGGACACACCTCCCAGGCCTTGGCTCTCTGACGCCAGAGTGTCAAATGTCTTCCAGAGCCCCCTGAAGTGTCATGCTGCTTACTGGAAAGATACGTGGATTGCTACCTAACAAGAAATGAGGCAAAGCCATTTTTTTCCTCCCCAGCTAATCAATAACTGGACACAGGGGCCTCCCTTTCTTGAAACATGATCTAAAATACAACATAGGGTGAGTGAGGGATTTGGCAAGACTGCCAGTCCCTTTTGTTTAAACACAGAAGCCAGACAGATCAATGGATAGGGTGAACTACGTTGTATGATGTCGTTTGTCTTAATATCCAATATGAGGCTTTAAAACTAAGTTTGCAGAATCACAAAGAATAAGAACTAAAAGAGAAGAGGAAGCCAAGGAGCAGAGTCTGTCCAGAGTCAGATATCTCAACAGTGACAGAATCAGTATTAATAGTGAACGAAAACTCTGGGCAAGATAACACACCAAGTTATTAAAAGGCCACGGAGCATTTATAAAAGGCACGTATCAATAGAAATGTTGAATTACAAATTCAAACCCCTGTGACCTGCCTGGTGTTCCAGCTCAGTGGTTTTCCGATATCTATGCCAGAGCCACTGAGGCTGCACCTCAAATCAAGGCTGGCTGAGGTCACAAATCAGTGCAGGTGTCCAGAACTCCCGGCTTGGCAAGGGAAGCTCCTAAGATCACCATCCTGAAATTCTTAATTTTATCTTGGAATTCCTATTTCTGACGGGAAAGTGAAGAATGCACTAGGATGTGGGAGCCTTGTTTCACACTCAGGCCCCACCACCACAATCTCCCTGTTCCCTGGGAAGGGTTCTTCACTGCCTCCCGGTCCTGGTGCCCTGCCCTTGCCCCACCTCCCCCACCCCACCCCACAAGGGATCCTGCCCACTGCCTGGGGCATCAGTGAGCTCACTTAGGCTGGGGATGGGGCGGGGTGCAAGCTGTCATTCTCTCATCACTCTCTGCCTCCAGTGAGAACCTGTGCACAGACAAGGATGCTGGAAGGTTCAGGGGTGTCTCAGGGCAGGGCATGGTGGTCGCTGTCCCCATCCCTGGCTGGCAGCTGTCCTCATCTCCGGCTGGCAGTACCATGGCTGTTCAGTACACATCCAGGCAGGTGTGAGCCTCTGCCTACCCAACCCAGGTCCCAACCACTTCTCAGTGTTGAGATTGCGATCCCTTGAGAGTCTCCAGTCCTCTGTGAGTTAGGGCTGACTCCCATAACCTGGCTGGGCAGAGAACATCAATCTGGGGGCTGACAGAGAATGTCCTGTCCTGGAAGCTAGTGGGTAACACTGCAAAGTCACAAATAGGGGTCCCCAGGCACTTGTGAGAGTCCATACTGACCCTTGCAAATATCCCCATGCCTGAGGGAGTGCAATATCAAATAGCAAAAATTTTTAAAGCATAATAGGGAAAGAAACCAGAAAGAAAAGAAAGAGTTTAATATTTTGGAACCTTTAACAGCACTTTTGTCTAGCTTTTGAATAAGGTGCCTGCAATTTCATTTTGCACTACAGCCCACAAATTAAGCAGCTGGTCCTGCCTCAAGCTTAACCCAGGCCCTGGGACCTATCACATCCATATAGGACGTTAAGGATCCAAATGACTTGGTAATGCATGGAATAAGAAAGTAATCCTTGCTTGAATGTGTACTTTAATTTCTGCCCTACCTTGTACTCCAGAGTTATTGCTACATTCCTGTCTTGGTCTCTTTGCCTTACTTTCCAATTGGAGTTTTGCTCTAGAACAGGGGTCCCCATCCTCTGGGCCATGGAACCATGCTGGTCCGTGGTCTGCTAGGAACCAGGTCACAGAGCAGGAGGTGAGTAGCGGGCAAGTGAGCATTACCACCTGAGCTCCGCCTCCTGTCAGATCAGCATCAGCTATAGATTCTCACAGGAGCATGAACCCTATTGTGAACTGTGCCTGCGAGGGATCTAGGTTGAGCACTCCTTGTGAGAATCTAACTAATGCCTTATGACCCGAGGTGGAACAGTTTCATCCCGAAACCATCCCTGCTCCCATCCATGGAAAAATTGTCTTCCACGAAATGGGTCCCTAGTGCCAAAAAGGCTGGGGACCCCTGTTCTAGAACACCAATCCCTAAGATCTGCTACCTACATCTTTCTAAAGTTACCTGCTTGTCAAAATATTCATCCTCTCCTCCTATAGGAATCTCTCAGGCCTCATATCCTGGGCCAGTGGGCCCATCAAGGAGAGAGGAAAGAGCCAACGTCTGATAGTTGCCTACTCCGTAGCAGAGCTTCACCTAAGTTGAGTCCTCAATTCCACACTCTGTTCGTTGGAAACAATACTAGTCCCAGCTGTGACATAAAAAGATGGCATGTTCTATTTTAAGAGGCAGTTTCTTTGGTCTGGTTTCTTTGTATTGATTCTGTGTGGTCAGAAGTAACTAGGAATACTGTCTTCACCAAGAGACAACTTAGTAATTTGGGATTGTTTAACCCATTGAAGGGTAATTTGAAGAGTTTACACTATGTTGATAGGATTACCTGAAGGATGGTGGTATTTTTTCTTTTGATCACAAAAGGCAAAGCAGGCTGAGCATGGCGGCTCATGCCTGTAATCCCAGCACTTTGGGAGGCTGAGGTGGGTGGATCATCTGAGGTCAGGAGTTCAAGACCAGCATGGCCAGTATGGTGAAACCCTGTCTTTACTAAAAATACAAAAATTAGCTGGGTATGATGGCACATGCCTATAATCCCAGCTACTTGGGAGACTGAGGTAGGGGAATCACTTGAACCCAGAAGGTGGGGGTTTCAGTGAGCTGAGATTGTGCCACTGCACTCCAGCCTGGGCAACAGAGATTTTTGTCTCAAATAAATAAATAAATAAATAAATAAATAAAAGGCAAAGCAAAAGAAAATGAATTTAACTTTGAGCCAGGAGATATTTAATACAAGAAGAAAATTCCTAGGGCTGGAAATTATCTGATGGAAGAGGATACTGAGACCATAGACAAGGGGGCCTAGACTCCCATAATGGATTTGGGTTGGAATTCACTCACTAACTATGTGACCCTGACAACTTACCCTCTTTTTAGTGTCCAGTGCTAAAATGGAGACAATATTATCTACTTCATCATTTTGATTTGTGAAATCAGCCTGCACTCAGCATTTAGTAATTTTGTCTTGCATTTTAATTGGAAATGCCCTGGTACAGGATAAAGAGCATGGATTTTGGAATCTGGCAGTCTTGAGTCAGGATTCCATATCTGCCACAACAGAGTTACCTTCAGAGAGAGATTATTGCACCTTGGTTTTCTGTAAACAGGAGATAGGCCACCTATAACACATCTGTTTTGAATATTAAATGAGATAGCCATTAATAGATTAATGTATAAAGTGTCTGAAATGTATTAGCACTTAACAAACATTAATGCTCTCTCTTCCATCTAATCACATGCACACATGCCCACGCACACACACACACACATACACACACACACAAGTGGCTTTAATCAGTAACAGAAAGTGAAATGTTGATGAATCCTAGTTTTTTTTAATTGCAAAGTGTGTGAAAGCCAAGCATACTTGCAGAAACTGGAGATTGTTTTTATTTACTCAGAGACAATACTGACTTTAAAGAAAACAAAATATCTAAACTAACAATGGAAGCATAAACATCGCCCTCAATGATGGTCATTGTGGTGTCCCTGTCTTCAGACAGTGGCCACCTCTGTGCTTTAACCTGGACCAAAGCCTCTGAATTCTGCCGCCCTTAATGGTGACAGGCACCTGCAGGATAGCCTAAGTCCCCAACACCAGCATGGCCTCCAGGTTTTGGCGACAAGATTCCTCTCATCAGCATGTCTGCAACGCTCCTTTCTCTTAGGAGATATGTTGACTCATTATACCTATTTTTAATAAAAAGGCAAATTTAAGCCTTAATTTGTATTTTAAAATAAATTATTTTAAGGCATGGACCCACTAGGGAATTAGTTACAAATGGTTTTTAGTGGTACACATTTAATGAACATTTAACCAAAGAAAGAAAATTGCTGGTATGCATAATTTCTTTTTTTTAACCAGCTGAGTATATAAATCCAATCTGTCCTTTCTCTTTAACTACTTTTGCCATAAAACCACTTATTTTACGGCTGTGGTGACATAGCACGGCTGTTTCACTTTATGATTAATAAAGTAATTAGCACCAGTTCTAATATTCTTAGCAAAAAGGCTGGGCTTTAGATATTTCTGTTGCACTAATAGGTTTTCTAAAGCTACGTGGCGCACATGGAAGATGGCCTGCTGGGGCCTGCAGAATGCATTTTCTAATGTACATCGTCAAGATCAATTGATAAATTACGTCAGTCTGGGTTAGTCATCATACAGAAAATATCATTAGAGATGAAAAAGGAATGAAAGGATGTGGGCAGGGGTAATTTGGTTTTCATTGTTGATTTCTGTTATAGAACTATTCTTGTAGGCAATTACCAAAACACAAAATGCCAGGGAAAATAAAAAACTCTGGAAAAGAAGAGCCTATTAGAACAAGATATGTGGTAAACAGACAAGAATGATAGCTCTTTTGAAACAGTATCCCATGGAGTCCAACTGGGGAGCATATTTCTGACTCTGCACACAGTGTCTTTGGGGCCACGCCAAATGCAGAACTGGATCATGAGCTCCGTTACGTCCTTCCTTCTGAAATGTGTTTTCTTAGTGTGTCTTTGAGGACAATGCAGGGGTGCAGGTCACAGCAAAGGTGTGCTGGGAAGAGAGCCACCGTGGTCCGAGGAATTGCAGTGTTGATTCCTCTTGGAAACGTGAGGATGCTGAGCTCATTCACAAGGGAAACTCTGGGCCCTTTGTAGTTGCAAAACTAAAAATAAAAAATTGCATTTATGCATGGACATTGCTGAAAAACAAATCCCCTCTGTTTTCAGGGCTTGCTTTGGAAATCTATTGAAGCAATTTGATTCCTGGGACAGGATATAAATTTTCTTACCAGCCTTACAATCGTTGACCTCATTGCCCTTTCATAATTCATTCATTCATTCAATAAGCATTTACGCTATGTCAGGCCTGGGCTTGGCCTTGGGGAGACAACGATCCTTGCTTAGGGAGCCCATAGTGTCTCATAAATAATAGTTTGGGCTCTGGAGTTAGACAAACGTGTATCCAGGTGTCGCTACTTATTGGCTAAGTGACTTTGGATATGTTACTCACACAAGCCAGATCTCAAATGAGGACAATAAGTATACCTACCTCATAGGGTTGTTGTGAGGATTAAATGAGGTAATGCTAGCTAAGGGGCTGCAGAGAATATCACGCATTATGTGTGTTCAATTAAATAGAAGCTATCACTAGTATTAAGATCATGCTGCTGATTCAGGACTATGCAGAGACACACTTTGAGCTGCTTCTCTGGTGCTAGATATGAATTCATATAGAGTCATCTGAGCTTTCTCCTTGACGTCTCCTTGGGATCTATTGTGCATATCTGCAAATCGTTTTCTCTGATCAGAGAAAAATCAGCAATTGGTAGAGATTGAATAAGATGCCAATACTGATCAGCCCAGGACTCCATCAATCAAACTACCCAATCCAAACAAACCCTGTTAGGGATGCCGGATGCTTCCTCTCTCTTTCCTCCTCCCACTCCTCTTTCCCTCTTCTTTCTTTCCTCTCCTCTCCCTTCTCATTCTCACCTATCACCTAAATTCTCCTCACCCCCTCCTCTCTCCTCCCCACTGCCTGGTCATGTGGCATAACCTTAGATTCTGCTATAGTCTGAATATTTGCATCCCACCAAAATGCATAGGTTAAAAGCCTAATCCCCAATGTGATGACACTGGGAGGCGGAGTCTTCCGGGGGAATGATCAGGTCATGGATGGAGCCCTCATAAATAGGATTAGTGCCCTTATAAAAGAAGCCTGAAAGAGAGCTCTTGCCCTTCTACCATGTTGAGGACACAGCAAAAAGGTGCCATCCATGAACCAAAAAGTGGGCTTTCCCCAGACACTGAATCTGCCTCGGTCTTGGACTTCCCAGCCTCCAGAGCTGTGAGAAATCCATTTCTGCTGTTTATAAGGTACCCCGTCTGTGGCATTCTGTTATAGCAGTCCAAACAGACTGAAACAAATTTGTTTCCATTTTCCATAAGGAAAGCATGGCACCTCTCATGGTTCTGAACAATCCCCAACCCTCAGGAGCCAAACAGGAGTGAAACAAGAGTCAGTTGCTCAGAAGGAAAGTGAGTACAATTCACCAACACAAATTCCTCAGAGCTGGGAGGTGCATCAGAGACACTACCCAGCCCTTTGTCCTCAGGAGGGAAAGGTCTCATTTCCTTTCTCAGATTAATCTGGAGAGGTGGAGAAACCTGCCCAAAGCTGCACAGGTGTGGGGGGTGGAGGTGAGTTACAAGTCCAGCCTCCTCCTGAGGCCAGACTCTCCGGCCGTCCTGCAGCTCAATGGTGACAACCCACCCCTGGGTCACTGCTGCACCTGTCAGTCCTTAACTGCTGCTTTTCCTAGGGCTTGAGATGCTTTGCTTGAGATGCTTTTTCCCCCTGTAAATGGTCAGGCGCAGTGGCTCATGCCTGTAATCCCAGCACTTTGGGAGGCCGAAGCAGGTGGATTACCTGAGGTCAGAGTTTAAGACCAGCCTGGCCAACATGATGAAACTCCATCTCTACTAAAAATACAAAAATTAGCCAGGCATGGTAGCACATGCTTGTAGTCCCAGCTACTTGAGAGGCTGAGGCAGGAGAATCGCTTGAACCGACAAGGTGGAGGTTGCAGTGAGCCGAGATCGTGTCACTGCACTCCAGCCTGGGTGACAGCAAGAGTCCATCTCAAAAACAAACAAACAAAAAAATACTTGGGGATGCATTTGAACTTATCTGTGCTTTCTTTTGCCCCCAAAGGCACTATAGTCAACACCCAAATCCATTGTGTCTTCAGCCATCTCTCTTTCACTAGTTTCTAAAATGTTGTTGGTTCACGAGAGTCACCTAGTCATGGGGTGAATTGGTGCCCATCCCTGTGGTGAGATGCAGGGAGGTGGGGACTTCCAGGAGGCCCTGTTCAGGAGACTGACGGGAGGGCTGGACACCTGGCCTCCAGATCCCTGTGCCTGCTCACTGCCTTGGTCTGACCTGCAAGCAAAGTGGCTAGCCTGGTCGGGGGGCCAGCCCCAGCTCAGGGCCCACACAGCTGTGTGCTGGGGCTCAAATTACCCAACAGCCTTTTGAAATGCTCAAAGAAGCTCTCAATCACCATGCTTGTGCATCTGACTATCCCAGCTTTGCCCATAAACTCCCAACCAGACGCCTCTGTTCATCACTTGGTCTTGGCAAGAGAGGCCAAGTGGAATTCCAACAGTCACTGAGGAGCAGAGGGAGGCTTCCAGAAGGAGGTACATGACTAAATATTTTGGAAATTTCTCCTGCCAGTTTCTCTGTCTCCTCTACCACCCCTGTTTCAAGACATAGAGGACATCATCCTGTCACCCAAAGCAAGACCGCATTTTAAAATTAAACTTGAAACAAGTATATATTTCTGATCTTCAACTCACTCTCACCCAGCCAGAGCATTTACACTCCAGCCAAACCCTCCACACTACCTGCCTGCAGCATCTGTTTGGAGAGGGATCCTCTAGAAATTAAGAGGTTTAACCCCACACAGACACTCACTGTACCCCAACATGTGTGCACACGCACACACAAAATCCTTTGTCAGCCCAGCCAAAGGCTGGTCATCATGTCTTTGTGCCCAGAGTAAGAAACACAGCAGCTATTTCTACTAAAATCAAGAGACCGAGCAGACCCTTCCCCAGACACCTGGAGAGATGGCTGAATCTTACCTGGCCTCATCATCCCATAAAAGGGCAAGGGAAGCCATTCTGGCAGATTTTCTCTCCAAGCCTCATTGAATTCTGGCC
Source organism: Homo sapiens (assembly GCF_000001405.40). Taxonomy (NCBI): domain Eukaryota; kingdom Metazoa; phylum Chordata; class Mammalia; order Primates; family Hominidae; genus Homo; species Homo sapiens. Next base: position 29,819,360 of record NC_000008.11, read on the forward strand.
TACCCCAGGGGCAGGAAGTCAGCGCTACCGCTGTGTGAGCAGCTGGTGTGGCCATCCATCAGCCTGCTGCCCCCTCTGACAACTCTCACACATGCCTGTGGTGCTGGAGGGTTCCATCAGGCAGGGACACCTATGCACCATCCCAAAAGAAGCATGAGGTCCCTAAAAGGTCATCAGAGCCAAGGCTAGTCTGCCTGACCAGCAGTGATGGCCTAAACCAACATCTTTTGACTCGTCCTGGGTGCAGGGCCGTGAGCAGCTCCCCCAGCCCCTGTGGGCCCCATAGAGGTCCCTCTTTCACCCTGTGCCCTCTCTGCCCTCCCCCTCTTCCAGTGGCCTATGTTCTTCTCCTCATACCATGCCAGGATGGTGGGCAAGGGGCTGTGCATGTCCAAAGGCTGTTGGTAGCTCCTGAGAAACTCGGCACTGTAAATGCCAGGGCTGAAAGCGCTCATCAGAGCATGGCATGCTGAGCTGATCTGGGTTGGGCAGCCCTCCACCCACACCCGGGCTGTGCTCCGCTCTCTCCTGCTGTGCCAGGACTGCAGCCTCAGGTCCTGCCAGTTGGCTCTGGGAGTGCAACCACAGAGAATAAGGTCCTGGAAATCCTCCCACCTCACCACCACTTACACACTCCACACACCCACACCACACAAACACACACACTGCACACACACCATGCACACACAACGCATACCATCCACACCACCCACACAACACACCACACACCCATATCACACATATACACCACATACACATACCCCACAACACACCACATGCACCACACACACCACATATACCGCACACCATGCACACACAACACACACTACCCACACCACCCACACAACACACTACACACCACATCACACACTTACACCACATATAGACACTGCACCACACACAACACACACATACACTACATACACTAATTGTACCACACACCACACACAGCACACAACCACACACCACACACCTACATCACACACAACCACATACCAACACCTACATCACACACAACCACACACCAACACCTACATCACAACTACACACACACTGCACCACTCACCACACACAACACACACACCACACACAACACACACACACACACCACATACACATCAAACACATACCACACATACACCACACACAGCACATACCACACACACAAAACACACCATACACATACCACACACATATTATACACAACACCACGTACCACACACACAAAACACACCATACACACACCACACACACATTATGCACAACACACCACATGTACCATACACACCACACATTCCACACACACACAATACACATGCCACAATACTACATACCACATCCCCACACACACACTTCATACACAGAGATACACACACCACACACCACTCACATCACACTCCACACACATGCACACACACACTCACACAAGAAAGGCCTTCTTTTCATTCTCCTTCAAGACCCGAGTCAGATGCTTGCCGCTCCTCTGCAGCCTTGCCTGTCCCTCTCAGTGCCTTAAGTCTCTTCCTCACCTTCGCTCCTATAACACTTCCTTTATACCTAAGCTTGCTACTCTCCCGAGAATATCTGAGATGGCTATAAGCTCCCTGAGGGCTGGGACCTGGACTTTCTCCTGTTTGTATTCCTTGTGAGCCTTACAGAGGCCTGCATAGTTCTACACTCAGTAAACATTTGTCAAATTAGAAACCAAAGACAATGTTCCCCCAAGAGAAATCTGGGCTCAACTCCATCTCCATAAATGATGCCAATTTTAGATGTGGGGGGGACATTAGTTTGCTAGGGCTGCCATGACATAGTACTACAGGCTGGGTGGCTTAAACAACAGAAATTTATTTCCTCACAGTTCTGAAGGCCGGGAAGTCCAAGATCGAGGTGTCAGCAGGGCTGGGCTCTTCAGGCCCATCTCTCCTTGGTTGGAAGATGGCCACCTTCTCCCTGAATCTTCCCATGGTCTTTCCTCTACATGTCTGTGTCCTAATCAGCTCTTCTTATAAAAACAACAGTCATATTGGATTGGGGCCCATAATAACAACCTCATTTTAACTGAATTACCTCTTTAAAGACCCCAGCTCCAAAACCAAGCACATCTTGAGGTACTAGGGGCCAGGACTTCCGCATATGAATTGGGGGACGTCAATTAGCAGCACTTACAACTTTCATGATGTCCTTCTAGGCACAGCCAACAGCTACTACCCCAAAGCCACCCATGGCTACAGCCTCTACTTGTCTCCTCAGGGCACGACTTCCTGTTCCTTGACAGAGGTTCTTGTCTGACCTTAATATTTTAAGATAAATTTTCCAATCTCCACAGCAGTTTTTGTCTTCTGGAGAGTGAATTCTGTGGTGAATCCTGTGGTCAACAGCTCACCATGAGGTTCACCCATGGTCAGCAGGTAGACGAGTGTGGCAGACATGCTTCGCCCTATTTCTGGGTCCATTTTCACTCTTCCCTTCTGCCTTTTTGCCTTCATTTGCTCGACTTTGAATTTATGTTAGTCAAATGTTATGCATCGTAATAAGCTGTCTGGGAATGCTTTCTGGAATAAAGAAGAGTATAATGTATGCTGTCAAATTTCTGTTGGTCAAATTTGATGCATCGTTATAAGATCCCTGGAATGCCTTCTAGAATAAAGAAGAGTATAATGTGTGCTGTTGTCAGCAGGCACCACTACCTCTCCCTTCTAAGAATGGGAACTGTGCTTCCCAAGACCCCCTTCTGTATATGTTTGCTTTTTTTTAATGAGAGGAACTTGTATGATATTTGGAAGGCTGAAAGGAAGTGGAAGCCATCAGTCTTCAGAGATGGTTGCAGCTGGATGTGTGGACAGATGAGAGATTCCCTGCGGATTCCTGGCAAGCCCCTCATCATTGCAGGCTGAGACGGTTGGTGTTGGGGGCTCCTCGGGAATCTCAAGAATTCTAGGCAAGCTTTTAAAAACCAGCTGCTTTGGGGCTGCAGGCTGAGATTTCAGGGTAACTCCTTTGACTTTCAGGGACAATTCCCCAAATGCTGGCAGCAGCTTCTCTCATCTGCAGTCTCCTAAGTCTTCTAACTTGTGTATAAGCTCCTGCTTGACTTTTAAACCCTTTATGTGCAGAACATACAGTGGCTTCTGTGTTCCTCACCAAATCCTGTCTGATACCTACGTAAGTCATAAAAATAAGCTACCATACCCTTGTACACTGATGGTGGGAATGTCAAATGGCACAGCCACTGTGAAAAACACTTTGATGATTCCTGAAAAAGTTAAACATAGATTTACCATATGATCCAACATTCCACTTATAGGTATATGCCCCAAAGAATTAAAAGCAGGAACTCAAACGAATACTTGTATGCCAATGTTCATAGCAGCACCGTTCACAATAGGTGGAAACAACCCAAGTGTCCTTCCACAGATAAATAGATAAATAAAATGTTGCACGTACATACAGATGACTTTATTCAGCCATTAAAAGGAATGGAATTCTGACACATGCTGCAACATGGGTGAACCTTGAAGACATTATGTTGAGTGAGAGAAGCCAGACACAAAGGGGAAAATATTATATGATTCCACTTACATGAAATATCCAGAACAGGCAAATTCATAGAGACAAGAAGTAGATTAAAGGGTACTAGGGTCTGGGGGAGGGGAGAATAGAGTGTTTTTACTGGGGACAGAGTTTCTATTTGAGATGATGAAAAAGTTTTGGAGAAAGATAGTGCTAAGGGTTGTACAACATTGTGAATGTACTTAATGCCACTGAATTGTGCACTTAAAACAGGTTGAAGTGGTAAATTTTATGTTATGTTTATTTTACCACAATAAAAAATGCATGTTTAAAAAATCCATTGCGGCGGCAGCAGAATTCTAGACGTCACCTGGGTATATTCAGCCCATTTTATTATAAGTAGCCAATGTGTATAGACTGAGGACACACAGTACATACAGGTTACCAAGCACATGTCTCCAGAGAGAGAGACAGAGTCCCATCTCAACCAGCTGTAGGGAAAAATCCTACTGAGATGATGGTGTTTATTCTTCCATCCTAGTCCTCAAATCTAACCAACGCCCAGAGTAAGCTTTCCTTCCCTGATTCAAAATTTCTTTTCTAGATAACTGAGCCTCCTTTTCTCTTTAGTACACCCTATCTTAGCCCCCACACCGTTTACCTGTCTCTAACCTGCCTCAATCCCTAGTCCAGCATGAGTGGTTTCCCAAGAACCTTTCGATCCCTGGGTTTCTAAGACTGAAACCCTTGTGTTTTTTTTTTTTTTTGACTAATATTCAGCCTCCCATATAGACATTTACCTTCCTCTTTAGACTACTATGTTCTCATTTCCAAAGCCATTGGCCTACACATAGAGGAACTGCCATAGTTTATTAATGAGCCAAGTCACAGAGTATGTGTGTGTGTGTGTGTGTGTGTGAGAGAGAGAGACAGAGAGAGAGAGAGCGCTCACCCCAGCCCACATAGTTCATTATCCCAATAAAGCAAAGCTACTATACTTTGACATATACTTTTGTATAGCTGCTCTTCACTACATCACTTTGCTCAGGACCATGGCCCAAGACAACCTGGTTTCAATTCTACAAGGTTTACATCCAGCCAGTGTATTTTCATAACCCTTTAAGGGAGTATTCTCCATGTGTGTAAGTGAATCTTACCCCCTTTGTTTCAGTCCCAATCTAGATTACCATATATGTTTGCTTCTTTTAAAGAGAATTAAACTCTAAACTGTGTTGGTGATGGCTAAGTCCTTATTTGAATTTAGGGTTATATGAAAACCACCTTGGCATCAGGAGCCCTTGACTTTCTTGATTTTCTACTGACCTGCTTTGGGAATTGAATGTATTATTTCTCTAAGCCTGAGATTCTTCTGTGTTAAAAAAAAAAAAAAAAGAAGAAGAAGGAAGTGGGATTTGAACTGGTGAGTTATTAGGTTCTTTGCAGTTCTAGGAGCTTTTTATATGGTCAAAGCAAATCCTAGATTTTCCCTGTTGCGGAAGCCCCTCTGTTTCAGGTGCACAGCAGGCACAACAAACAGTGTCAGGGCAAGACAAGAGCCACAGAGAAGGTTCCAGGCACAGAGAGGTCATGTGACCTCAGCTGAGTCCTCAAACTGATTCAGATGTCACAGCTTCTCCCATAGACCACATTGCCTTTTTTCTGCCCACCTGGTTGGCTCACCTCAAGTATTTTCAGTCTTATTAACACGTAGCCTGCTATCATTACATAATTTTGTGATGGGACATCTCTCTAGCTCGTATACAGAATCTGTAATTTACAAAACAGCCTAATTACAAGATCCTCCATAGAAACATACTCTGGTGAAAACACTCACCTCTGGCCTAATTGTACAACAATTGTATAACAGGAGAAGAGTCTTTGTAGGATGGAGCTACTGGTGGGCCTGGCCTCACCCGGGTGCTAGACCTCATCCTAAGTAGATTCCTTCTCTCTTACCCTCTCCACCATCCTCTCTTTAATAGCAAAAACTCTGCCCCATGTAGCCTCTGTGCTAAATTACCTCCCAAACTTAAATGCCATTCAAAATCCTATTTTCCTCTTAGGAGAAGACGTATTATCTATTTCCCTTCTCTCTAAGAACGTCTGGCCTGTATACAGATTGTCTTCCTGGGTAATGCATTCCTGCACTCCCAGCTGGCTGGCTTTTAATCTGGACCCTATCAAAATATATAGCATTTGGGGCTGTGTTTTCTATGGCTATACGAGTTCCTGGATTTCCATCCAAAATGCCTACCCCAGCTCATTTACACAATGCAAAGGCAACAGGATATTTCGCAATGAAATCATTCTCACATCTGTCTTTGGGGTTGTAAAGTACTTTGCAAAATCTTTTAGAGCCCCTTCTTCCCTTATCCTCACTGGTGGAGAAACCGTGTGGTTCACACCTGAGTGTGAGCTGCTCACAGCTATGATTGGACCCTGGACCTGGACTTTTAGTCTCAGGTACCCCCCCACCGCACTGTGAAAACAGGCTGGCCACTTAGGATCTCAGTTCTTCATCTTTAAAGCAACAGATAAGCCTAAACCATCTCCATGGCCCCTGCATTAGGTTAAAAATAAGTCTGGCTGCTGAAATAGACCCAAGACGACAATGCTTGACCATTGTCTCACACACAAAAGCTGAAGCTGGGTTTAATGGCTCTGCTCCATGATGTCTCGGTGGGGCTCAGGTATCAGGCACCTGTTATTTTGCTCTGTCATCCTAGAGGTTTGGTCTTGTCCTCTGGAGTGGGGAATTGTCATCTGAGACCAAGAGGTTTGGTCTTGTCCTCTGGAATGGGGAAAAAGGAAGCAGAAGCCACACTCTGTCTTTTTAGGGAAATTATACTAGTGCCTCGGAACTTGGACACATGGCTACAATTGCCTCCCAGGTGTCTGGGAGACTATGTGACCAGATAAAAACTCTATTACCAAATAAGAAGAAGAGATTGAATACTGGGGCCACCTAGGATTGTTGGCCACAGACCTTCTCAGTTGTACCATTCTGAGTCTATGAGATCATGGGTGAGGGTGGGGCAGGGGACATGAGAATCACAGCAGAAGCAGACACTGTAGGAGTCTCCAGGGACAGTGACTGCAACTGCCACACTTGCATGTGCAAGATAATTCAAAGTTCAAAAGAGAATGTGCCTAATGTTTTTTCAGAGACAGGGTCTCACTCTGTTACTCAGGCTGAAATGCAGTGGTGTGATCATAGCTCCCTGCAGCCTCAAACTCCTGGGCTCAAGTGGTCCTCCTACCTCAGCCTCCCAAAGTGGTTGGATAACAGGCATGGGCCACCTTATCAGGCTTGTGCATAATTTTATTTAAATCAACATACACATTTAGCTTCTACCACCTGTATATAGATTGTCTTCCTGGGTAATGCATTCCTGCACTCCCAGCTGGCTGACTCTTAATCTGGATGCTATCAAAATATATGGCATTTGGGGCAGTGTTTTCTATGGCTGTGCTAGTTCCTGAATTTTCATCCAAACTGCCCACCCCAGCTCATTTACACAATGCAAAGGCAACAGGATATCTTGCAATGAAATCGTTCTCACATCTGTCTTCAGGGTTGTAAAGTAATTTGCAAGATCAAAATGAAGTTTACAAGTTAATTTCAACAAATATTTGTTGGCACCTACTGTGTACCAGGCACCAGAAACACAAAAATGAATATGACCCATCCATGCCTTCCCTCAAGGCACCTGTATGCTAGTGAGGAAATAGAGCCCAAATATGAAAGTTCCCCATCACACCATAAGTGCTTTTGTAAAGGTGAACTCTGGTGATGCACTCTCTGATAGAGGAGAGAAAACTAAAAATCTGAGAGAACTATTGAGTAACACAAGCAGAAACAACCAGGTCCTAAAATATGTGCTAAGGACGATGGCATTCTAGTAGTGTTGATCAGGAAGGATATAGATTTCTGCAGGTTCAACATGAAAGGCAGGCCTTATTTGAGGGAGTCGATCTTAAAAGCTGAGCAGAAATGCAGTGGTGGAAGGGGAAGGTGGTAAAACATCATAAAGATTTTGTCTGAAATGTTTAAATGAAGGCATCTAGAGATTCCTGTGTCAGACAGAGTTGAAGAAAAGAGACACCTTCTTGAGTTTTAACCCTTACTGCAGAAGGTCAAGAAAAGCTCTTTAAATGTCTTTCATGGTCCACTTGTAAAAGTTCTCAGCATTCCTTATAGGTTTTTATAGGTTCATAATAACTCCATAAAGAAGGGAAGAAACGAGAGAGAACCTGGAGCTCAGAGATGTTAGGGAAGCTGGCCTGGGTACACCTTCCATAAGAGCACAGCCCTGACTCAGGCATTCTGGCCTCAGATCTTGTGTTTCTTGCAATGGGCCTGACTACTCTTGAAAAAGGAAAAATCAAAATTCAAGCTGGGCTTGGTAGCTCACACTTGTAATCCCACACTTTGAGAGGCCAAGGCAGGAAGATCGCTTGAGGCCAAAAGCTTGAGACCAGCCTAGGAAATAAAGCAAGACCCCTGTCCCTACAAAAAATAAAAATAAGAATTAGCTGGGCAAGGTGGTGCACACCTGTAGCCCCAGCTATTCAGGAGGCTGAGGCAGGAGGATCACTCGAGCCTAGGAATTCAAGGCTGCAGGGAGCTATGATTGCGCCACTGCAATCTAACCTGGGTGACAGAGTAAGAACATGTCTCTAAAATAAATAAATAAATAAATTCACACAATCTGAGCAGAAGGAAGTGGATTCGGAGTGACCCAGCAGACAGAAGCCAGGGGCTTTAGGACAGGGACACCCAGCATGGTGACCTGCCTCTAATGGCTAATACTCCTTGGCTAGGAGGCTCAAGTCTTGAAGCTTAATCCTCAGAATGTCCAATTATATATTCCTCAGAGCCATCTTCAAGACTGAAAACAACCAAAGGAATCATACAAAGAAATTCTACACTTGAAGATTACTCCGTCCCTGGAAAGGAATTCTTTGGGAGATTGTCTAATTCTGGCAGAAAGTCTACAGCTTTGAGGGATGGTGAAATCTGCTGCGGGGCATACAGGACAGGATGCCCTCTTGAGACTTCAACCCTGTGATAATATGAGCCCATTGCCATACTGTTGCTAGGACAAGTGACCCTGCCCATTGTCACCCAGGCCATAGCACTCTCTGCCCACAAAGAGAACTAGTTCACAGGCCACTTTCTCTTTAATCGATGACAAAAAGCAGCGTGATAGGGCTGTGGGCAGAAATCCAATTTTAAAAGGATTTCAAAGGATGCAAATTGTTTCCTGGAGAAGGGCTAATGACAGCTAATAGGCCAGTCCTGGTTAACAGGCAGATGACCTGGCTGCAGTTTCCTATTTCTGTTGGCCATAATCACAATTCACATCTGCTATTTTCATCCTCCTCCCATATTATCGGCAGTGCAGCCACATTTTCACTCCTACTTCTCCCAAAGGACGTCAGCATGCCTATTTTACATAGGTATACAAAAGCATAAGCTTTCCTTTATCAGCCTAATGGGAAACAAACCTGCCCAGGTCTAAGCTTGTTATCCTACCTGATTGTTCCAATGTATATCCACCATCTAGTTTGGATTGTTCAAAAGCAAAGGAAATGGAGTTGCTTTAAATTTATGAACTGACGAGGTTCTGAGTAATGGTGAATCACAGCTCGATATTTCACTTAAACCTCAGACACGGAGCTGGCTCCTGCTGCAGCTCTTTCTGGGTCATACGAATTCATCAGAGAATTGCTCATGGCCCTCAGCCCCGAGCTAGGATGGAGAGCTGGATGAGGCCAAGGTCAGCCATGCCCAAGGAGAGAGGCTGCCATGCATCGGAAAGATGCTTCAGAGGACAAAGACATCAGCCCAAGTGTTGGGCAAGCAATGGAAGGCAGTGGGGGTGGATTTCTGAGAATATAGAAAAAGAGAATAAAAATTCTCGCTTGATTGTGTAGGAAATGGATGCAATAAAGGAGTCCAACAGCATGGACCCGGGTAGACATTGTCTTGGATTCACCTCGAAGTCCTATTCTTATCATCCTCATATTGTCTCACTCCCTGGACACTTTCCCCACCTAGAGCCCTGTGTATGCTTAGAAGACTCCAACTCATCTTTCAAGAACCTGCAGAATGTGACCTTTCTTGAGATCCCTGCCTCAATTTCCCCAGAACTATTTAGTTTGAATCCATTTTTACCATGATGCTTTATAAAGATTTGTTTTTATTTCTACCTCCCCCACTAGACAGTGATCATCTCAAAAGCAAGGATGGTTCTCATTCATCTTTATACCACCAATTATTGGCATAGTGCTTAACAAATGCCTTTTGGATAGAGAGCTCAGAGTGAATAAATAGAAAAGGGAAGGAAAAATGAAAAAAGGGACAAAGGGAGGAGGAAAAAACTGGGAGAGTTTCATTTTTCAGCTTAACAAGATTATTTCTTAAATCAGATGAGATGATTCAGGCTGGGTTGTACTAGCAGGGAGAAAAGGGTAATTACATTTTAAATCTGCTTTGAATACTATTGATAAGACTCTACATTTTATGGGCTTTACTGACAAGAAAAATTAAAAAAAACCTGGTAAAAGAGTCAAAGAACGAATTTAAAATGAGATGATCTTGTTGTAGATAATATGCTACCCTGCAACCTTAGCTGCCTGCCTGCTTGAAGATTCTCAGTCCTTTGCTTGTCCGTTCCAGTGAAGCAGGATAGAAAAGAACTGTGCAATTTTGCTCACCACTTTGATCCCTCGGGGTGCTGGGAGACTCCCCTATTGAAGGAATCTGAGGGATCCTGACAGGTTTCCAAACACCTACCTTGCTACTGTCAAGATGGGCCCAGACCCTCCTGGAGAGATGAAATGAGGCAATAGAGTGGTTTGGAAGACCATACTAAAACTCTTTTCAAGGGGTGGCATGTGGAATGCCACAGCCCCTCCAATTTGAGAGCTTTGTCCTTCTGTATGCCTGAATGAGTTTTCCTCTTCTCACATCCAATTGGAATGAGGGTGCTCCAGAAGGCATTTCTACTCACAAGTCCTGCCATAAACACAGAGATGGCTCTGCATTAGCTTCTAGAGATGCTAAGGAGAATAGAGACTTTCTACCACCTTGATGTGTAACCATGGAGCAAGGGTCCAACTTGAGAGGAAGTAAAAGTCACTGGCTCACCTTGAGATTCATGAGTGAGGGTTTGGGGATGTGATAGTTAATTTTATGGATCAACTTGCTGGGCCACGTGGTGCCCAGATGTCAGGTCAAACATTACAGTGGGTGTTTCTGTGAGGGTGTTTTAGATGAGATTCCCATCTAAATTGGTGGACTTTGAGTAAAGCAGTTGTGGGTGGTCCTCATCCAATCAGCTGAATGCCTGAATAGAACAAAAACACTAGTGTCCCCAAGCAAGAGGGAATTTTCCAGCGGACTGCCTTCAGACTCCATCTGCAATATGAGTTCTTCCTGATTCTATAGTAGACTGCTTTCAGACTGGAACTGGAATGTTGGCTCTCCCATATCTGCACCCAGCAGAATTTGGACTTGCCAGCCTCCATAATCATGTTATCCAATTCCTTATAATAAATCTCTTTCTACACATATAACAGAACCAATTTCCTATTGGTTCTGTTTCTTGGAGAGCCCTAATATGGAGGCAGAGGGAGAGTGAATGATAGACTCACTGGCTGTCAATTTGCTGAGAAACTGAATATACAAATAGACAACAGCCAGACTATATATCAAAATAGAACCCTAACCCAGTCTACAGCAACTATTCCAGAAACCTAATCCATTATCTACAATAACCAGCCCAGGAAGACAGCTTGCTATCTATAAGTCAGATTGTAACAGATTAGACCACTATCTCTAGAAACCATCCCAGGAAGCCAGACAATAATCCCTGTAACAATTGGCCCCAAACAGCCAAGACTTGGTTTATATCTGACAGCTTCCCTAATAATTGTCCCCACTTCCAACTCAGGACCAACCAGAGAGCCCAGTATGCTCCCCTAACCAATTATATAGATTGTCACACTATGAGATGGCCTGTCCACAGCTTTTCCATGCTAACAGCCTCCAATCAGGGCACACCTGAAGCCTTGCCTTTTATCCACTATAAATGATTTCCCACTCCGTGGCCTGCCTTTGAGTCTCTGTCAAAAGCAAATGATGATGGTTGTTTCTCTTGATATAGTAAGCTCTAAATAAATAGTCTGTGCTTGTTTTCATTTGATTGATCTTCATTTACTTCCACATTACCTAAAAATGAGCTCTTGGAAACAACTCATCCAAGGGAATAAAGAGTTTGACCCCAGAGTTTGATTCAAGGACAGTGGAGCAGCCTCAGAAGGAAAAGATGATCCAGCATTCCCAGTGTCTGTCCCACAGATTGTCTTCCTGGGCAGCCCTCAAGAGAAGGGAACTACAGTAAAAGAGGATGAGCAAAGTGAAATCTTTCTCATGCTACCATCTCTCTCAGACTTCAAGAGTACAAGGGAACAGCATCACTATTGCCAACAACTTTCGCAGCAACTTTAACACTGACATGGGATGAAATCCTCAGGTGTCAGGATCCCCAGAGGTAGGACCCTTGCAGTTCACAGCAGATGCAGGAGAAATCTCCAAGCAGAGCAAAGACAGAGAAGATGGCAGATGCTACGGGTAACTAGGTCCTCCAAGCCTCATGAAATGCCAGAAAAATGGAGTAGGACCTTGAGGGAATCTTTCAGGTAGAATAGGAGTGAGCAAAGTCAAAGAAAGCCTGTTTGCTGGTGATTATTGTAATCTTGGGCTTATCCCAGGCTGGCTTAGACAAGGAATCACAGGCTATACACAGAATTTTAGCAATTGCTTAGCTAAATTCATTGTAAAATCTCTCTTCTATATGTCTACTTTTCTATATTCCCCTTTTATCTGAATTTCCAATCTTGGTATAAGTTTCACAGAGTGATAAATGTAGGTCAGTCGTGGTACCATGTCAAACAAGAGAGACATTTATGTGTTTCATTGCTTATTAATGAAATAACACCATGACAGATGATACCTGTTTCAGAGAAAGTGTCATAGGAGTCAGCCCACCACAGTAGTATGTGAGCTCAACAGTCCCATCAACAAGTGAGTCAGGCAAGATATAAATGTTCATTTATTTGCATGCATGCTTGTCAAAGTTGATGAATATTCTCATTTAAAACAAAACAAAACTAAAAACAAAATTGTTGTATAGCAACCAGTTAGGACAGTTTTCTGAAATTGCTGAAATACCCAATTTAAATGAATATCTGTTTATAGATGTATTTCTTTTTCATATCATTTCCTTCATGGGTTTGATGGAGGGCATGTTGTTTTAAAATGTAGGTTTTATTATTCAGGTATGGTGAGGTCAACAGATGAGAAGGCAATGCCATTGATGAGAGTTTGTTACTCACAGTTCCCAAGACTGGGACGGCATAAAGTGCCAGGAGTGGGGGTTTCCACTGGTCACGCACCAGGGTCAGTCAGGAGGCAGAGGGAATGATGAGGAAAATGCAGGCAACACCCTTTATTGTGGTTTCCACTGGAAGGAATGGGAAAGGCAAGGCAAGCAGGCTTAGAATCGGCTAATTTGAGTAACTTTAGCAGGTTTTAGGGAATACAAACTGTCTCTGGTTGCCTGTTACCTGGTCCTGGGTGATTAAAGCAAGGGAATCTTTGCCCTAAGTGTGAAAGCCCTGTAGAGGAGGTGGTGGGGTGTGGTCTTTGGGTTGGCTGGTTTGCATATGAAATGCATGCCACAGGCCAGTCCTTCACTACCTCTAGGAATTGACCAGCAAGCAGGGGCAGTTTCTCCAGGGTCAGCAGATGCCAGAGCATTAAAAACACATGGCTAATACATGTGTGTTTTTACTCTCCAGTCCATAAGCCTCTGAAGAACAAAATTTCATCAAAGGAGCCTCTTCGCTGTTCTATAATATTACATATTTAGGGGGCTGTGATATTTATTTATGCATTAAGATGCTAGCAAGACTTCAAGGAACTTCAGCCTAATTCAAGCACACACTACTGCAGCCCTTACAGTAAACAATGAGGTCAGCGTCCTTGGGCACAAAGTGGGGAACTGGATGGATCCCACAACTCCTAACTCTTGGGTGTTTCCTCCCTGCTCCCTTTGTCTGTCTGCTTTCTCAATTTGCCCTGGGATCACTTTGTACTGAAACCTCCCATGAAATAACTCTGCTCTAGGCACTCTGCCTCAGCCATTTCCCATGATTTGATGGTTGGTTAATTTTGTACCAGTGGTGGGCTAGACTTGGCTTGTGAGAGCCTGTTGTTAAATTTCCAGGAATGTCATGAGCTGGATGTTAAACATAGCCATTTTGAAAAATTGAATCATATAAACTAGCAATTAAATTAGTTATATTCAAACAAATTTAGTAAGTGCTCAAAACTTGGTACTGCCAACTTATTTTATTATTTTATTATAATTAAATTATTTTACTACATCTTACCACTGCCTACACTCTTGAAGCTATTTACATCTATCGTGTCTGGATGATGGAAACACTTATATAGTGTATTTAGGCATCTAACTACCAGGCATCCCTTTCTAATGACATGTTCGCAAGTCATACTGGTGACTTGAAGTGAATATATTTAGACCATGGAAATCAGCAAACACCATAAATCAAGATAAGATGGAAAAAAATATTAATACTGCAGATAAAACTTAAAAGCTTGTACAAAAAGATCTATAACCATTACATCATGAACAGCACCAAAAAATGACAAAGCATTCTTCTAGTATTTAAAAACTATTATCTGATACAGCCAATAAGTCACTTGCATCATTAATGAACAAGGTCCCATAGAGGTCTTGCTTGTTTCACTTTTGTTTACTCCTAATGTAAACAAAAATATCTTCATGTTGGAACTCTACTAGTTCATCATTTGCAACCAGAAGTTAGGTATGAACACAGGAATTTGGTAAAAATCAACAAAAGCATTCTATGAAAATCAATAGCTGTAAGGAATTTCAAATAAAGTGTATTACATATTTTATTTTGATTTGTTAAGTTGTGTGCTATATAGCCGTTACATCAATAAAATTTATGTTTTTCCTGAAGAGCTAATTGCTATACATTTACCAGCACACAATTGCTTTCCGCTATTCCAAGCTTCAATTTCTTAGTTGATAAACTAAGAGGTTGTTTTAGATGAACTTTGTTTCCTTCCAATTCTAATTCTTTTTTTTTAATTTAATTTTGTTTTAGGTTCTGGAATACGTGTACAGAACGTGCAGGTTTGTACATAGGTAAACGTGTGCCATGGTGGTTTGCTGCACCTATCAATCCATCACCTAGGTATTAAGCCCTGTGCGCATTAGCTATTTGTCCTGATGCTCTCCCTCTTCCCACCCCCTCAACAGGCCCTGTTCCCCTGTGTGTTGTTCCCCTACCTGTGTCCATGTGTTCTTATTATTCAGCTCCCACTTATGAGACATGTGGTGTTTTGTTTTGTATTCCTGTGTTAGTTTGCTGAGGATCGTGGCTTCCAGCTCCATCCATGTCCCTGCAAAGGACATGATATTCATTTTTATGGCTGCATAGTATTCCACGGTATATATGTACCACATTTTCTTTATCCAATCTATCATTGATGGGCATTTGGGTTGGTTTCAGGTCTTTGCTATTGTGAATAGTGCTGGAATAATTCTATGATCTGGAATTATTCTTATCTTATAGTTTAAAAAAAAATCTTCTACTCTTAATAGCTGACTGAGCAGCAGATGATTGATGACTCATTTCTGAAAAGAGGATTTAAGTAAAACCAAGGGAACAGCTAGCTTCCCAAGGCCTCAACATGAGGAGGTGACATACCCCTGACCCCTGTGCTTAGTGGCCTCCTTGGAATACCTTCCGGAGGTCACTGTCATGAGTTCCTCACCAAAATCCCCTAGTGGGCATAAGGCAGAAGTCCCATTCATTAAATAAATATTTTTTGAGTACCTACCATATGTCAGGTGCATTTCGGGGCATGAGGGTTGCAGCACTGGTGTCCACTGCCTCACGGAGCCTATATTGTAATGAGGGCAGATGCATTGTTACAATAGGCGACAGGCTACAATGAGAACAGCACAGATTAAGAAGGCATAACTTTTAATCTATGCCAGATGCACATAAACTTTTTCTATAAAGGGCCAACAAATAAATATTTCAGGCTTTGCAGACCACTTCATCTCTGTTGCAACCGCTCAATTCTGCTGTTGCAATGCAGAAACAGCCATAGACAATTAACAATAGGCATGGCTATGTTCCAATGAACCTTTATTTACAAAACCAGGGGACAACACTGCAATCTAGGCTACAGTTGGATGATCCCTAATCTAGGCAGCCAGTAGATTGTTCAAGAACATGAGATGTAAACTGGGCAGGAGTTGGGTGAAAAGAGGGGAGAGAGCCATGTTACAGTAGAGGGAGATGGGGGCCAGATTTGGAAGGTCTTTTGACTTTCAATGGAATGCACTTTAGCCACCCTCTCCCACTCCAGCCAAGACGGCACAACCAGGCTCCCCAACACCCCAGGGCCAGGCAATGACCCTTATTTCTCAAACCTGGAAGAGCACAACCCATGTCAGCTTGCCCCCCACATAGACATTATCCTCACTCTTCTCAGGCCCTAATAACCCAGACCTACCTGCCCTCCTCCCCACACCATCCCCTGTGCTGGGCTGGGCTGTTCCGCTACCCGTGTGTCCTCTTCACTTAGCCCAGGGCCCATCACCTCACTCTGAGTCACATGGCTCCCCTATCTGGGATGCTAACCTCCCAGGCCCCACCCAGTGGCTTTTTGACTGAGCTGTTCAAGAAGGAAATGAGAAAACATAACGCAATACAATTTTCACACCAAGAAAGCAATTATAGCTTACGATACCATAATATTACCTAAATATTCCACTCATATTTGAAATTCCCCAATTATCCTAAAAATGTCTTGCTTAGCTGTTTTGTTTTTGTTTTTCCAATCCAAGATCCAATCAAGAACCCCACATTGAGTTGGTAGTCATAGCTCTTCAGCCTCCTTTAGACTAGGACAGTCCCCTTCCCTGCCTTTGTCATTCATGACCTTAACATTTTTTAAAAGTAGAAACCAGTAGTCAGGTATAAAGTCCATAACCTGGGTTTTTCTGATTGTTTCCTCATGATTCAGTCTGGGTTAGCTCTTTTTTGGCATGAGTACCACCAGGTGATGCTGGGCACTTCCCATGGCATCATATCAGAAGATGCAGAGTGTCACTGCGCCCCATTACTGCTGTCCTGTTCAGTTTTCACTACAAATTCTGGGCTGTACCATTAGTGTGTTGGACAGTATCCAGTCACTGATTTTTTTTTTAATCGCATTGACTTCGGCCCATTAATATGCTGTGCCATAGTGTGTCTCCCCTCTACTCCCTCTGAAGCTGCCTTTGCAAAGATTATGACAGTGAGAGAAGTCTTGCATGGCTGACTCCATCCTGCCTCTAGCCTCACAGGCTGGCTCTCTCTGATCATTCCTCACCATAGGTCAAGCTAAACATGGGAAGAATTTAGTTTATAGTTTAACTTCGAAGCAAGGATAATAATAGTCCCTCCTTAAAACTGCTCCCTCCTTGTTTGGGGGCTGAAACTGCCTTTGTAAGATGAATGAAAGGCCACAAGATTAGGATTATGGGGAGTGGCTTGAGTTCTGCTACAACATAAGCATGCCTTCTATAACCCCTTATTACTCAGCAGTTATGTGGCCAGAGGTCACAAGATCTGTGACTTTCCCAATTGCTCCTATAGATAACAGCACTACTGTAGAACCTAAGATTGGTTTTTTGAGGTTTTTTCCAACTGACCCGACCCAGTCTCCTGACTCCTGATTCAACTGGTTCTGTGGCCCCACCCAGAGGTGGATTCAGCCTACAAGGACCGGTTTCCACACCCTACGATTTCATCCTCAATCAGTCAGCAGCACTCATTCCCTAGGCCCCTGCCCACCAAGTTTCCATAAAAATCCTTATCTCCAAGCCTTGGGAGACTGATCTGAGTAATAATTCTGTGTCCTGCGTGGCCAACCTCATGTCAATTTACTTTACTACAAGGCTATGGTCTTGGTGGATTGACTTTGTCTGTGCAGGAAGAAACTATCAAGAGAATATACCTCCAGCTGCCCAGCATGGGCAGACCCCAAGTAGGGTGAAGGGAGTATCCCAGGCCAGGGTATGGGAGACCAAAAAGGGTAAGGAGAGATTACCAGTGGGAGGGCGGCACAGAGCAGGGTGTTGGAGCCTAATCAGAGTGAACAGGGAGTCAGGCAGGAGGTGCTGGAGTCTAAGTATGAGGAGGAAGGCATTTTTGCAGAGGGAAGCCTGGTGCAGGGTTCAGAAGCCAAGCAGAATGAGGAAGGCATCCAAGAGGTGTGGGTAAGACTTGATGCAGGAGCCCAAGGAAGGTGGGGAGGATATTCTGGCACAAGGTATCTGCACCCAAGCAAGGTGAGAAGGGCATCTGAGGCTACGGACAGCCCAGTGCAGGGAGACGGTCTGGGCAGGGTGAGGTCATCCACATAGGAACGGGCACATCATGGCTTCTGCATGGTCCACAAGCAAAGGGAAGAGGCATCCCAGTGGTAGAGCAGCTCAACACGAGGTGCCAGAGCCTAATCTGGGTGAAGAGGGCATCCCAAAAGGGGCAAATGGCAATAGCAGTGTAGCAGATTAGTTACAATGTGGCTGCATAAAATAGGAAACTTTTGTTTTTTAATTAGAGCAAGTTTCTCATGGTCAGTAAAGAGACTTACAATTATGGTAAAAAAGAAAACAAGAATGAATCATGTGGTTTTGGGTTGAGTGAGATAACTGTGTGAATTTGTGTTTTTTAAATATATGTGTGTGTGTATGTGTAGATATGTGTGTATATACATATGCACACATATATACATACATATATGTATTTATATATAAATATATATATATTTATGTATTAAATGTGTATGTATGATTTAAACATATATGTGTGTATGTATATATTTCTGTATACATACACACACTGTATATACACATATATACACACACACACATATATATACATGTAGATATAGAAATACAGTAATATGAATGTATGTATTTTTATATATTATACATGCATAGTTGTATCCCAGCTCTGCCCACTGAGAGGGCCTAGAAGCAGGGACTTACCAAGAGCATTTAGCACACAGAGCACCCAGATTGTGATTTCTAAATGCCGTTATTTGCCAAAAAGCAGCAAGGGCTCTGGGAAAAAATGTCTGATTCCAGGGCTGGGGCAGGTAATGTAGCACATGGACAGCTTGCTGTGCCAGAGTGACAAGAAGGGCTAAAAGAATGATTGGGACACTTCAAAAAGGTCCAGAAAACAGCTTTAAGGGGCTTCCACTGGCCACATATTGGGCAATTTGTGCATCAAATAAGTGAGAATAGCAACGGATTATATCCTATTGAACAAAATAAGAATCCATAAGTTCATACTGATAAAAATGAACAAATAAAGAAGTGAAGAAATGGAAATTTTGATAAAGAATAGGATATTTAAATGGCCTCAAAGTATCTCGTATCTCCCTACAAATATATATAGAGAGAGAAATATTACAAAGAAGAAAATAGTACACCTAATTTGAGAAGCCTGGCAAACACTCATCTAATCAAATGATCAAAGTAAATGTCATCAGTAATGAAATAAATTGAAATGATGCCCCATCTCACAGCATCCAATGAGACAAGTCCTACATCACCTCTGTGATGTTACTGCCAAAGACATAGCCCAAATCTTATTGTGAGGGAACAGCAGACAATCCCATTGAGGGACATTCTATGAAATTACCTGCCTGTAATCTTCAATGTGTCAAAGTTATGAAAGTGAAGGAAAGCACAAGGAACTGTTGCACATTGAAAGAAACTGAAAATATGTGAAAACTGAATGTAAAGGTAGTTCTAGACTAGGTCATTTTACTATAAGCACATACTTGGGACAACTAGCAAAATTTGAAGGAAATCTGAATATCAGATGGTAGCAATACATCACTGTTAATTTCCTCATCTTGATTGAATTGTGGTTCTGTAGTGGACACTTATCTGTAGGAAATTCACACTAAAATATCCAGGAGTATAGGACATCATGTTTTTTGTTTGTTTGTTTGTTTTTAAGACAGAATCTTGCTCTGTCACCCAGGCTGGAGTGCAGTGGTGTGATCTTGGTTCATTGTAACCTCCACCTCCTAGATTCAAGCAATTCCCCTGCCTCAGCCTCCTGAGTAGCTGGGACTACATGCACACACCACCATGCTCGGCTAGTTTTTTTCTATTTTAGTAGAGATGGGGTTTCACCATGTTGCCCAGGCTGGTCTCCAACTCCTGACTTCAGGCAATCCACCCGCCTCGGCCTCCCAAAGTGCAAGGATTACAGGTGTGAAGGGCATCATGTTGACAACTTATTTTCAAGTGGCTCAGAAGAAATGTCTTTGTACTGTATACACACACACACACACACACACACACACACCCCTACATACATAGTATTATGATTATGTAGGAAAATATAACTGTGCTCTTGGGAGATTACATGGTGAAGTATTTAGGGGCAAAAATTTACTTCAAATGATTTGACAGAGAGAGAGAGAGAAGGTAGCAAAACATTAGCATTTGATGAAATCTGGGTGAAGGGTATGCTGGGTTCATTCTTTCAACCATTCTGGAGGCTTAAAAAGTTTCCAAATAAACAGCAAAGGAGAGGAGAAAAAAATGAGAAAAAGTGCAAACAATAAAGTTTGTAGGAGTTCTTAAGTGGGGGAGAAATGAATGAAAACTGAGAACTGGAGATCAGGCTTTTAATGCTGTTCTTGCCTTACTTTGTGGTGCACCTTGCGCTCTTTAAAAATAAAAGAGAGTTACACAGGAAAAAGTTTGTCCTGGTGTTATAAAGAGCTTAGCCGTATCCTAGCTTTCATTAAACTACCTCCTACTGCCACCGGATGTACCAGGCCTACACCTCTCCCTCTGCACGCAAAATACCACCAACTCTTACTTCTTCCTGCCCGCTTCTGGGTGAGCCAAAGCAGGGCATCCCTGGGCCTCCCACTTCTCCCCACTGGATCCGTATCCTCCTCACCCGCACAAAGGGTGACGGGAGGCATGAGTGACGGATGGCTTCAACACGAAGGGCCTTCTTAAAGCCTGTGCTGGAGACAAAGTTGTTTTATTCCATAGACATGAAGAGCTCAATTCCTATAGCCTAGAAACTTTCCAGAGACCCACAGAAACACTTGAGATCTGCAAAAGGTTTTTCACTTGAAAAAGAAAAATGCACCCTTGACATCCAGGAGCCGGCCTGGTGCTATCAGCTAAGCCTTGGTGTTCTCTTGCTGAACACAATTTCACAGAAAACCAACTTCAGATATTGTCCATTGCGTAACAACATTGGATCAAGACAAGACCCCTTGGTAATCATGGCAAAACACAAACAAAGCATGAACTTGTCCAAGCTGAAACATACCAAACACGCCCACCACCCCCTATTCTCACTAAAGTCAGTGAACAGGGCTGCTTTATCAATCACAGGTTTAGCCTCCATTAGTATACTCTCTTTCCAGATAAGGTTTGTGGAGATACCCAATCACTTCCTGACAGCATCCAATCCAGAGCAAAGCCTCACTTCTCCAAACTCTCTCTCAAATCACCTGACACCCAACACAAGCCCAAACGCCATGACAGGTCTTCTATCACACCCTCTTATTGAGATGCCCCATGGTTTCCATGGTATATATTATCCCTTGCTGAAACAAGTAATAAATCCAACTACTTTAAATACAGGTGTGTTCCTGGAGGGCTTTGGGTAAAGAACATTGATAAGCTCTGCAGCCTGCAAAAAAAAATTGACCCCAGAATACTAAAGAAATACTATTTCTTTAGAAAACAAATTGGTAAATATTAAGTAAAATAACACTATCTCAATTTCCTTTATTATTACATTTATAATCCATAACGTGTTATGACCTCTGAAAATAATTTGTGTGTTAGATTTAATTATCTCACTGCATAAGAATTCCCAAGTCTGCCAGCTGATTACCGAGAAATCACGGCCAATTGTAAACTAAACAAGTAACCAATTTCATGCACAACCTCCTGGTTGGCCGTTGGTTGTGTCATGCAGACTTGGTGCAGCCAAGGCCGACCAGCATGCTGCCTCCCTTATCAACGTTATTTCCAGGCAGTTCAGTGTCTGGGCCCGGCCTGCCCTGTCGGCCTCCTTGCCCATAGGATCTGGTTTCTGCCAGCTAGGCTGACCCTTCCACCTCTCTATTATTTGGGGATGTTTTCCCGTTGTTTGATCTCACTGATGCCCGCACTCTGGCCTCAGCTGTCAGTCACGTAAAACTGTTAGCTCTTCTCTGATTCTTGACCTTCTCGCCTCCTCCCTGCTGCCAGGGGAGTCCTTTGCTAAGCCCAAGCCTTCCTTCAGTGGTACCTTTCCTTCAACCTCACCTCCCTCTCTCCTGCCAGCCACACAGAGGAAGTCAGCTAGCCAGGCACAATGGAAGCCATCCTCAATGGAGGAATTCTCATCTAAAGAAAAGCCTCTGGAGGAACTTTATTTTCCTTCAACAGTCACATTTCTAGGAAAAAAAAAAACAAAAACCTAGAGCCAGAGATTCTGAGACTTTCCGGATGTGGAAATGGAACTTGGAAATGATTGAGTTCAGTCCTGCCATTTTCCAGATGAGAAAACTATGATATCCATGGTTCAAGACTTTTTCTGCAAGACTAGGATGCCTGATTTTGCCTTTTCCCCTTAAGTCTATTGGTTTTACGATTTAGTAAGAAGAAAAAAAGTATGTTTCCTTTTTTTTTTTTTTTTTTTGGTCAAACTTTAAAAAAATACAACCACAACTGTGAAATGGTACATGATTTTTTTAAGGCCCCTATAAAAGGCAGCACAGTATGAATTATATCTTCATCAGTGCAGGTTATGAAATTACTCCAGAGAGTTATCCCTGCGGAGACTGGCAGTGCATAGACTGTAACTCAATGGAATTCAATTCCATCCCGAGTTCACAGAAGGTAATTGATGGAAGGAAGCAGCAGAAATTGCCTGAGAATTCTTCATGGATAATGTCTCTGTTTCCCCCACAATCTCATTTTGCACACAAAACAAACAAAACACAATTCAATCTCCCAAATTGTGTGGCTCCAATTGTTTGCTTCCTTTTAAAAAATCATCCAACCCACATCACCCACAGCCACAGCTCTCCTGTGGGGCAAATTAAGTCTAGTATTGGCAACACGTTTGACCTCCATCCCCCACTCCCCTCCTGCGTCCTGGACTTCCAGCCGTTCTTTGTTTCAGGTGGATCCTTTGTTTGGGGCCATGACAAAAGCACAAGAATTAAACTTTACCAAGAAAAGACCAGCAAACTTGACTTTGATTTCACGTTCCAGGCAATTTGAGAGCAGAACAACAGATTCCTTTGCCCTTCTTTGCAGCATCTTGAGCAAAACAATTAACAACAACCACAAAAGTTCTCCATACTGACAAGAAAAATGAGATGTAAAGGGTATAGCTCACTGAGATAAGTACATAATCAAAATATCTCATTTAATCGCTGGTTTCTCCCAACTCAGAGAACAATTATCATGACACACACTGACATGACTTCAGGGCCCACTGGGAAAACCGACCCAGAAGAAACACAATTGTGTGGGCTTGCATAAGGGTCTGACCCAAAGTTATGGCTGACCCCTGAGAAGGGTGATCCTCCCCCTCAAACCTAGTTACAACATTCAAGGTAATGGGACAACTTGGATATCATCCAGGCAAATAGAAATTCTCCCTGTGATTGGAGATTCTGGGCAGTGCTACTACCCAAAATCTCTTCTTGGGTACCCAGAGCTTGGTGTCTAAGCTTGGTACACAGAACTTGCTGCCAAATTGGTTGGGTGTGGTGGCTCACACCTATAATTCCAGCACTTTGGGAGGCCAAGGTGGGCGGATCACTTGAGGTAAGGAGTTCGAGACCAGCCTGGCCAACATGGTGAAACCCTGTCTCTACTAAAACTACCAAAATTAGCCAGGCGTGGTGGCTCACACCTGTAATCCCAGCTACTTGGGAGGCTGAGGCATGAGAACCGCTTGAACCTGGGAGGTAGAGGTTGCAGTAAGCCAAGATAGCACCACTACACTGTAGCCTGGGTGACAGAGCAAGCTCTGTCCCCCCTCAAAAAAAAAAGAAAAAGATCTTGCTGCCAAATTGACAGCAAGTTCTGGGTACCAAGTTGGGGGTCCATCCCTTTTGAGGCAGGACTCCCCAAGCAGTGGAAAGAGGTACAGAGTCAGGTCTAGACCTCTAGGATGAGCAGAATGGCAAGGTCTTGGCAAGTGCATTACACTTGACTCCACAATTTTTTTTTTTTTTTGAGACAGAGTTTTGCTCTTGTTGCACAGGCTGGAGTGCAATGGCACGACCTTGGCTCACCACAACCTCCGTCTCCTGGGTTCAAGTGATTCTCCTGCCTCAGCCTCCTGAGTAGCTGGGATTACAGGCATGCACCACCACGCCCGGCTAATTTTTTGTGTTTTTAGTAGAGATGGGGTTTCTCCACGTTGGTCAGGCTTGTCTTGAACTCCTGACCTCAGGTGATCCACCTGCCTTAGCCTCCCAAAGTGCTGGGATTACAGGCGTGAGCCACTGTGCCCGGCGTGACTCCACAATTAAGGCAAGACTGAGATGCCAGGAACCAGGGCAGGAATCCAATAGGAGGATAGGGGCAGACACCCATAGCTTCCTCCAGACATCAAGCTGAGGGGTTGCATACTGCTTCTAGCTCTGCCCACGTGAAGCGATGAGATCTGCAAATATGCAGCTCAAGGAGTGAAGAGTCTCCATGTAGGGTGTGAGCAGGCAGAGGTTGAAAACAAACATAAACCATCCGGGTACATCTATGTCTCCTTTCCCTCCTCTGTGAATATGAAAAAGTGAAGCACGAAGCAGGGATTATTTCTAAACTTGTTAGCTAGATCCTGACAGTTTAGACGTGAGGTATTTCTAACCTCTGTCATTGTAAATTCTGACTCGATGTTTTTCTCTCACTGAGAATCCCTAAGTGTTTCTTCTTTTTTTGTCTTGGGTTTTGTTTCCCACTAAGTAAAATTTAAGGAAGGAGTCTAAAGATTTGGTTTCAGACCAATTATCTCAGGTGGTTCGTTAAACTGAGGTCTGTAAAGTGAATCTATAATCGAAGGATGTTCCAAAGGATGCTGCTGACAGAGAACAAAGTGACAACTCAAGCTTACAAAGGTCAATTTCAGTGCTTTTTAGTTAATGCCAAAAGCAACTTGAATCAGCATTGAAACTTTCTTCTAAAGGGCCGTAAGAGTAGGTGTAAATCCATCTTTTATTTTAATTCATTGGTTTACACTGCATAGATTCATTCTCCTCTTCCTACTCCCACACCAGTTGAAATAAATTCAGTTGTTTCTGTCTCAGAGGAAGGTCACATCCATTCTAACTGAACAGGGCCTAAGGCTGATTCTGGAAATGACTCTGTAGCAGAACATACCTGCTAAATATTTGTGGTGTCTTTAGACAGATAGAATGTAGCAGGTTCAGAATAAAAGAAATATAGCACTTTCTTTCAAAATTTTTTTTACATTTTTAAAAATTTTTATTTTGTAGAGTCAGGGTCTCACTATGTTGCCAAGGCTGGTCTTGAACTCCTGGGCTGAAGCAGTCTTCCCGCCTTGGCCTCTGAAAGTGCTGGGATTACTGGTGTGAGCCATCACACCTGGCCCAAAATAGAACCCTTTCAAAAGCCTGTTAGTTTTGTATAATTTTAACAGAGGCAGAGATATTCATTATTCATTATTACCCATTATTTTTTCCAGAAATGTTTCCTAAAAGGCTCTTATGTTCCAGATCAAGTGCTGTGTGCTAGGGATTCAAAGGTGAAACTTAGCCTTGCCCTTGAGGAGCCCACAGTCCAGGAGAGATTGAGGGAGACTCAGAGCTAAATAATGAAAACTCCCCATAAGGGAGACTTCTGAGAGGACAGCACTGATTGCCCAAAAGGCCAAAAAGGTTTCCTAGTGAACGTGGGGGTGGAGCTAATCACAGAGGGCATTTTTCTTTCTGAAATGAGAATAGACCTAAAAACAAAACAAAACAAAACAAAACAGAACAAAACCTGTCAACCATGAGGTCCAGCACAAGCTGAGAGTGACACAAAGCTGGCTAGGGCCAACGACAACCGCGAAAGCAGGAGAGGATCGAAACACGATGTAGGCTGAAAATACTTTTAAAAAATTGAAAATATTTTCAAAAGCAGGTGAGGAAACAAGAATCACTCGTTGATCCTTTTGATCAGGCCACATTGGGATGTGTGAATCTCCTGCTACTTTGAATTGATCAAAGTA
Source organism: Homo sapiens (assembly GCF_000001405.40). Taxonomy (NCBI): domain Eukaryota; kingdom Metazoa; phylum Chordata; class Mammalia; order Primates; family Hominidae; genus Homo; species Homo sapiens. The sequence goes on from NC_000008.11 coordinate 29,845,289, forward strand.
CTGATCATTTAACTTTTCTACTTACCCCGTAGCTGTTGGTTGGATTTTGTTCTTTGTGTGGACGGCTTGTGATTTAATAGCAAGTGTGGGTAGATTTCAACTGGGCTCTCTGCGTCTGAGCAGCCTCTCCTCTCAGCCTCATATAGCAGGTGCCACTGCAGCCCTGGAAGGTAAATATGAATGTCACTAGACATCTCTGAAACCACAGACTTTTAAAACTGACTTCCTATCAGACCCTGTAGGGCCCTGGTCTCTGAAGGTAAGAAATTTTCAACCCTCCAGTTCCTGTGGCTTTTGAGAGAACATCCCAAGAGGACTCTACAGGACCAATGATGACGGGTAAAATTAAATCAGCCCATGAGTCCCAAACATTGCAGTTACAGTTACAGGTATCATTCATTATCAATATACTCCCCAAGAATTAAATTGAGATGTATAAGTGTGCATATGCGTGTGCACACAAGTGTGTACGTGTAATCAATATGAGTAATTTCCATCCTGGGTCTGGTTTTTACACTTCATTTTTCCAGTCCCTGAGAGCCCTAAAAAATCTAGTGCCCCATAACCCAACAGAATGCTAAGAAGCTAATGCTTTTGTTGTTTACACTTATATCACACTTCTCTGTCACTTTCTTCTCTGGGACTCCTGCAGTAAGTATTTGGGTGCTAAACATTAATATTTTTTAACAAACAACATGTTGCAGAGTCATTTGTACCTTCCCATATGGTAGATATATAATATTCATCTTCTACCCCTTTCTGGGAAAATACAAAGCAATGACGTGAGATGCTTCAGTCTCAGGTCCCTGAACTTGCCAGTACATGACGGGGGGCCTTGGCCTTGGATGGAGAATGTTTTGCTCATCCTGGAACGTTCCTCTCCCCCTCACTCTAAGAACCTGGATAGTGGTCCTGAACTTCTGAATCCCTCCTCCTCACCAAGTCCCTTGGGGGTGCACCTCGTTCCTGAGAAGTGCTGCAGGTAGGTACCTTCTACTGGAAAATGGGGCAGAGGCCAAGGTAGAATGGAAAAGAGACTCCTGGGATTCACCATGGGGACATGGAGACCCTGAACTGTTGGATTTGAAAAAGGTGAGGGGCTCATTGAAAGGAAGCAACCAGCCAAAAACAGTGAAATTTGTGAACTTGTGTCATGTTCCAACTTTGTCACATCCTGTGCTTGCGAGGTGTGGATCAGACTGTAATTCCATCTGAACATGGCAGAAATGAGTGGCTGACTCAGACCTGTATTTTAGCAAGTTCTGTGTCTCTTCCTTTGTAGTCTTTCTAATTGTGCTGCTGCCGTTGGCCGCCTCTCCAGCTTCCAGGGTGGCTGTGTGATTTCTAACATCCTCTGCTGACTTCCCAGATGCTGAGCCAATGCTACGTCCTTCCCACTTGCCACTGGCCAGACACAAGGACCTCCCATTATTCTCAAGTCCAGCTTTCAGCAACCCCAGGCTTGAGTCCCAGCTCTGCCACCTATGACCTATGTGATCTTGAGCAAAAGTACCCAAATCTCCTTAGCCTCATTGTTTTTCCATGATAACATAGTCTCAATCCAATAGTTTTGTAAGGACTAAGCGAGAGCAAGCTTTTTAAGTTGCTTGGCCCAAATCCCACCCTGAAGTAGTTCAATATACATGTGCTGTTTTTCACAGGATGATTTTACATTAGGTGGTTATATAGCATCTGTAACAGTCCACCTTCCCACTCTGATGTGGTGATTTTGGCAGAGGCAATGGCTGGGAATGAGTCTCCATGGTTAGGAACTTTGCTCTCCAGGATGACTCAGGGACCGAAACAGTCACGTTGTAATGCTAAGCCTATGCGGAGCTTCTTAGGGGTAGGAGGCATAGAATACATCATGTGCCACCGAGCTAAAGAATTGCCATGCCATGCAGTGGTCACACTCTATTCTGTCAGTCACTGGTTTGAATAGACCTAGGAGAAATGCTTCAATACATCAAGACAGCCAGACCAAGTCCTGATGCAAAGCCCATGGCTAGCAGACTCAGAGCAAGTTCAAAAGGTGAGAAAAGAATGGAGTTACCTCGCTCTGTGACTGTGATGGTCTTAGTTAACCAATCTTGGGCCCCAGAATCCTTGGGACGGTCATGGTCAATTGAGCTGTGGATACCACACCCTTCACTGGCTCCCAAAATCCACTCAGGCTTCCCTTCCCACATGTTTCTGGAACACCCTCCATCCCCAGCAAGAGTTCTCAGATAGCCTGCCAATGAGTCTTGGTGTGGCTGGTCCCCAAGGTGGGCTGCCCAGCTTCAGAAGCCACCTCCTCTCTGGCCCTGGGACACCAGTCTTCTGCTGCAGGTCACCTCATCCTACAGCAGCTAAGCTCCTCCCTTCACTCACTGTCTTGTAAATGGACCAAGACCCTTCCCTTAATTCCCTGCAGCAATTGCTGAGACCAGATTTTGAAATTGTGGACAAGACTTAACTGATGGTATTGGGGCTAACAGGAGAGAAATATAACATAGACACTTGGAATACAACTGCAACGAGAGGGGGTCAGACCAGCCTTCCTGCTCAGTTTCCAGTCTTCTATGGTCCCCCAAAGACAGAGGGTGAGCTATGCTTCCTCTCCCTTCATCCCCTACCAAAAAGCCACACTCAGAGACCCAGATGTCCCTCAATCCTATCCCAAAATAAACATCACCCAGCAGATCACCATATCTCAGTCTAAGACATATGCCTCCCAGTTAAATTGCCTCCCAGTTCGACCCTCAGACCCGGGCTACCTGCCTCCACACAGGTTTAATCCAAGAGCCCATGCAGAGGCTTTTAGAAAACAATGATGTCTCCCCCAAAAGTAAATTGATGCCTTCACAAAAATGGCTAGCAGCTTTTAAACCATTTTTCTAGTTCCTACTTATCAGGATTTCAAAATCTTAGAGCTGGTTGCACCAAGGACACTGTTAAAATAGGAGCTGCTCTATCACTGAAATCACTTCTAAAAAAAAGAAACTGCAAAGGACTCAGGTTTCCATCAGCCGAGCTTTCACGATGAGTGTCCTACGCAGGGCCATTTGGCCACATAGACACAAACCCTCTGCACTGAAGCGTCCTGTTCTTTGTTTCCATCCTTTCACTCCCTCCTCTGTGGCAGGGCTGTTCTCGCACGCTTTGTGCCCTGCGTAATTGCTCTGCTGAGAGCCGATGAGTCACCCATCACCACTTCTTTTTTTCTTTCTTTCCTTGCGTCAGCTGAAGTTAGTCGATATAATGTGCCACTATAATGTTCAGGATACTGTAAAGAAAATCTCTTATTTTTATTTTTATTTTTGTAAAAACTCCAGCTTAGCTGGTCTTTGGAAAATAACTGGAAGGATCTAGTATTTTCTGCAAGTTGAAGCACTCTCGAGATGTTTCCTATGTTTTAATTCTTTGGCAAATGCCAGTTTCTTATACGATATAGGAGAAAAGAATTGATTAAAAATATGTGTTTTGAATCAAAACTGACTCAGTTAAAAATATATATATGTAACTTAGTCATGCAACCTGCTAGGCACCATTTGTAGGTAGCTCCACGGAAGAGCTCCCTCCAGTTGGAATCCCATTTCCAGTTTGAGATACCTTAGCACATCTCCCAGCCCCTCCCCCCCACCAGGGTCCTGATGCCCCATCTATGGAAGCTGGACTTTCCCTACAAGTGCCCAGAGCCCTGGGAGCAAGAGTGAGCTTTGGAGGGGACAGGGTAGGGAACCCCAGGGCTCCCCCCAGGGTTCTGGACAAAGAAGAAGAAAGTCCTGGAGTCCGTGAAGAAAGAACTAGGTTATTTATGGGAGAAATAAAACATCAGAAAGTACGTAAATATTTGAATAAACTTGTCTCAATAGCTTAATTGGAAAATTAGTTTTGACATCTTTCATTCTCTCCCCGTCTTCACCAAACATCCAGCAAAGCTTGGGTAACTCCTTCCTGAGAGCCAGGGGATGTGGAGATGATTGAGATCTGACCTTTGCTCCTGAAAACTTACCCAGACCATAGGGGTCCAGTGACCACCATTGTGATGGGGATGCTGTGAACAAGGGAAGCAGAGCTTGCTAAGACAACAGACAGGACAGGAGGAGCCTATACAAAATGGAGAGATCAGAAAAAGTTTCCTTAGTGCCTGATCATTGAGTAAGTACCAGGCAATGTGCCCTACCAAAAAGAGATGCATGTCTACCAACATGCCACTTCCTAAAGCCCAGCTCACATTTAACAAGCTCTTTTAGTGACACTAGAATTTTGTGAATTAGATTTGTACCAAAACTAGCCCCACTCTGATCCCCAGAACCACACAAGATGATGACAGCCGTAGGTGTGGAATCCAGCCTTCCTGGGAGAAGTAGGGCAGGAACAACCCACTGACAGCCAGTGTGAGAGCAGCATTTGCAGCCCGGGTTACCTGCTCCACACTGGTTCTGCAACCCAGCTTCCTGCCACAGACCTGCCCATCCAGGTCTGGGAACGCCGCGCGCGCACACACACACACACACACCCCAGATCTGGAGGGGCAGGTGCTTAACGCATTTTGTTCCACAGCAGGTGAGCAGCGCAATCTAATTCTTGACTCATAGATCAGGGTGGGAAGCGGACTTCCACTGAAAGCATGCCCCCCTCTCTCTGTGACGCCTGCATTCAGCCAGGAGCCCTGCGCATGAGATAGCAAGATTAATGAAAGTCTGACTAGCAGGCTCGTGGGCAGGGGGGAGTTCAGCCTATAATTGGAAAAATCAAGCAGTAGATCAGTGTTTTCCAAAGAGAAGTCTCCTTTGTTCTAAAATAGCAATTCGGTGTTTAGTTAAAGACAGGCCCTGGTGACCCCTAATAACTCTTAGCGGGTTCCTTTATGCCTCTAATAGAAGCTGCAGCTCTTTGGCTCATTTTAAATTACTACCAAGTGTTGTGTAGGTTGGGGCTTCTTGAAGGAAAAACAATTAATTGGAGAGGAAAAGCTATTCCTTAGCAACCACAGATAAAGGCAGTTCCCTTAATATAATCTGAGATGGAATCTAGCTCAGCAGAGCTGGGGCAAAAAATAGCTTTTCTCTGATCAAGGTGCCTGAGTTCCAGTTAAAGGAAATTAGGGAGGCCCTGGCTTCAGGATGCTTAAGACCACAGACAGCATTGCCCATGGGGAACACCCCTCATGACAGTGGAACATAGACATAAAGGGGCATCCAGCATCATGCAGCCAGGACATCAGGACATGGTCATTATCACAGTCCTTTGGCTAATGTGTATTTTTAATCCCCCTCTTTTCCCAATTACAATAAAGCTGAAAGGAAAGTGATTTTAGCAGTCTGAGTAACCATGTTGACAGGGTAATCGTCCACGATGACATTGGTTCTTGCATCTGCAGAATATGATTGAAATTGAATAGTATGCACTTAGTTATACAAGCTCCATCCAAATAAGATTAGAGACAGGTTCTAAAATGCACTGTGAACTTCCAGATAAATAATAAGAACTTCCAGATAAATAATATTATTTATTCCAGATAAATAATAAAACAGGGAAGAGAGCACAATAAAGGTAAACACTATGGGACAAAGCCAGAGAGCAAAGTGAGCACAGCAAACACATGACCGTAGGGGCCCATGCAATTGTGTGTGTGCATTAACTGAGGTTAGTATCCCAAATGCACTCGCACTACACCCTGTAGTATGTAGCTCTGTGTGTGTGTGTATATGTGTGTGTGTGTGCATGCACACTGAAGAAGATCCACCAGGTTGAGTAGCAATTGTGACCCACAGGGATCTACCCATAATTCCCACGTTGGCTTTCTCTGCCTGCCTTAATGCAAGGCTCAGCAAAACTTCCCACTTTCTGGAAAGAATCTATTCCCATCTGAACAATAGTCCAACTTACATCGATGAAAATTTCATAAGAAAGTTAGAGAAACTTTTTTTTTTCATCACATATACCACAGTGAATGCTCTGAATCTTCATGTAATATTTGATTTCTCCCCAGCCTTTCATCAAGGGGTCTCTCATTTTCTCTTGCAGCTCTCATCCTCAAGATTCCAGTGTTTCAGCTCCAAAAATCCTCCTCTGGGCCTCCTATCTCACGCTTTTTTTCAATTGCATCCTACAAACTCACATAACTCCTTGTCCAGACTCACATAACAAAGATCCCAGTTGCAGGATCTGCTCATTTTGAGAAGCAGAAACTTGCTAAGTACAGTGCCTCATGCCTATAATGCCTATAATATCAGCTACTCAGGAGGCTGAGACAGGAGGATTATTTGAGGCCAGGAGTTTGAGACCAGCCTTGGCAGTACAGCAAGACCTTATCTCTTTTAAAATAATTTAAAAATTAGCTGGGAATGAAAAAAAAAGCCAAGACAACATATAAATAACCATAACATTTTGTCCTATCCAATTTATCAAGAAGGATTTTGGCATAGAGTTTGGAAATAACATCTGACAAAGCAACAGCCCATGGTTAACCCTGTGTCTTGGTAGGTATGCATTTCAAAGGAACAGGGCAAGTTCTGGATAATATTTCTTCTAGAGACTTCCTTCATGATGTTGCAGGGAGTCCGTGACCACATTGATGTCTGCCTCTAGGTCACTGTCACTGCTACACTAACATCCAGGCCTGTTTCATCTTTACTTATCCCTTAAACAAAATGCAATCCAAAAAATCCTGGGGTTCTTCAGTAAGACCATGTTTGTTTTTAGTCGAGTTCACATCCAGATGTAAAAGGCTATGGCTTTTTTTGCCTTCAACATTCTCATTACTAGTCAGAAGTGTAAATTAATTCATGCTTAAAATAGGAAATGGCCTGACTGCCCACAACTCTCTGAGTGATTCATGAATCAATTGGACGGGGTTCTCTCTAATCTGTCCACACTCTCTCCCTGTTCTGTTTGTAACACTTTCTCTGCAGTGTTAAAAGTTAAGTCTGTGACCATTAACAGCATCCACTAGAGACGGATCCTTCTGCTCTGGACTCATCAGAATGGTGCCCCCACCAGACAAACACACAAGCCCCAGGCCTCACCCACACTTAACCAATAAGGCAGGAACCTCAGAGACAAGTACTTTGCTGAGCTTGACAGAGTCCCAGCAGAAGTAAAATGCTGGTGATTTATATGGAGTCCCAGAGTTCATCCAAATATTAATTGGTATTAGAATTACAGCATTTTAGAGCTACAAGGGAGCTTATTGATGATGTAGTTAAACATCACAGAGTTCCTGAAGAGACTCAGGGAAAATGAGTGAATTAATTAAGAGACTTTGGCTTCTGTGAGCCAGAGAAGGGCCTGAGCTCAGGTGGGCAGCTCAACTCTTGCTGGGCAACTGCAAGGGCTGTTCAGGCCAGAAAAGCCTGAGGGCCTGGGAGAGACTAGCTCAGAATCGTGTCATATTTAGTAGGCAGAATAAATGTCCTCCTCCGAGACCACTGAATAAAAATCAAGTCATTTTCCCAGAACCTTCCTTCTCTGGTCACTTCCTCAAAATGAAGAATTGCCTGTGGCCAGGAGAAACTGTAGGTGGAGAGATGGAACCCTGTGGGAAAGTTCCTGTCAGTTCTCAACCTGGAGAGGTCATTAAGGCTCCACCAGCCTCAGAAACAGGAAGGAGGATAATAAGCACCAATACTTGTACAGGACTTAGAATGTACCAGACGCCCTATAAGTGCTTCACATACGTGACCCTACGTACCCTCTTCTTCCAAGCTTGGGTTTGAGCCCAGCAGTCTGTCTCCGGGGGCTGCTCCTAACCCCTTCAGGTCCCATATCACCTGAATGTTGAGTTTTAGGAAAGGACTGAGGTGACTCACATACAGGATATGCCACAGCCTGGCACCTCAACAAACATGGAATCTGTCACCATTACTGCTGCTATTGCTTTTTTTCTTCTCCAGTTCGGTAAATGTTAATGGCAGGGGCATAACCTCATCCCTGGGGGATCTCTCCTCATTGGCTTACTTTGTTCTCATCTCAAACCTTTCGGAGGCTGGAATCAGGACCTATCCATTCAAATTCCAGATGTGTTACTTGCGCCTAATTGCAGAACTCCTCCCTTTGCTCTGACGCAAACTTAAAGAGCAGGGAGGCTGAGGTTCTGAAAGAACTAAACCTTTGAAATTCCAATGAGAAGATTAAAATGTGAAACCACTTAAGGGCCTGCACTTTGACAGACTGTCTGTCGGTGTGACTCAGCCATCTGATCTTCCTGGGCCTGAAGGAAAAGACATTTTTGTCCTTCCCTCAGGTAGATAACTCACTTCCTTGAAACACGTCACTGTTGTGGAAAAGTGGGTTTGAAGAAAATCATTCTTGACATCTCTATTTGGCAGCAGTGTTTCTACAGTGCTACTATTCATCCTTGATGCAAAATTGTGTGTTTTGATCTTGGCCCTACCCTCAATGACAAAATTTCGAAGAGATAGAAAACTAGGCTAGAGTTTCCCTAGTTACGAGATTTGCAAATGTGTAATGGAGTTGAATCTTCAAGGCGTGCTCTTCCATCAAGCTACATAACCCCAAAGGCACCATGTCTGGGAAGCCACCCACAGTGATTTTACACACTTGTCGTAATATGAATGTGAGCACACACCGTGCACCAGTCACCCTTTTGCAATGAAATACAGGATTACAATTAAATAACATACTTTTATGAAACACAAATGATCACCACTTGCTTTTTAAATGAGAAATAACAAAAGTTGAGACCAGAAGTAAAGAACTGCCGTATGTAAGCACCAGTTAGGGGCTACTTCCTTTGAAGCCTCAAGGGCAGCCAGTGAGAGCAGACAGAACAGAAACTTTGAAGCCAGACAGACTAGAGTTTCAATCCTGAAGCAGATCAATTTCTCCGCGCGACCTCAGGCAAATCACTGGATTTCTCTGAGCTGAAGTTTCCTCATCTATTTAAATAATCCTTTTCTGGGGTCATCACAAGGCAAGATCACATGTCCTCACACAGGGTGAACAATTCATCAACAGTGCTTTCCCTTCTTTCTTGGAATTCAAATGGACTAGGGTGAGGGAGTGGTCACTGTTATTTGCATAGGCATGGGGGGAGGCAAGAAGCTTGGGGGAAAGGGAGAATGTGCAGTGTGCTCTGCCCCACTGAGGGAAGGTGTATTAGCCTGTTCTCATGCTGCTATAAAGGACTGCCCAAGACTGGATGATTTATAAAGGAAAGAGGTTTAATTGACTCACAGTTCCGCATGGCTCAGGAGGCCTCAGGAAACTTACAATCATGGCAGAAGGGGAAGCAAACATATCCTTTGACGGCAGGAAGAAGTGCCAAGCAAAAGGGGGAAAAGCCCTTTATAAAACCATCAGATCTTGTGAGAACTCACTCACTATCACGAGAACAGCATGAGGGTAACTGCCCCCATGGTTCAATGACCTCCCACCAGGACCCTCCCACGACACATGGGGATTATGGGAAGTACAATTCAAGATGAAATTTGGGTGGAAACACAGCCAAACCACACCAGAAGGGAAATCTCAGAAGAACCCAGAATTTGGGCTCCCCTGGACTTTGTCCCTGGTGCAATCCTTCTACACTTTAAACTGCAGAGCATCCTATCCAAGGACTCCTTTCTGAGGCTCCTCCTGCCCAGGACATCTGAGTGTCCCTGAACACTCTCCTCTCAGATCACTGCAGCTCTCAGGGTCCTGGCTCCTCTTTTTCTTCTTGTGGGTTTAAAAAAAACAATTCTAAAGAAGAACAGAGGTTTTCTGTTTTATCTTCACACATAACCAGAGAAAGACTTGCTATGGTTTGAGTATTTGATGCCTCCAAACCTCATAGTGAAATCTGATCCCCAATGTTGGAGGTAAGGCCTGATGGGGGTGTTTGGGTCATGGAAGCAGATTCCTCATGAATAGCTTGGTGATGTCCTATGGTCATAAGTGAGTTCTCGCTCAATTAGTTCCGGTGAGAGCTGGTTGTTAAAAAGAGCCTGGCCCCTCCCCACCATCTCTCTCTTGCTTACTCTCTCTATGTGATCTCTGCATATGCCAGCTCCCTCAACCTTCCACCATGAGTGGAAGCAGGCTGAAGCCTTAACCAGATACAGATGTCAGCACCATGCTTCCTATAGCCTGCAGAACTGTGAACCAAATAAACCTCTTTTCTTTATAAATTACCCAGCCTTAGGTATTCCTTTATAGCAACACAAATGGACTAAGACAGAACCTAACAGTATTTTATTTCTTGTTTTCCCTTTCTCATCCTCCTTGCCCTCCTCCCTGACTCATCGGTTTTTCTTGATTTTTCATCTGCTTTTAAATGAACAGGGCTGGTGTTCCCAGTTGAGGACCCAGGCAAGCACATGTAGTGTGTGTCTATGTGGGGGCTGCTCACATCCGCCCACAGTTCCTGCTTCAGCTACTTCTTCCATGGTTTCCCTTCCCTCAGTGGGGCAGAGTACACAGCACATTCTCCCTTCCCCCACGCCTCTTGCCTCCCCACATGCCTACCCAAATAACAGAGACCACTCCCCAGCTCCAGCCCTCCCCACCCTCCCATGCCTCTTCAGCCACTTAGGGGAAGGTGTGGATCTCCACAAGCTGTGAAATGAGAAAGTCAGTTGCTATATACCCATGAAAATGTAGATGACAGCAGTGAGACTCAAAGAGTTTCAATGGCATAACTTGATAGTTGCAAAAGAGAGCTGTGTAGTGAGTAAATGGTGGTCTCCCAAAATACATACGTCCCTGTCTCAGAACCTGTGAATGTGGCTTTTTTGGAAGACGTGTCTTTGCAGATGTAATTAAATTAAGGATCTCACGGTGAGAGCATTCTGAGTTATGCAGGTGGGCCCTAAATCCAGTGATGAGGCCCTTATAAGAGTGAGGCAGAGGGAGATTATGCAGACAAAAGAAAAGGCTGTGTGAAGAAGGAGGCAGAGACTAGAGTGATGTGGCCATAAGTCAAGGGACACCTGGAGCCACCAGAAGCTGGAAGAGGCAAGACAGACAGAATCTCCCAGAGCCTCCAGAGGGAGCACGGCCCTGCCAACACCTTGATTTCACACTTCTGGCCTCCAGGACTGTGAGAGAATGCTTTTCTGTAATTTCAAGCCACCAACTTTATGGTAATTTGTTACAGTAGCCCTAGACAATCAATATGAGAGCCTTGAAATCCAGCTCTGTTGCTTATAATGATAAACTATACCATCCCATACCATGACATCAGGACCACAGTAGCTTTAGAAAGGAATAGGGTCAAGCCCTTAGACCTCAGCCTCATCTGCCTTGCCTTCCCCATGAGCAAGTGAAACCCAACAAACAAAAACCATTGGCTTTTCTGAGAGAGATCAGCCCAAATTGTAGGCTGAGCAAAAGTTCAAGGGCCCCTGAAGGAGACAAAGAGTCTGCATGGATGTTTGACATAATCAAACCATTCCTCTGCATAAACGGGGAGAGCCGCAGAGCATAGCTCACTGCAAATTGAGAGAGGACTGATTCCTTCCAGGCAATTACTTGAGCAAACACCAACTATTAAGTAATTATCTCAAGGTTGGGTACGGTGGCTCATACCTGCAATCCCAACACTTTGGGAGACCAAGGTGGGAGGGTCACTTGAGGCCAAGAGTTCGAAACCGACCTGAGCAACACAGCAAGACTCCATTTCAACAGAAAACAAAAAACAGTAATTAGCTGGGCGTGGTGGCGTGTGCCTATAGTCCTAGATACTTGGGAGGCTGAGGTGGGAGGAGAGCTTGAGCCCAGGAGGTTGAGGCCACAATGAGCTATGATCACACCGCTGCTCTCCAGCCTGGGTGACAGAGTGAGACTCTGTCTCAATAAAAAAAAAAAAAAAAAAAAAAAAAAAAAAAAAAAAGGAATGATCTCAAGAACACCCACTCTCTATTTGCTTTTCAAAAGCTTCATTCATACACATCTGAAAGGATAAAGCAAGTTTGCTCTTCCTAAAATATATGAGCCAGGATCATTTCCTGCACCTTTTTTCTATCCTATCACATCTTTTCTCCAGGTTCCCTGGTGGCCTCAAGTCAATTTCAACTCCTAAGCAGGAGGCTCTGCAATCACATGAACATCACCCTCCTGCCACTCCTGGCTGTTGCCTGTGAGCAGCTACAAAGGCTCATCAGCCCACGTATTGCCACTGTCTCCTCCTACCTCAAAAACTCTTCTTTAAAGGGTGCTGGTATTTGAAACCTGTTCTGAATAGCTCTGTGGCAAAACCTCAGCCTTTGTCTCTGGGTATAGTGGCCATGGACTACAATGGGGAAAATCCTGGAGGCAAGAGAGCTAGGTGTTCATTGCAGCAGTCAAGATGATTTGGGTGGCAAAGAACAGAAAATTCTGGGTCAAAATGGCTTAACCACTAAGCAATGTATTAGCTCACACAACCGGGAGCTCAGAAGTGAGTGGCGGCAAGCCAGGTAAAAATCAGCTGCTCAAGATGTCATCGTGGAAGCCAGGCACAGTGACCCATGCCTGTAATCCCAGTTCCTTGGGAGGCCGAAGCAGGAGCCTCACTTGAGGTCAGGGGTTCAAGACCAGCCTGGGCAATATGGCAAGACCCTGTCTCTACAAAAACAAAATATAATAATTAACTGGGTATGGTGGTATGTGTCTGTAGTCCTAGCTACTTGGGAGGCTGAGGCAAGAGGATTGTTTGAGCCCAGGAGTTCAAGGCTGCAGTGAGCTATGACTGCCCCACTACATTCCAGCCTAGGTAACAGAGTAAGACTCTGTTACCTTTAAAAAATAAAATAAAATAAAATAAAAATTTTAAGATATTATCATGGGCTAGGCTCAGTGGCTCATGCCTGTAATCCCAGCACTTTGAGAGGCAGAGGTGGCTGGCTGATCACCTAAGGTCAGGAGTTCAAGACCAGCCTGGTCAACATGTTGAAACCCCATCTTCACTAAAAATGCAAAAATTTAGCCATGCGTGATGGTGCCATGTGCACCTATAATCCAAGCCACTCAGGCAGGAGGCTGAGGCAGGCGAATCACTTTAACCCAGGAGGCGGAGGTTGCAGCGATCCAAGATCGCCCCACTGCACTCCAGCCTGGGTGACAGAGCGAGACTCTGTCTCAAAAAAAAAAAAAAAAAAAAACAAAAACAAAGAGATTATCATGGACCCAAATTCTTTTCATTTCTCTGCTGAGCTTTCCTCAGAGTCAACTTCACCCTAGGCTGGTTTCTTGATTGATTGTGATAGTTACCAGTCCAAATGAGATTTACATATGTCCTCACTTAGGTCTGGATGGAGAGTACAACAGGGAAATGTCTCCACTGACGATGGGCTACATCCTTCCTTTCAGGCTGACTGAGCTGATTTAGGTCATGAGTCCACCTTGACCAGTAACAGTCACCAGGGCAATACCCTATGAGATTGGCTTAGACTTCTCACTTTTCTCCTTTTGAGCTGAGAGTAGTTCATGAGTAGAGCTCGCTAAGCTAAGGTTCTGATAGGAAAGAGAAATTGTATCATGAACACTGGGTACATAAAGTTTCCAGTGTGCTAGTCCTGGCTCTGTACCTTGCTAGTTACATGATCTTGAGCAAGTCATTTGACCCCTTTGACTTTTGCATTGAAATTTAAAAAGTAGAGTGATGTCTGCCCACAGAAGGATCAAAAGAGGTGGTGAAAATAAAAGCACTTTTTAAACTGTAAGTTCTGTACAAAAGAGACACACAGGATTGGTCTCTCCCACTGTCCTCAGCTCATGGTGCACAGATATGCCCCAGTACAAAAGGTGCCTACTCTCACCACACCCCAGACTCCAAAGCATTTAGCAAAACAGGCCTGGGAGTAGAGTTACCAGATTTAGCAAGTAGAAATACAGGATGCCTAGTTACATCTAAATTTCAGATAAGTAATTTTTAGTGTGAAGTATGCCCCAAATATTGCATGGGATATATACTAAAAAATGATTCACTGTTTATCTGACATTCAAATGTAACTGAGCATCCTGTATTTCATGTGGCAACTCTACCTGGGAGAGGCCTGGCCAAAAACAAGTCCTGGCCTGAACTTCTGTGCTGGTTTCTATTCTCTTTTTCATTTAACCCCTGGTTGGTGTCTTTCTCAGCAATTCTCACCCTGATCACTCCCACTTCTGATGTTCCCCCTAAAACCAGGATACACTTTCTTCCCTGTCTCAGGTGACGGCTTCATTCATCCAGATGCTCAGTTCCCAGCACTGGAGCCGTCCCTGATTCTTCCCTTTCCCCCACAGCCCATTTACAGTCCTGGTTCTGTTGTCCCTGCAGGACTAACAGATTCTCACCACTTCCACCTCTGCTGCCCTGTCCCTGCAAGGAATCTCTTTGCACTGCAGCAGTCACCTCCTGACCATTCTCCCAGTTCTGGGGGAACTGACTCATCAAGTCATGTCTTTGCCTGCTTAAAATCTTTGCCTGATGGCGCATGCCTGTAATCCCAGCTACTCGGGAGGCTGAGGCAGGAGAATCGCTTGAACCTGGGAGGCAGAGATTGTGGTGAGCCGAGATCAGGCCATTGCACAACAAGAAAAAAAAGAAGAAATCTTTGCCGGTCCACTGGAGGCTCTTAGAATAAAATCCAAGCTCTGTATTGTGGCCTAGAAGACCTTACCCAAGTCAGGCCCTGCACTTTTCTCCTCTCCCATCTCACTGGTCTTCGTTCTTGTCCTTGAAATGCTGAGCTCATCTCCATCCCCTGGATGTATGCATGTGTATAAATGTACATATATACACACATATATACTATAGTATATGTCCATATACTCTCCCATCAGCTTAGAGTGTATTGCCCTCCGTTGCTGCATGACACACTTCTTCATGATATTCAGTTCTCACCCCAAATGTCACCT